>NC_000006.12:25514545-25817575 GCF_000001405.40 Homo sapiens | reverse complement strand
GTTATCATGGGTGGTTTCATGAAACTCAAACGAAGGTGTTACACAACTACACATTGTACTATGATAATAGCTTTACTGTGAAGTCCCTCACATGTTTTTTCCTTATCACTAAGAATTGAGGAAAAGGGATTAGATGACAGCTGTTTAGGAATTTAGGTATCTGCCTCCCACAACCTTTTTACTATAAATTACATGATGTCCACGTATGTCAAACGACCTGTTCGTTAGTGGCAGAGGGAAAACTAAAACCAAGATTGTTTTAAAATTCCATTGGAATATTCTTGCCAATAAAGTTGAACAAATCTGAATAGATACTGTTTTAAAGAATACGACAATAACTGTATTTAAGCAGCTGATAATTGCTGGAGATTACCAAGTAGAGTAAATTGAGTCACAGACTTACATTTGCACTTAAAATGGCCTGGCCAGCTGGGCACAGTGGCTCACGCCTGTAATCCCAGCACTTTGGGTTGCTGAGGTGGGTGGATAACCTAAAGTCAGGAGTTCGGGACCAGCCTGGCCAACATGGTGAAACCCCATCTCTACTAAAAATACAAAAAATTAGCTGGGCGTGGTGGCAGGCACCTATAATCCCAGCTACTCGGAAGGCTGAGGCAGGAGAATCACTTGAATCCGGGAGGCAGAGTTTGCAGTGAGCCAAGATCGTGCCATTGCACTCCAGCCTAGGCAACAAGAGTGAAACTCCGTCTCAAAAAAAAAAAAAAAATGGCCTGGCCATCCTGCTATATTTGTCTCCTAAAGACTATTTCAAACTTCTTAACTCTTCTCAAATCTCTAAAATGATTCCCTTTCCCTGTCTTCTGTCTCAAGTAACCTCCCTTTGACCATTGAAATCATTGCATAATCTGTCTGTACCCATTGCCTACATTTCCTAGCATCTCACGCTCTCCTTAACTCACATCTGACTAGTGTATGTGGCATCAAACACAGCTATTGCCAAGATCACTTATGGCTTCTGTCACCGCTGCCCTGAGGCCCAGGCCAGAGGGCGCTTGCCCTAGATTCCACACTGTGGATAGCCCATTCTAGCCCCTCTCTAGCTAGGCTGTCTTCATAGGGCAGGTGCCAAGACAGTAGGCTCAGTAGAGCCCATGGCTCTGCTTCTAATCATCATGCCTGGAATGTCTTGCTTAAATAGAACCAAGGCTATTGGTTATATTGGAAAAGACCAGCAGGGCTCTTCCCAACATCCATTCAACTGGGGAGTGACCAAGGGAGGTAGGAGGCACTATTTGCATAAGATATGAATGGTGCACAATGGGGAAGCCAAGAGTTTCCACATATATCCATTCAAAGTACCTAGTGAGGTGGGAATGGGTCTGGGTAGGAATAGGTCAAGCTTCAGTCTAGTCGCCAGAGATTTGTGTTCAGAATTCTAAATTTAAACAGGACTCTTCAGGTCATTTTTTTCCCTTTGGCTTCTTTCAAAATTGTCTTTGATTTACTGAAGTTGAATATTATATTGTAACCGAAAATCAAGTTAGTTGCTTACCACATGTAGAGTCCAATTAACAAGAGTGGGGTCTGGTACAAGAAAAGTGGATTTATTCCAAAGCTAGCTTGGGGAAGGGACACAAAATTTCTTGCTTTTAACTGTGCCGTTTCACCTTTGGAGCTGAAGTGGCAAAAAAAAAAAAAAAAAAGTAAGCATTTTCATATGGTAGGGGAGGAAATGAGCAAGGGCAGGGGTCCCCTTGCTACCGGGCAGTTATCTACTGCACAGTTGAGGTAGCACTTACATGGACAGAAGTAGATTGAAAAAGTGACCAAAAAGGGCATGTTTTCAATATGCTCTCCAGGTGGAAGAAAGTTCCAAGACCACTCCTGGAGAGTGGAAGTTCCGAGGCCACGCCCTAGAGATGAAAGTTCCCTGGCAATTTGGTCTGCAAATTGACTGTCAGCTCTGGAGGAGAGCTGTGTCTTGAAGCACGTAGTTAGGAGAATTTTTCCTATAGCGAATGTCTGGTGAGGGGAGGAGGTGAAACGTTGTATTTGCATTTCTGAAGGGCTAAGTTGGAAATGAGGAGCAAGAGGAAAAGGGGAAAGGGGAAAAGAAGAGAAAGCTTTAAAAAATAGTAATTCGTCTCAGAAAACAAAAAATAGTACTTCATTCCCGTTTTCTTAAAAAACTGGGGTCATTTGGTTACAACATGTCAGGTTGTAACTTTTTTTTTTATTTATTCTTGGCATTCTCTGGGCTTCCTATATCTGTGGTTTGAGGTTTATTATTAATTTTAAGAAATTCTCAGTAATTATTGCTTTAAATATTTTTTCTAATTTTTTTCTTTCCCCTCCCTCCCTCCCTTCATTCCTCCCTCCCTTGCTACCTCCCTCCCTTCCTTGCTTTTTCTTTCTTCCTTTCTTTCTCTTTTTTCTTTTTTTTCTCTTTCTCTCTTTCTCTATTTCTTTCTTTCTTCCTTCCAGTATGTTTCTTTACATGTATATCACACCTTGTGATTTTTTTTATTACATGTATATTACAGCTTTTATAATTGTCCTACAGTTCTTAGATATTTCATTCTTTGTGTGTGTGTGTGTGTGTGTGTGTGTGTGTGTGTGTGTGTTTGTGTGACAGAGTCTTGCTTTTGTCGGCCAGCCTGGAGTGCAATGGCAGTATCTCAGCTCACTGCAACCTCAGCCTCCTGGATTTAAGCGATTCTCCTGCCGCAACCCCCTGAGTAGCTGGGATTACAGGGGCACATAGCTACGCCCGGCTAATTTTTTTGTATTTTTAGAAGAGACGGGGCTTCACCATGTTGACCAGGCTGGTCATGAACTCCTGACCTCACGTGATCCGCCCGCCTCGGCCTTCCAAAGTGCTGGGATTACAGGCGTGAGCCACCATGCCCAGCCCATTCTGTCTTTTTAGTTCTTTTTTCTGTCTTGGCAATTCAGTTTTAGAAATTTCTATAGCCATTTTATCAAGCTCACTGATTTTTTCTTGGTCATGTCTAGTCTACTGATGCATCAAAGGCATTCTTTATTTCTATTATAGTATTTTTATTTCCAGCACCCCAGCCTCGCCATCTAGGGGTGTAGTTTCTCCCTGGACAATATAATTCATGCTTATGGGTAAACTACCACTCACTAACATTTGTGTCCCACAAATAATTTGATCTTTCTGAGTCTCAGTTTGCTCATTTTGAAAAAGAGATAATAAACAGTATTATATGAATTTTTGGGAAGTTGATTGAATAAAATAATTTTTTTCTTTTTTGTCCACTACAAAGTCAACTCCATAAAGGCAGGGCCTTTTGTCTGTTTTATTCACTGCTGTATCCCCAGTACTTAAAATAGGTGCATGGTAAATAATCAGCACTTAATCAATATTTGTCAAATGAATGCAAGTCTTCTGGAAGACTGATGAGCACTATATACTTTCTGTCCCAGCAGAGAATTCCTCACAGTCAAATTATTCATATAAAAAACTCATAGAAACAATTTGTCAAACTCTTATAGAACTCCAATAATCCCTGAAGCCTGGGCTGTATCTCAGGAACATAGCTGAGGCTAAGCTGTCAAAACTGGGTGATAATAGCAAAGACATGGAGTCAACCTAAATGCCCATCAATGATAGACTGGATAAACAAAATATGGTACATATACACCATTGAATACTATGCAGCCATAAAAAGAAGGAGATCGTGTCCTTTGCAGGGAAATGGATGGAGCTGGGGGCCATTCTCCTTAGCAAACTAACACAGTAACAGAAAACTAAATACCGCATGTTCTCATTTGTAAGTGGGAGCTAAATGATGAGAACACGTGAACACGTAGAGGGGAACAACACACACTGAGGGGAACACCTTCTACCACTGGGTAGAGGGTGGGAAGAGGGAGAGGATCAGGAAAAATAACTAATGGATACTAGGCTTAATACCTGGGTGATGAAATAATCTGTACAATAAACCCATATGACACAAGTTTACCTATATAAATAAACTGCACTTGTATCCCTGAACTTAAACATTAAAAACAAAACAAAACAAAACAACTGGGCAATTGTCAAGCCCTGTGCAGGCTCAGCTGTGCCATCCTCTTATGGTGGAACACATGAGGAATTTGAAAAGATGAGGGCCTGAGGGCAGGGAGGTCCAGCTGTCAGGAGTGGAGGGAGCAGAGGATAGGAGATCAGGAAAGGGCATAGGCCTTATCCCATTTCTAGTAGGGAGGGGTCCCTGTGGATAAAAGGAGGACTGAAAAACACAAGTCTTGTTGAAAAGTTTCAAAAAAGAAAGAGGAGGTCCAGTTTCTCAGACTGATACATTGAAAAATGCCATTCTGGGAAAGAGATCCACTACAAACAGAGACTTCCAATTCTAACTTACCCTGCTTTGATAGGTGCTTGTGGCTGTGCCGTATGTCTTCTCTGGTTCGTTCTGTTTTATGATGACCCCAAAGACCACCCATGTATAAGCATCAGTGAAAAGGAATACATCACATCCTCCCTGGTCCAGCAGGTAGAACACAGTTCTCCATATTGGCATCTCCCAGATTCTACTCCAAACTAAACATGTTCCAGTTTGTTCTAATGTGCTAATTCTTAATGAATTTCTCTCCAGGTCAGTTCAAGTAGACAATCTCTGCCTATCAAGGCTATACTTAAGTCGCTTCCAGTCTGGGCTATTTCCACTGGTAGTTTTACGTTTTTCTGGTCACATAACATCATGACACTATACACTCCAATGTTTATCAACTCCATGCTTCATGTTAATATAAAAGAGGTAAGTATACTATTTGTTCTTTTTTTTAACTTCACGAAAGACTCTGTGTACATTTGTCTGTCTCTAACGACCCTAGTCGCAGCTCTTGCCAGCTCCTCACACTATCTGGCTACTGCTCTTCACCTGGAAACTAACTGTTTCTGCTCTTTCTATGAACATTGCCCAAAACAGAAGGCATTGATGTAGACATAAGTGTCTGGCACTCCAGCAACAGCACACATGCATCTATATTTCCGCACATTTGCCATCTCCCATTGACTATGTGACTCCCTTTGTATATTACTTAAGGCTCAACACCACCATTCCCTGCAGGGACTGGGGGCCTCCTATGAAAGTCACTTAGCCAGGCCCTGTCACTCTGCCAAGCTTTTACCAATCCTCTCCAAAGTAAGGCAATGAGTCTGGGCTATGAAGCCAAGACTCAAGTCTTACTTTGGAAGGACTGGCATACCCATTGCTCATCTGGCTTGGAGAATCACTGATACGGGCAAACTCCTATTGTTCAATACCATAATAACCAGACAAGACAAGACTCCTTTAGAAATGGAGTCTGTCTGGGCTTACCACTTTGCCGCATTCTGTAATGAGCTTCCAGTAAACCAGCCTAGGGGCTGGCATACCAGTAAGGTCTTATAAACTCTCTCTGACTCAATTTTATACTTCATGAAACCCTGAAGTTGCTGCAAGGACTGGTAGCAGCTGGTCCAGTGTAAGCACCATACGCATGTCTGTAATTGTCATCTTTATCCTATCATTTTCCCCAGGGCCGGTATTTCCTATTCCCAATGTAGTCTTCCTCCTCTATTATCCAGTGCTTTTACGTTTCATGATACTGAAATTGGAAGATTTGACAGATTATGACAAATATTACTGACCTCAAAGCTATTTTTCTCTTTCTTTTGGGTAATGTGGTCCCAGCAGTAATTCTGTTGTTGTATGTTGATGATTTCCTATATGAAAGTACACATTTTAGATAATAAATTTTAGCATAGGGATTACTCTGTGTGTCAGTACTGCTTTACCCATCAAACTCACTCCAAGAATAATGTTTCCTCTTCAGAATGGGTTCTTGTCTTCCCTTCCCTATTTGTTTGCCTGGATCTGTGGTAACCTAGCAGGTCAGTTATCAGACTTCTTCCTGACCAGGAATATTCTCAGCGTAATTGCTGTCCGGAAACTCTTCACAGCAGCAGGTAAGCAACAGCCAGAACATTTAAGCACTTGGGAGATACTTCTCCCCTATCTTTAGGATGCACCTGACTATGTTGTCTGAATCACTCCCCAGGATTTCTCCTTCCTGCAATCTTTGGTGTCTGCCTGCCTTACCTGAGTTCCACCTTCTACAGCATTGTCATTTTCCTAATACTTGCTGGTGCAACAGGCAGCTTTTGCTTGGGTGGAGTGTTTATAAATGGCTTGGATATTGCTCCCAGGTAGGATTTGTTTATACGCTTTTTTTTAACCTTTAACAAATAAATATTGTATATATTTATTGTGCACAACATGATGATTTAAAATATGGATACTTTGTGGAATGGCTAAAATCGAGCAAAGTAACATATGCATTACCTCACACACTTAGCATTTTTGTGTGTGTGGGAACACAAAATTTACTCTTAGGAATTTTCAAGAATATAATACATTGTTTTATACTGTAGTCACTGTGTTATACAATAGATCTCTTAAGCTTATTCCTCATATATAAATAAAATTTGGTATCTTTTGGCTAACATCTCACTCCCAGTGCCTGGTAATCACTATTCTACTCTAATTCTAAGTCCAATTTTGTAAGATTCCACATGTAAGTGAGATCATGCAGTGTTTGTCTTTCTGTGTCTGACTTATTTCACTTAATGTCCTCCAGGTTCATTCAAGTTGTCACAAATGACTTGATTTCCTTCATTTTTAGGCTCAATAGTATCCCATTGTGTATATATACCACATGTTTGTTATGCCATTCATCTGCTGATGGACACTTAGGTTGATCCTATGTCTTGGCTATTGTGAATAATGCTGCAATGAACGTGGTAGTGCAGATATCTCTTTTGACATTCTCACTTCATTTCCTTTGGATAGACACCCAGGAGTGGAATTGCTGGATCATATAGTGGTTATACTTTTAATTTTTTGAGGAACATCCATACTGTTTTCCGTAACAGCTGTACTAATTTACATTCCCACCAATGGTATGCAAAAGTTCCCCTTTTTTCCACATCCCCATCAACACTTACCTTTTGTATTTTTGATAACAGACACTCTAACAGGTGTAGGGGGATATCTCATTGTGGTTTTAATTTGAATTTCCCTGATGATTAGTGGTGTTGGGCATTGTTTTCATATACCTGTTGATAGTATATCTTTTTTTGAGAAATGTCTATTCAGGTCCTTTGCCCATTTTTTAATTGGGTTGTTTTCTTGTTATTGAGTTTGAGTTCCTTGTATTCTTTGGATATTAACCGCTTATTATATGTATAGTCTACAGATATTTTCTCCTATTCTTCAGGTTGCCTCTTCAGTCTGTTGATTGTTTCTTTTCCTGTGCAGAAGCTGTTTAGTTTGATATAATCCCATTTGTCTGTCTTTGCTTTCATTGCGTGTGCTTTTGTGATCCTAACCAAAAAAATCATTGCCCAGGTCAAAGTCATAGAGCTTGTCCCCTGTTTTCTTCTAGTAGTTTTACAGTTTCAGGTCTTATGTTTAAGTCTTTAATCCATTTTGAGTTGATTTTTATATAAGGCACGCGATGAGTGTAATTCCATTCTTCTGCATGTGGATACCCAGTTGTCCCAACAGCATTTATTGAAGACACCATCCTTCCCTCATGTTGTGTTCTTGGCACCTCTGTCAAAAATCAATTCACCCTAAATGTTGGATTTATTTCTGGACTCTCTATTCTGCTCCATTGGTCTATGTATCTATTTTCATTCTAGTATCATGTTATTTTTATTATTAAAACTTTGAAGTATATTTTGAAGTCAGATAGTGTGCTGCCTCCAGTTTTGTTATTTTGGTTTAAGATTACTTTGGTTATTTGGGACCTTTTGTACTTCCATAGAAATTGTAAGATGTTTTTCTATTTCTGCGAAACATGTCATGGGAATTTTGATAAGGATTGCATTGAATCTTTAGATTGCTTTGGATCGTACAGACATTTTAACAACATTAATTCTTCCTATCCATAAGCACAGGATATCTTTACATTTGTTTGTGTCTTCTTCAATATCTTCCACCAACATTTTAGTTTTCATTGTGGTCTTTCACCTATTCAGTTAAATTTATTTTAAGAATTTTTTTCTTGTAACTATTATATATGGGATTGTTTCATTGATTTTGTGTGTGTGTGTGTGGATAGTTCACTGTAACTAGGGAGAGTTTTTAAAAATCTTTTTCTTTCTTAAATCCAAGCTCTCAAAAGCGTTGCTAAAAGTTGCTTGCTTTTGTATAAATTTAAGGCATGCAAATACAGTTTTGTTAAGTGAATATATTATGTAGTGGTGAAGTTTGGGTTTTTAGGGTAACCATTACCTGAATAATATACATCATACCTATTAAGTAATTTTTTAACCCTCACCCTCCTCCCACTCTTCCAAGTCTCTAATGTCTGTTATTCTACACTCTGTCCATGTGTATACATTATTTAGTTCTTACTTTATAACTGAGAACTTGCAGTATTTGGTTTTCTGTTTCTGAGTTGTTTCACTTAAGACAAGGGCCTTTATTTCCATCCATGTTGCTGAAAAAGACATGATTTCATTCTTTTTTATGGCAGAGTAGTATTCCATTGTGCATATGAACCTCATTTTCCTCATCCAATCATCTGTTGATGGACACTTAGGCTGATGTCTTTGCTACTGTGAATAGTGTTGCAATAAACACATGAGTGCAGATATCTTTTTTGATACAATAATATCTTTTCCTTTGAGTAGACACCCAGTAACAGAATTGCAGGATCTAATGGTAGTTCTATTTGTGGTTCTTTGAGAAATCTCTATACTGTTTTCCATAGAGGTTGTACTAATTTACATTTCCACTAACAGTGTATAAGCATTGCTTTTTCTGTGCAACCTCATCAACATCTGTTGGTTTTTGACTTTAATAATAATCATTCTGACTGGTACAAGATGTTATCTCATCGTGGTTTTAATTTGCACTACTCTGAGGATTAGTGATGTTGAAAGTTTTTTCATATGCTTATTGTCCATTTGTATGTCTTCTTTTGAAAATGTCTATTTATGTCTTTTTTCCACTTTTTTAATGTGGTTATTTATATTTTGTTGTTGTTAAGTTGGAGTTCCTTGTTAACTCTGAATTTTTTTAAAAAAAATTCTTCTTTTTTCAATAGCTTTTGGAATACAAGTGGTTTTTAATTACATGGATGAATTGACAGTGGTGATGTCTAAGATTTTAGTGCATCCATCAGGGGAATAGTGTACATTGTACCCAATAGGTGGTTTTTTTTATCCCTTGCCCGTCCTCCCATTTTCTCCCCTCTCAGTCTCCATAGTTCATTATATCACTCTGTATGCCTTTGTATACCCATAGCTTAGCTCCCACTTATAAGTGAAAAACATATGGCATTTGGTGGCAAACATAAGAAAAAATGCTCCACATCACTAATAATCAGGGAAACGCATATCATAAGCACAATGTGATACCACCTTACTCCTGCAAGAATGGCCATAATTAAAAAACAAAATAATAATAGATGTTGGCATGGGTGTGGTGAAAAGGGAACACCTTTACACTGTTGGTGGGAATGTAAACGAGTACAACCACTATGGAAGACAGTGTGGAGATTCCTTAAAGAACTAGAAGTAGAATACCATTTGACCCAGCAATCCCACTACTGGGTATCTACCCAGAGGAAAAGAAGTCATTATATGAAAAAGACACTTGCACATGCATGTTTATAGCAGCACAATTCGCAATTGCAAAAATATGGAACCAGCCTAAATGCCCATCAAACAGTAAGTAGATAAAGAAAATGTGGTGATATATATATTATGGAATACTACTCAGCCATAAAAAGAAACAAAATAATGCCATTCACAGTAACCTGGATGAAGTTGGAGACCATTATTCTAAGCAAAGTAACTTGTAACTCAGGAATGGAAAATCAAACATTCTATGTTCTCACTTATAACTGGGGAGCTAAACAATGAGGACATAGGTATAAAAATAACATAATGGACTCTACGGACTCAGGGAAAAGGGTGGGAGGGGAGTGAGGGTTAAAATACTACACATTGGGTGCAATGTGCACTGCTCAGATGATGGGTGCACCAAAATCTCAAATATCCTCACTAAAGAATGTATCCCTGTAACCAAATACCACCTGTTCCCCCAAAATTATTGAAATAATAATTTTAAAAAACATACGGCATTTGGTTTTCCATTCCTGAGTTACTTCACTTAGAATAATGGTCTCCCGCTTCATCCAAGTTACTGCAAAAGATGTTATTTCCTTCTTTTTAATGGCTGAGTGGTATTCAATTGTGTATATATACCGCATTTTCTTTATACACGCATCAGTTGATGGGCACTGAGGTTGGTTTCATATCTTTGCAACTGTGAATTGTGCTGCAGTAAATATACATGTGCAGGTGTTTTGTCTGTTTGTTTTTACAATGATTTATTTTCCTTTGGGTAGATACCCAGTAGTGGAATTTCTGGATCGAATGGTAGATCTACTTTCAATTCTTTTGGAAATCTCCATACTGTTTTCCATAGAAGTTGTAGTAATTTACATTCCCATCAGCAGTGTATTAAGCAATCTCTTTTTACCACATCCACATCAATGTCTATTGTTTTTTAACTTTTTAATAATGGCCATTCTTCCAGGAGTAAGGTAGTATCTCACTATGGTTTTAATTTGCATTTCACTGATAATTAGTAATATTGAGCATTTTTTCTTATGTTTATTGGCCATTTGTATATTTTCTTTTTTGATAAATGTCTATTCATGCCAATTGCCCACTTTTTGATGAGATTATGTTTTTCCTGCTGATTTGTTTGAGTTCCTTGTAGATTGTGGATATTAGTTCTTTGTCAATGCATAGTTTGCAATTCTTTTCACCCATTCTGTGGGTTATCTGTTTACTCTGATAATTATTTCTTTTGCTGTACAGGATCTTTTTAGTTTAATTAGGTCCCATTAATTTATTTTTGTTTCTTTTGCATTTGTTTTTGGGGTCTTAATCATGAATTCTTTGCCTAGGCCAATGTCCAGAAGAGTTTTTCCTAGGTTTTGACTTCCTGTTTTCCAGTTTGAATGCTCTTTATTTCCTTATTTTGCCTAATTGCTCTGGCTAGGAATTCCAGTAAAATGTTAACCAGAAGTGGTGAAAGTGGGCATCCTTGTCTTGTTCCAGTTGTCAGGAGGAATGCTTTCAACTTTTCCCTATTTCGTATGATGTTGGTTGTGTTTGCTATATGTGACTTTTATTATTTTGAGGTAAGTCCCTTCTATGCTTAATTTGTTAAGGATATTTATTACAAAGGATGCTGGATTTTATCAAATGCATTTTCTGTATCTGTTGAAATGATCATATGGGTTTTATTTTTAACTCTTTATGTTATATATCACATTTATTGACTTGCATATGTTAAACCATGCTTGCATCCCTAGGATGATACCCACTTAATCATGGTGTATTATTCTATCTATTTGATGCACTGCTGGATTTGGTTAGCTAGAATTTTGTGGAGGATTTTTCATCTATGTTCATCAGGGATATTGATCTATACTTTTCTTTTTCTGTTATAGCCTTTTCTGATTTTGGTATCAGGGTGATACTGGCTTCATAGAATGAGTTAAGGAGGATTCCCTCTTCCTCAATCTTTTGGAATAGTTTCAGTAGGATTGGCACCAATTCTTTGATTGTCTGGTAGAATTTAGCTGTGAATCTGTCTGGCCCTGGGCTTTGTTGTTGTTGTTGTTGTTGGCAATTTTTTAAAATTACTGATTTAATCTCACTGCTTGTTATTACTCTGTTCAGGGTTTCTATTTTTTCCTAATTTAATCTAGAAGGGTTGTATGTTTCCAGGAATTTGTCCATTTCCTCTAGCTTTTCTAGTTTATGTGCATAGAGGTGTTCATAGTAGTCTCTAATGGTCTTTTGTATTTCTGTAGTATTAGTTACAATGTCTCCAATTTCATTTCTAATTGTGTTTTATTTGAATCTTCTCTCCTCTTTTTTTGGTTAATCTAGCTAATCATCTAATTTATCTCTTCAAAGAGCCAGGCTTTTGTTTCATTGATCTTTTGTACTGTGATTCTTTCAATTTCATCTAGTTCTACTCTGATCTTTGTTATTTCCTTTCTTCTTCTAGCTTTGGGTTTAGTTTGTTCTTTTTTTCCTCTAGTTCCTTGAGGTGTGACATTAGGTTGTCAATTTGTGATCTTTCAGACTTTTTGATATAGGCACTTAGTACTATAAACTTTCCTCTTAGCATTGCTTTTGCTGTATCCCAGATGTTTTGGTAACTTGTGTCACTATTTATTTCAATCTTGATTTCATTGTTAACCCAAAACCCATTCTGGAGCAGATTAATTTCCATGTATTTGGATAGTTTTCATGGTTCCTTTTGTAGTTGATTTCTAGTTTTATTCCATTGTGGTCTGAGAAGATACTTGATATAATTTTTAAATATAAGATACTTGATCAATTTTAAAAAATTTGTTGAGACTTTTTTGTGGCCTATCATACGGTGTATCTTGGATAATGTTTCATGTGCTGATAAGAGGACCGTATATTCTGCAGTTCTTGGGTAGAATGTTCTGTAAATATGTTAGATCCATTTGTTCTAAAGTGTAGTTTAAGTTTATTGTTTCTTTGTTGACTTTCTGTCTGGATGATCTGTCTACTGCTGTCAGTGGAGTGTTGAAGCCTTCCACTGTTATTGTGTTGCTGTCTATCTCATTTCTTAGGTCTAGTAGTAAATGTGTAAATAAATCTTGGAGCTCCAATGTTAGGTCCACATAAATTTAGTATTGTAATATCTTCTTGTTTGATTGATGTTTTAATCATAATATAATGACCTCCTTTGTCTTTTTTTACTGTTGTGGCTTTCAACTCTGTTTTATGATATAAGAATAGCTACTCCTGCTCACTTTTGGTTTCCATTTGTGTGTAAGATATTTTTCTACCCTTTTACCTTGAGTTTATATGAATCCTTATGAGTTAGGTGAGTCTCTTTAAGACAGCAAATATTTGTTTTGTGATTTTTTTTATTAATTCTGCCATTTTGTATCTTTTAAGTGGAGCATTTAGACCATTCACTTTCCATATGAATATTGAGATGTCAGGTACTATTCCAGTCATCATGTTACCTACTTTGTTTTCTTCATTGTGTTATTGTTTTATAGGCCTTGTGGGTTTTATGCTGTAAAGAGATTCTATTCTGGTGCAGATCAGCTTTTGTTTCAGAATTTAGAACTCCTTTTAGCATTTCTTGTAGGGATAGTCTGCTAGAGACAAATCCCCTCATCATTTGTTTCTGAAAATGACTTTATTTCTCCTTCATTTATGAAACTTAAGTTTCACTGGATACAAAATTCTTGGCTGACAGTTGTTTTCTGTTTAAGGAAGCTTAGATAAGACCTCAATCCCTTCTGGCTTGTAAGGTTTCTGCTGAGAATTCTGGATAGTTAAGCTACATTGTTGTTCATAGCCACCAGGCCAAAAGTTCTGAAGAAATATCTATATAAGTCAGATATAATCATTAATTAATGATATGTTAATCATTAATGATATTAATCATTAACGATATATTCAGATGTATGCATCTGTCATATACGTATGTGAAAAGTATATCCTTATGATTAGAAGCACAGATTCTAGAGTTAGACAGTTGAATTTCAATATCAGCACAGCCATTTATATCAAACAAATTATTTACCTTCTCTCTGATGATTTTTTTCACACATAAAATGGATTAATAAGAGAACGTTTACTCATAGAGTAATTAAGATAATTGAATAAGTTAATGTAGGTCAAGTATATAGAATAGTACCTGGCATACTCTGGCAAGCACTGTGTAAGGGTTAGCTGCTCCATAATTATTGCTATTATGTCCATATTCATATATTATTAATTCTCATAACAACCTACCAGTTAATCATATTTACCTTACAACTAAAGAAACTGAGGTTCAGATACTTAATTTTGAGCTCAAAATCTCACCACTGGTCTGAAATTTTACCTAGGATTTTAATCCAGACCTGTTTGGCAAAAAACTTGCTCTTTTCAAGATGTTATTTTCAAGATATTATATCTCCTCTAGAGATATAATAAGTGTGACTAACAGAAGTAGCTCTGTCATTTTCAACTCTCAGGGAACACTGTTCACATTGTACCTTGTGGGGTTAGTACTCTCTGGAGAACATAAATCCAATATGAACAGAATTTTCTGAAGTTTTGTAGAGCAGTGGCCTTGGGGTAGACAGGCAAAATCAACCAAGAATAACTCACTTTCTTACAATTTTATAAAGAAGCTTGCCCACTAGATCTACACAAACTCAGTGCTAGAGAAATGAGGACATGTATTTATTTGATTTATTCAGTTCAAGACCTATCTTAAAAATGCCTGCGGGGCCGGGCGTGGTGGCTCACGCCTGTAATCCCAGCACTTTGGGAGGTTGAGGCAGGCGGATCATGAGGTCAGACCATCCTGGCTAATACAGTGAAACCCCGTCTCTACTAAAAATACAAAAAATTAGCTGGGCATGGTGGTGGGCGCCTGTAGTCCCAGCTACTCGGAAGGCTGAGGCAGGAGAATGGCGTGAACCTGGGAGGTGGAGCTTGCAGTGAGCCGAGATGGGGCCACTGCACTCCAGCCTGGGCGACAGAGCAAGGCTGCGTCTCAAAAAAAAAAAAAAAAAAAAAAAAAAAAAGAAGAAGATAGTCGTTAAAACGTCATAAATAAATAATAAATAATAGGATAAATACAAAGAAAATCACACCTAAACCTATCTAGTGAAACTGCTAAAATTGAATGGGAGGAGGTGACAGAAAGAGAGAGAGAGACTGAGAGAGAACAAAATCTTTAAAACAGCCACCTAGAAAAGGCTCATTACTTCCAAAAAAGCAATAATAGAATTGACATCTGCCTTCTTAACAGAAACAATGAAAGCCAGAGCCAATCAATTGATATCTCTAAAATGCAAAAAGGAAAATTACTGTTAACCTAGAAGTCTATATCCAGCAAAAACTTTCCTTGAAGAACTAAGTTAAAATAACATTTCGAGGCAAACTGAGAGAATTCAGCAGCCATAGACCTCCAATGAAAGGATTACTAAATGAGAATTCTTCAGGCAGAAATGAAATAATTACAGATAAATAATCACAGAATAATAATTTCATATAAATAATCACAGAAATATAGGAACAAAAGAAGAGAAATGGAGAGGAAAAATATTAGGGCAAATCTAATATAATTGAATTTGCAAAATGAAAACAATAATACCCTATGTGATATAGAATATATGTAAATTAAAATGCACTAATAATTTAATAATCATATTTCTACCAGTTGTACAGAAGATATGGTACCTATGGCCTACAATATTTTTAGGAACTCATGAAAATCTTTTCCAAATTGGAAGATAAAAAACAAACTCGTAGGTGGAAGAAAATGATTTAATGTATAATGTTAATGTATTTGCCTTTATGCCAGAGCAGTCATAAAATATAATTTTTAATATTTTTATGGGGGAAGAGGTTCATGAAAGCAAAAGTGGAAAGGGCTCACAAAAGTCATGAGTGGTCCCAATTCCCACCTAAACTCCAGGGGTTCTATTGCTGAAATGAAAAACAGAACAACAAATAGTGGGGACAATTAATAGTTTCCATTCCAAGCTCTACCTGTGGATGTTCATAACCATAAATGTACTTCTTCATCCATTACAACACACTCCCTAGATCGTCAAAAAGAGACAACTCTAATCCTACCCAATGACTGCATATAGCTTAACGTTCAAGGACTCTAGGTCTTGATGTGACTCCTCTATGAACAGGGACCCACAAATTAATAAACAAAACAGGCACCTCCTCCCATACTCAACATGTAAAGGCAGAGTAGGAATGGGAAAGACTAGGGAAATAAGAAGATCAGAAAAAAAGAAACAAGAAACTCTGAACTCTGCCTCTCATAAAAGGGAGGACTTGAACACACTGAACTTTAATGATGAAATCTACAGGGCAGGAAAAACGGACTCCCAGCCCTGGAGTGAACTCATTTCTTGATTAGACACTGATTCTGCTCTCCAAACAGCACCACCTTGCTCTTCATGGCTGATGGGTTTGACCCCTTTATCTATCGTTCGCTGCAGCTTCACTGCGTTTGTAGCTAATTTTCTGCTGGAATTGGTTTGAGCTTCCAGGATTGGCCAATTATAGTTGCTTGTAAACTAGGCTTCTGATTTCCTTGCCTGAGTATTGGAAGCAATTTTGGAGGTCAGTAGCTCTGGACCTATGGGAGTAAACCAGGTGAACAAAGCCCTTCAATTTTTTATTAACCCCAAACCAGTTCCCATTACCAAAACATATCACCTTCTGAATTTCTCAATGGAACTTACATATTTTCTAATTCTACTGGGTTTCACTCTAAATATAATCCCATTTTATTAATATCATCATATTCTTTACTGCTAACGCCAACCTTTCTGACTCTGTGGTGACACTAGAAAGTTGCCTATATTCATATACTTTTTCTAACATCTTAATGGAATTTGAGAAGCAGGAACTTGCAAAATGAGCAATTATCTCTCTTAAATTTCATTTGATTAGGTTTGCATTTCCTGCAGTATTTGTACTACTTTACATTTGTGTATTACTCTTTTATGCATAGATATTTTGGATTTATTAAAGCATGTTCAACTTTAACTGGAATGATAGGAGGACTAATTGCTTCCACTTTGACTGGATTGATCCTTAAGCAGGTAAGAAACATACAGATGTGTAGTTATTTTTCCAATATTAATTGTATAGAGAAAGATTACACATATGAAAAATTGCAGAGAAGATGCCAGAAGGAGATGACTTATGAGTTTTTGCATCATATGAAAATAAATTTGGTCAAATCAGGCATCTCTCCAAATCTACAAATAATGCAATTTCTATCTCATTATTTGTCAATTAGATATGTTGAGAACTCTTTAGTAATTGCCCATTGGTACAGAAGTGGACTTCTGTTATTTTTGATAATGAATATGTGGATTGATCAACACAGGTATTTGACTGGCTGAGTGGTAATATAAGTAACAAGATACAGTTTTCTCAAAAAAAGAATGAAAAATCACAAGTGAATAAAGACTGATCTAAGTCTGACTATGAAGGCAGACTTCTGTTTTTGCACATGTCATGGACAAAGTTACCTGAAATCTTCCTTTTAAGGACACTGAAAATGCCCTATCAAATTTTAACAGTTATTTTAAATGCATGCCTCATCTGCAAAAAAAGTAAAGCAAAAGAACATTTCAGAGATTAAAAATGAAAGAATAGCCTGATTCCAGAGAGGTAAATG
Source organism: Homo sapiens (assembly GCF_000001405.40). Taxonomy (NCBI): domain Eukaryota; kingdom Metazoa; phylum Chordata; class Mammalia; order Primates; family Hominidae; genus Homo; species Homo sapiens. The sequence continues at coordinate 25,800,305 of NC_000006.12, read as the reverse complement.
ACCATTGAAGACACTGGCTGCCTTGGGTCTTTGCCTATCCTGGGTAATCTATGTCTTCAGTTATAATGAACAAGCAGAAGATAAGAGATAACATCCTAAAGCCACTCAAATAAGAAGAGTCAGAATGGAAATGCTGGCATAAATCTGTACTCACAAAGGACTACACCTTCATACCACTAGCACCATGTGGATCACATATAAACTTTATTTGTAGGAACACTTACAACCAAAGGAATGGTAGTGTGTAGATAATTCCTCCAAATGCTCCTTATCCCAAAGTTGGGACAGGGAGAGATGGTCTGCATCCACCATGGCCACATTTCCCATAAAGAGGAGTCTTCCACCACCACAATCTCTGTATTTATGGTTTCAGAAAAGAAGAAAACATCACTAGAACCACAGAAGCTCCCTGGTCAGAGAAATGGCCTCATTAGAAATGGGAAGCACCAGGTGGCCATGGTCTGTTTCCTCCCTCTGAGCATAGTGCCTTTATTCTTCCATTGAGTTCACTCAGGTGTGCAGAGCTGACTTCCAAAAGTTGTTAGTGGAGCTAGTTTCTCTGCAAACATCCAAGATGTGGAAGGAAATGTGGTTCCAGAACTGTCCAAAATTGTCTCTGCCTATAAGTTAACTTAGACAGTTCTCATCTGCCCCTGCCTCAGCTTTAAAAGGAGAGAAAAACTGAATACTCTTCTGAGCATTTGAAATTTGAGTAAATCAAATATTTGGTGACCAGAAGTCAAGCCTGGGAAGTCAATTATTGCAGCTGCAATAACTTTTCTGGTTCTCCTCTGATAGCTATTTCAACTCGAGCATACATCTGAAGAACAATGTTTAATGAGTAATATAGTTAACTTCTATAAACCAGCAGAAGAAAACTCATTCTCTTCAAAACGAATCCAAAACTTAAAAAAAAAAGGATTGCAATGGAAAATATGAAATAATATGGGAGTAATAAATCTTAACAAAATAATAGTTACAATAGATGAAAGTATGTTAAATTTGCCAATTAAAATATGAAGACACTCTTTATCTATATAAGCTTACAGGATACAATAATATGTCAGCTACATAAGATACCTTGAAAAGATGCAGAAAACTTCAAAATAATAGATCAGATTAAAAAAATCAGTTAATTATGAACTATAAGAAACTAGTAAACTTAATATCTGATGAAAATAGAATTTTAAACAACATGTATATAGTAGAAAGATAAAAGTGATTATTTTATAAAGTAAAATGATGACGTTTTCGGCTATGTATAAGTATGTTTTTCCATATTTGTTACGTGACTTGAGTCTACATTTTTAATATTACATTTTAAACATTACAAAACAAAAAAACAAGAGCAATAATTTACAATTACTTTGAATTTTAATTCCTTAGGATCCGGAATCCGCCTGGTTTAAAACCTTCATCCTGATGGCAGCCATTAATGTGACTGGCCTAATTTTCTACCTTATAGTTGCTACAGCAGAAATTCAGGACTGGGCTAAAGAAAAACAACACACACGTCTCTGAAGGTGAGAAGTGATCAGATTAAGGACAATTTTTGAAACTGGGAATGCAGGAGACAGAGGAGATAAGGATGACTCCTCAGACGAGAAGGAATAACGGGTGCAGGTTTGGAGAAGAGGAGACCATGTTAAGCCTGAGAATATTAGACATCCTGAAATGGCTGTGGGACTCTGTGGGGATGCTAAGGCTGGAGATATAAATTTGGGAGGCTGGGCCTCTTTAACATCAAAAGATGAGGATGAAAAAGAGAAGTTTGCAAAAAAGACTGGGAAGGGCCTTCAACGAAGTAGGAAGAACAGTTGTAAAATGGAGACTCGAAGTGAAAAAGGTTGGGAGCAAGGACCTTTGGCAAGTGCTATAATATCAAGACATTACATTATATAAGGTCTAAGAATTTACAATGGTTTAGGCAAGAGAAACTTTAAAGGTAACCCTGACTAAAATGATTTTCAAATGAATGATGGAGACAAAGAGTCCTTTAAGGTGTGTTCAAGGTATAATACTGTGCTTTGCTTATGTAAACTCTATCAGTGGTAAATGAATTGGAGGAGAAATGTCTCTTTGTAGAATAATTTTGGCTAATACATAAATAAGAATTGAAAGATGCAGAATGTCCTTATTTTGCAACCCTCAATAAATTAAGAGATCCAGGTGTTGAATATCAATGATCATTAGTATCACAAAAAGAGAGGCATGAAGACATTGTATACCTTCTGATGAAACAACACACCACCACTAATATCTTGCTAAGAAAATCAAACTGAATCTCATCAAACCTTGGATACAGCTACCGCTTTGGAAGAAGTACAGAAAACAGAGAATATGTTCGACAAAATCCAAGTGTATCATTAGCAAATCTAAACTGTAGGAGATTTTATAGGTCAAAAGGCTCAGGGTCTTTAATAAATAAATTACTTATAAAGAAAAATAGGGAGGACGAGGCGGGTGGATCATGAGGTCAGGAGTTCAAGACCAGCCTGGCCAAGATGGTGAAACCCCGGCTCTACTAAACATACAAAAATTAGCCAGGCGCGGTGGTGGGCACCTGTAATCCCAGTTATTTAGGAGGCTGAGGCAGGAGAATCTCTTGAACTCAGGAGGCAGAGGTTGCATTGAGCCGAGATCACTGCACTTTAGCCTGGGTGACAGAGCAAGACTCCATCTCAAAAAAAAAAAACTGGGGTAGAAATGGATGCTCTAGATTAGAAAGAACTTAAATGACATAACAGATTTTTAAATATTGGCAAAATGAAACACTATAAAGGTATACATGTGGGTGATAAGTCTATAAAGAAATACAGAAAAATAGATTATTATTATAAATGTCAAAGAAGTTGTTACTTTTAGGGGCAGGGAGTGACCATTTGAAGAACTTTGGGAATCCTGGCAATATTCTATTTTTCATGTCCAGGCTAGTGATTACAAACATTTATCCTATAATAATTCATTGAGCCAAATATTTGTGCAATTTTCTGTGTCTCTGTGTTTTATTTTATAGTATGAAAAGAGAAATCAAGAGAGAGAGAATACAGGCTGAGGAAACTGAGACAGCCAGGATAGGCATTCCTATAAAGCAAATTAGAGAAATGGTGTGGTAGCTGTAAAGGGATGTAAAACCAAGGAGGGTTTTGTTTGTTTGTTTTTTGTTTGTTTCAGAAGATACATGCAATAGCATATAAGGTGATGGTATAATTCAATAATGAGGTTCCACAATGTAGGAGATAAGGCACAATGACAGAATTAAAAAGTACTTGACTCATCTGGAAGGGATGAAATTCAAGCACCACAGCCAGGGTTGGCCTTGGGTAGAAACCTAGAGCTTATCCACAGTGGCAGAGAGAAGGCAGTGTTGTATATGTGATGGGTTAGTATATAGGTTGGCATCTCATCTGTGCGATAAGCAATGAGGTTCTCAGTTAAGAGAGAGGGGCTGAGAGACAAGGAAATGAAGAAAATACATATTGGTAAAGAAGGTAAAATTATCATTATGAGCAGATGATATGGTTGTCTACTTAGAAAATCCAAGTGGGTTGACTGGAAAACTATACAAACAATAATTAATTCAGTAAGTTTCCTGGAAAATTTATTAATAAATAAATTTGTCACCTTAAACAAAAATAGCCAGTTAACAAATTTATTGGAAGAAATGATCCAAATGAAGTTTGAAGAAAAATTTTTTTAAAAAATAGGATCTCACTCTGTTGCCCAGGCTGGAGTACAGTAGCACAATCATAACTTACTGCAGTCTCAATCCCCTGGGCTCAAGTAATCCTCGTGCCTCAGCCTCCTGGGTAGCTGGGACTATAGGCATGCAACACTACACCCAGCTAAAGGAGGAAAATTGATAGCGTCACTCAAAAATGAAATTGAGTCGGTATTAAATCGATCTAGTATTGCAAGTACTAAAAATTCCCATAATGGTGTACTCACAAAAATTTGCCAAGATGCAAGCATAACTCAAGATTGTTGATTTAGAAATGGCAAAAATCTGGATATGGAATTAAGCATGTTTGTCAATACAGCCTTAGTTAATACATTTTGTTTAAGTGAGTGGAATATAACCAGCAGTTTAAAAATACAAAAGCTTATCTGAATATTTTAATGTAGAAATATCTGAGATTGTCCTTATAAATAAGCATATAACAGCACTAGAAAATATCCCATAGACATTAGCGAAGGTTTATCCTCTATTTCCAAGGCACAGAGTGGGGCACAGCTATGAGAACAATCACTTTACTTTATTCAGATTCCATAAATCTTATTTGTTTTGTATATATTTGACCTGTTAAATATTGAAAGTTATACCAAAGTTTTCCATTATTATTTCTATCCATTTTTCTTTTTATGTCTGCTTTGGCATTTACTATTGAATACTATATTCTGATGTTACAATTTCAAAAAGACTTTGACAAGTATATCTTAATTTGAAATTTACTTTTGACTTTATAAACTTATGAATCCTTCCCATTCCATAATTTTTACTTTTAATTTACTTTCTGATATTGATATGACAACCTTAAATTGTGGGTGTGGGTGTGGGTGTGTGCTTATTTTAGATTCCCTGGAATACTTTTGCATTGCCTTTAAATTCCACCTTACTGAGCCATTTTATTTAATGTTTTTCTTGCAGAGGGCATATAGCTGGGTTCAATTATTTCACCCACTTTGAGAGCCGTCTCCTTTATATAGATGACTTCAATCCAACTGCAGTTATTGTCATTAAAAATATACTTCATTTTCTAGCATCTTATTTTCTATTCCCTTAAAAAAAATCCTCCTTATCTTTTTGGTCCTTCTCCTCCTCCTGCCTCCTTGCCTGACTCTAGCAATTTAGATTTGTAGAATATTTTAAATTTTGATTGTGCTTATGCTCTCTAACTCTTCTTTGAAAATGTGTTCATTTTTTCTATTTACATGCTATATTCTTTTTCTGCTTTTTTTCTCCTTCCAAAATATCAATCACATTCAATGTTTCTAATTATTTTTCTTTAGTTCAGGCTAATTCTACGTAAACCTGTAATTCCCCAAAGATGATGTGGGTAGAATTTCCTCCATTCTCCTTTGTTTACCTGGTTGCCCTTGGCATCTTTCCATCAGGCTGGCAGTGGAGGTTTTAAATTCTCATTTTAGATATTAGGCTAAGTGGCAGAGGGGCTCTGGGAACACCAGTATGGATAGTGCCATAGTGCAGGAGGTATTCTGGGCCTTGCTGTTTGTGTTGCTGTGCTGATGGTTGTTTCTTCAACAACCTGTATCCTCAGGGCTGTCAGCCATTCAGCAGCACACAGGCATTTTATTTGTGGAATCAGCAGTATTTTACCTGTCACTCTCAAACTGACACACTGCTGCAAAGCGGGTTACCTTACAACTTTGCCTTGTAATTTTAGAAGTTAGAAGAAAATAAGAAAAGGCAGAATCATGGCCTTGCGTTTCTCCTGTAGCCTAGAAGCCATTGCCAATATGCCTGGCATACCAGGATTGCAAAAGTCCATTGTTTCCCAGATGCCCTGCCTCCTACCCAGCCTCACCCAGGAAGAAGTTGCTTCGCAGCCCTGGAACTGCTTTTTCCACCTCTCTTCCCTTCGAATGTACCGGGTTCATGAGTTTAGTAGACAGCTGTGAGTTGATGTCCAATGTCACCCTTTATTTTGGCCCTCAGTGTTTTGAACTTATTATAGTAAATAGTCCTTGTTGATTTGGGTATGAGGTAGTTCTCTAGGTTTTGTAATGTTCTATTTTTGCTTCTTTAAATTTATTTCAGTGGATCCTAGGGACAATAGCTGAATAAGGGGCATGCATTGTGCTTGTGGTAGTTCCTTTACAGTGGGGCTTCTCAATCTCTTGTGTAATGAACCACAACTCAGAATATAATGCAGAGGATTCTAAAGGAGACTGATTATGTTGAAATAGTTATCAAGATACTAAAAAGTATGTTTATGATAACATGATTTTTATTAATGCTTTAGTCTGAATAAAAGTTCTCTGAAGAGAAATTTATAGGAAAGAGGCTATCCTAGTGAACAGTTTGTGAACTAAGGAGAGGCAGATTTAAGGTGCAGTCTAAAGAGCAAAAGGAGAGTTCACTGTTTATAGAGAAAGTTCCCTCCCAGGTTCCCACTCAGGTCCACTTATGCAAATGCATGATTCAGATTTGCTTAGTTCTGAGAGGTTGACACTTGCTGAATTTTGATTGGTCAACTCAGGCTGCAGTCTATTTGTTGGTTCAGGCACATAAACAGGAACAAGCAGCTATGAACTTCCCAAAATTAAGAAGGTGTGTGGGTTTTATGGAAACTCAAAGTGCGTGTGTGACCTCCAGTCGCAAATGACTGCTTGGCTCTATTTTGATTTTAAGCCCAGTTAGCCAATCAGCATCCAACTTGAAGGATTTGTTCTTTCATAGTTCACAATTGTAATGTCATAGGAAAATACCTGTGATTTTTATTGATATCTAAGTCCTCAGTACTACCACTGCTATGATGTATTACCTACATTCATAATGGAAGGAAATGTTAAATTTTAGTCAGATGTTAAGGAATAAAGATGTAATTTTTTTCTATGTAAATTCACAGACCCTGGATTAAGAATCCCTGCTATCTAATATTCATTCAGACAGTAAATAAACATATTTAAGCACTTTTGTAGGTGCTGGGATAGAGCAGTGAGCAACATCATCAGGACTTCAGTGCCTAAAAGAGCTTCACATTTTGATAGGGGGAAACAAATAGCTATATTTAAACAGGATAATTCCAGGCACCGATATACTAAAAAGAACATGAAATAGGGTAACACGATGGAGCATGTTCAAGAGGGCTGTTTTTGCTGGAGGTCAGTGAGTATTCCGAGGATAAAAAATAATGTGCCTCTCTTTCTCATCACTGAAGTCTCAACACAAATGTCACCTACTGGGCAAAATTTGTTCTCACTTGCACCCAGCTCTCACTGTTCTATCCCAGCACCTATAAAAGTGCTTAAATGTATTTCTTTACTGTCTGAATGAATATCAGAAAGCAGGGATTCTTAATCTAGGGTCTGTGAATTTACATACTCTGGGAAAGAGTATTCCAAGCATAAAAAATAACCAAGGAAAGTAATCTGGGATGGGAGTGAGCTCAGTATTCCTAAGAGGGAGAATGAAGGGCAGGGTGGTTCAATCTCATAAGTAAAGAGAGATAAACTGTGTAAGTGGTTAAGGTTAAGTGATTAATGTAGTGCTTCCAGGTCATGGCAAAAGCTTGGTTTGCATCCAATTCTGTCTATAATCAAATCCATTGGATACTTTCGAGAAGAGTGACTTTCCTGATCAATGATTTATAAAGATCATTTTTGCCACCTTCTAGAGGAAGGACTTTAGGAAAACAAGAGTAGAGGCAGGGAGACCAGGACAGATGCTGTTTCAGAGGTTCAAGTGAGAGATGTTGGCAGTGCAGACTAGGATGTAGGCAGGGGAGAGGGTGAGAAGCAGCCAGATTCAGATGAGTTCTGGAGGTACAGCAGGCCAGACAAGGCAGGGAGATTGTGAACTATGCAGAAAGAGAAGAAACAAGGATAGGACCTAGATTTTGGCTTTAGCAACTAAAGAGTGTTTATTACGAGATTGGAAAGCTTGACAAGGAGGAGGATGGGGTAGGATTTTGTCCACATTAAATTGAAACGTTTCAGAGATCAAAAGGAAGGCTCTGGTTTTATAGCAAAGGTTCCTGCTCAGGTCCTCATTCAGTTCCTTTATGCAAATGAAGGATGTTGGGTCAGCATGATCCTGATGGGGGTCTTTTGCAGACAGTTGTTAAAACAGGCTAGAACAATTTTAAAGGGAGTCAAATGTATAGCCCAAATATGTGGAAGACTTGTAGACTGGTCTGGAACTCCTAACCTCAAGTGATTCGCCTGCCTTGGCCTACCAAAGTGCTGGGATTACAGGCGTGAGCCACCGTGTGAAGCCCCACCTAGGTTTTTAATCAGGTTCATTTATGTAAATAAAAAATGGAAACACGTTTAGTTGTGATTGGTGAGTGTAGTTGATTTCTCATTGGCTGGCAAAAATGAGTTCTGGTTGGTCAATACAGCTGAACCCTGATTGATTGACTGAGGCTGCTGAGCTCTGATTGGTTGGTTCAGGTGAATGCTGGAAGTCCCAAATATAAAAGGATGCAGATTTTCAGGGAACTGAGAGTATGTGTGTGACTCCTACCTGGTCAGAAAATTGCTTCTTGGCTCTATTTTAAACTTAGGCCCAGTTAGCCACCTGGGATCCATCTTGAAGAATTGGCTTGAAGGATTCACATTTGTTCACTATGTAAATAGATTTAGGTGAATGTGTTTGGGTCTGTAAAGAGAAATGGACTCTACAGCTCTATTCCTTGAAGGCAGAGACAGAGAATGAAGCCACGTAAGTAGTAGGAAATGTTCCCGCCACCTTTGCACCTGCAAATGGACTCGGTCACTTCACAGGCCTATTTCTCCTTCAGACATCGTCACAGCCACATGGGCAATGGGCAGGAAAGAATTTCAGGACTGTGATAGTATTTTAACCTCCTGTAGGCCTTTAAAATTTTCTGTGTTAACCACTTAAAGCATTCAGCAGCTTTGGAGTCATCCAGAAGGTGTGAGCTCACGCAGAGCCAAAAAGGAGAGAAAGAAGAGTGTTTCCTTCTAGACAATTCATAGTCTTTTGTTCATCTGTAGACGTTTATTGCATGGCTTAAGTGAAGATTTGGGTTCATTTTCCTAGTGTTTGAATTTTACCACCATTGTTTTTTAAAAAATAATTTGCGTTTTCCTCTCTGACTTAAAATACCAACTTTTAGTAAAAGGAATCTCTGTATATTTATGTCTATTTCTGGGCTTAATATTTAGTTTTAGTTTAATATCTATTACTAGACCTATTTTACAACATATTCAGTGGTCTAAATTTTAATATTTGTAAATATCAGGCAGGTCAAAAAAAACATCATTTTCACTTTTGAAAATATTATTTTCTAGTATCAGCTGTTTATTCTTCCAGGAAAGTTTATAATCAGTGGACCTTATTTAAAAAGACCTGTAGCAGTGTTTTTAGAGTTGCACTGAATTGCAATAAATCCAATGGGGAGAAATTGGTAGTTATAACAGTACTCAATGTCAATATTCAATATCAATAGTACTCAATAATACTGATATAAGAACATGATAAGACTTCCATTGCTGAACTTGGCTTCAGGTTTTCCTCAGTCAAGTATTAGTTTGCTTCCTGCATTTCCTATGCATTTCTTACAAAACTTAAGGTTGTTATCTTATATTTTCTGAATCTGATTTTTATTCATTGTATTTTCAGGAATATTGGAAAGATATCATTTGAATATATTTAATTTTTTAACTGAAAAAACTATTGCTAAGCTATCTTGTTGGTTTCGTTTTGAATAATAGATTCTTGTGTTTTCGGGTAGATGATCCTCATCATTTGCAAATAATAACAATAATAATGGGCTAATATTGGGATTCCTTTATTCTTTATGGCTTTAATTGCACAGCCTCTAGGCATATTCTTAAACAATAAATTGGCTGTTAATTTAAAATAGGCATTTAATTATGTCAATGAATTGTCTTTTTGTTCTTTTTTAGATTGAAAATCAAAAACCAAGAATAGAAATTGAGTTTTGTTAAATGTGTTTGTAGCTTCTATTCAGATGATTGCATATTTTTCTTTGTTGTGATTTATTAATAAAATATACTTTTAATATTAAAATCAGACTTCCATTCCTGATATTAAAACTTTTTAGATCAAAGAAAGTTAATATTACAAGGAACTTGGGATTAGTTTGAAGGGGCAATGGAGCATCATATTTAGTTCTGAACTTCTTAGTATCAAAAATAAAATAGAAAATGCAATTAAAAAATAAAATAGAAGCTCTTTGTCTAATAAAAATATATCAACAACATTGCTTTGAGGGAAGCAAAACTTTCCTGGGACTGAATTCTTCGAGTGAATAATGTTGTGGACGGAACATAAATAGGGGTAAGAGCTTCTCCACCGTCTTCCAGACCCATGGATCTGGGCTTCATTAATCTATTGGGGTATTAAATCAGATGTTTACCAAATACCCGGATGGAGTATTGTTAACATTATAACCATTGAGTTGAACAAAGATGACTTAAGGGATGTAATCAAAATGCAATTCTATTTTTTATCTCCTACCTTCCCTATTTGTTTAACTTGAAAAAAATCTCAAGGTACAGGAAAGTTTTTAAGAGTAGTACAAAGAGCTTTTTTTCCTTAACCATTTGAGGGTAAGTTGCTAGCATGATGCCCTCACCATCATCTCCACACCACTCACACACTTTAGGGTATCCTGCAAACAAGGACATTTTTCTACTTAACCACAAAACAACCGTCAACATCAGGTAACTAATGCTGATACATTTCTACCATGTAATTCTGGGACCTCATTCACATTTCATCAATTGTATCAGTGATATTCTTTTCGGCCAAAAGATTCACTTCAGAATTTCATGTTGCATTTAGTTGCCATGTCTCTTTAGTTTCTTTAACTCTAGAATTGTTCTTAGTCTTTCCTTGACTTTGATGACATGATTAGAGAGTGCAGGCTAGTTATTTTGTAGAAGTTCCCCAGTGTGGGTTTCTTTGATGTTTTCACATGATTAAATTCAGGTTAGGGATACCACAAAGATGTCCCTGTGTTCTTCTCAGGTCATTATACCGGAGTCATATGATGCTGATATGTACCATTTCTGGCTCTTCATTTGATTAAGGTGGGGCCTATCAGGTTTTGCCTCTGCAAAGTTACTCCTTCTCCCATTGAAATCAACAGGTAGTTTGTTAATTTGGAACTATGTAAATATTTACATACTTTGGAACTATGTAAATATTTACATACTTTGGAACTATGTAAATATTTCATCCTACATCAGACTTTCAATTTATTCACTTATTTATTTTAGTAAAGCTCATAATTTTGTTTTATTTAGTGATTTATAATATATTACTATTTTTGTTTACTTTGATGCTCAATTTGTCTCAATTTTGGCCAGTTGGAGGTTCTTCATCATTCTTTGAGCACTTTCTTACTTTGTGGCACAAAACAAAATTCCAGAGTCATCTTGAGTTTTTCCCTGACCAAGCCCTGAAATCAGTCCTCACTCTAATAAGCTCTGGTTCCTCTTAATGTTTGAGAATTGTATTTAGAAACCAAGATCTCAGTGGTAGATGTGTTCATGGCTTCTGGGGCCTCTGCCCTCAGGTTTGCTAGGTAGACAAAGTTAGGGACTATATGTGTATACATACATATCTATCTACCTACCTACCTACCTACCTACCTATCTTTCTATTCATATCCATGAATTTACACCAGTACTTCCATCCATTCCAGTCCAATACAAAGTTTCTTCAAGTTTTCTACTTTTCCATATTTTTAACTTTCTTTTCCAGCAGTGAGCTCCTATTAGGATTAATGTTTGTATTTACTTTGTCAATCCCCTTGTGTGCCACCATCATCCCATTTCCAGACATCCTTCTCATTCTTTTCCCAGGCCTACACCCCTCACTCTGATGCCCCCTTGTGGATGCTCTCCTTTCCTGCCCATGCTCTGATTCCCTGACACAGGCCACACCTCCTGGACCTTCCTCATCTCTTGGACACGGACATCTTTGCTAAGTTGCACAACTTTGCCTAGAAGCTTTCCTCAACCCACTTCAGTGGGCGAGGCTGTCACCCAGCTCAGACACCCTCTGCACCTGGTCAGGCTTCAGCATCCTATGCCAGGCTGTCCTCCTGCATGAACACAATCCTCGCCCTGCACAGGCTCTAACACCTCTCACTGGGCCACTGTGGCTCCCCACACCGTGTCCTGCTGGAGCATCCCCAGGTTAGCCATTAAGCAAAATAAGCTTGTGTTTAGGGCACCAAGAAAAGAGGGCACCACAGAGCTTTCCCCCAGCTGTCATGCCCTTAAGTCTTTCACTGGTCATATGATGTTAGTAACATTTTTTGTAATTGTCTTTATTTGCTGTTTAGATTTAATCTAAAATTTTTTCAAATGTGCTCTTTGGCATGGTGAGTGACTAAAGTTTAAAAGTTTGATTTGAAGGTGATATCAGATATAACATTTGTTTCTGTCTCATGCTCTGAGGGTTTTTGCCTCCCTGAAAGCTGGCTGTGTCTGGCTAGCATTTAACTCGTCAGCTGATTTGTTTAAGGAACACTTAAGCTCTTTATGTTAAGAAATGGAAGGGCCAAGGGTGTTACAGAACCACCAGATTCATATTCCCACTACTCAGTAACAAACTAATGCACTCAGCACATAGGTTTTGCAGCAGAGAAAGAATTTAATGAATACAGGGTGACCAAGCAAGAAGACTGGGCGAATCCTCAGAGGGATCTCCATTTCCAGAGGAAACTCCTTTTCCCCCAAGGACTCTTGTGCTGGGATTTTTAAGGGAGTCTTGGAGGGCAAGGGCTAGAAAACTGAGGTTACTGAGTGGTCAGGGTAAGGGGGATGAAGCCATCAGGATGTATTCTTTGGTGAGCCAGCTCACTGTGGGGTCCTGTAGACCAACTGACACAGTAGTTTCACAGATAGGCAGGACCTGAAAGAATAACTCAAATAGAAAACTTAACGTTTCACAATGCTTAAGTTGTTATCTGCAGAGCAGCTAAGGGAAACTGTAATCTTTTGACAAGGTCTACGTGATTTTGAGGCAGCAGGCAACAAACAACTATGAGAAAGCAGGAGAGAATAAGCTGACTTCATGATTAGTGCTGGATGTGCTGCAAGCTTGGTTATTTTCATTTCTCCCCCTCCCTTCTTCTCTGATTAATTTTGTAAAGTTTATAGGGATGGTTTCAAGGTGGCAACATGGTTGGTCTGCGTTTAGGGCATCATTGTTCTTAATCTGGCCCTGCAGTGAGGCAGCCTACCTTGCTTATTATTTCCCTACCCTATCCCAATAACTTTTTTTTTTTTTAAAGTAGAGATGGGGTTTAGCTATGTTTCCCAGGCTGGTCTTGACTCCTGGGCTCAAGTGATGCGTCCACCTTGGCCTCCTAAAGTGCTGGAATTTCAGATGTGAGCCACTGCACCTGGCCTCCAATAACTTTTGAACAAATTCAGAAAATTAAGTGAGGATGCAAAGGGTTTACCTTTTCCCTTCAAACCTGCTCAGTGAAGAAAGAATTTTAAATCTAGGTTATCCCACCCCCACTATACCCCACACTCTTATTTATTTATTTATTTATTTATTTATTTATTTCCTTGTTAAGCCCTCTTAGGTAGTAAAAAGTACTGTGGTCACTTTAAATAGCAAGCATACATTCCCAGTTAGATAACTGAAAATATTTATTTAAATATGGAATTTAGCTAGTCAAATGTCATACACATACAAGACTCCTTCCCTGTGTCTCCAGCTGGGACAAAGCTGCAGGCGGACCTTCTCCTTCAGGGAGAGGGGTGTGAGCACTTTCTTCTGTCTGGCTTTTCTCCTCATCCGCTAGGATGCTGACCCCACCTCTGACCCCTCCTGAGGTGTGACCAGGAGAGAAAGGAGGGGAAGCAGGCATGGAAATTTCTGGCTTGTTTGGCCCCATTGTCAGTTGCCCACATGCTCCCTGGGCCAGTAGGTGTTGAAAGCAGACCCTTTTCTTCATGCATAAGAGGCTGACAAGGCAGGAAATGCACTTGGTTTTTCCAGCTGCCCATCTCCTTGGCATCACAGATCCACTCCACACAAATCTCCCTTTGTGGATATCCCTTCTCCCTTCTAGGTGGTCCCTTGGGCCTGGCTATCAGTCCTCTGTGACCTGCATCTAATCCATGGGAAACACGCATGTAGCCTCTGGTCCAACAAAATGGAGAGGTCTTGTCCACTTCAAATGCAGTGGTCAGTGTCTTTCTGCCTTGTTCCTCGGGTGGAAAATCAGAGCCCCTCACTCCCAGATTCCTCAGGAAAGCCAACAGCTGACCCATGGGCCCACCCAAACACAGACTAGGCTCTAAGCAACCATTGATATAATTTGTCTATATTGATTTGCCTATTCTGTACATTTCATGTAAATGAAATTACATAATATGTCTGTGACTGACCTGTTTCACTTGACATGTTTTCAAAGTTCACTCATGTCGTAGCACGTAGCAATACTTCCTTCTTTTTTTGTGGCCCAGTAGTATTCGACTGTATGGCTATGCTACATTTTGTTTATACATTAATCCACTGAGGAGCATTTGAGTTGTTTACACCTTTTGGCTGCTGTGAATAGACCACTATGTGCATTTGTGTGTACAAGTTTTTATGTGAAGATATGTTTCAATTTTGTGGGGTATATACCTACAAGTGGAGTTGCTGGTCATGTGGTAATTCTAGGTTTAACGTTTTGAGGGACTGCCAAACTCTTCTCCACAGCATCAGACTATTTTACATTCTCACCAGCAATGTAGAATTCCAATTCTCCATATCCTCATCAACACTTGTTATGTTTCTTTTTTTTTCAGTAGCCATCTCAGTGAATGTGAAGTGGCATCTCATTATGGTTTTGATTTGCTTTTCTCTAATAAGTAATTATGTTGAACATCTTCTCATGTGCTTATTGGCTATTCTTCTGTTTTTTTACAGAAATATATATATTCAGTGTGTTTGCCCACATTTTAATTATTTGTCTTTTGATGTTGGGTTATAAGAGTGTATTGGATATTCTAAATACTAGACTGATAAGAATCAGATATGTGATTTGCAAATTGTTTCTCCCGTTTTATAGGTTGTCTTTTTTTACTTTCTTGTTAATGTCCTTTGATGCAAAGTTTGAAGCAAAGTTTTTGATTTTTATGAAGTCTAATTTATCTATTTTTTCTTTTATTGCTTGTGGCTTTGTTGTCATATAGAAGTAATCAATGCCAAGTCAAAGGTCATGAAGATGTACCCCTAAGTTTTCTTCTAAGAGTTGTATTGTTTTAGCTCTTACATTTAGGTCTTTGATTCATTTTGAGATGGTTTTTAAAAATAGTGTGAGGTAATAGTATTTTGTTATAGCAGCCTTAGCTAAGACAGCTTCTTTAATTTCTTTCTACAATATTTTGAAGTTTTCGAATATAAGTTTGTACTCTTTTTGTTAAACTTATTTATAAGTATTTTATTATTTTTTATGCTACTTGAAATTGAATTGTTTTCTTAGTTTCATTTTTGGATGGCTCATTGCAAGTGTATAGAAATATAATTGACTTTTGTATATTGATCTTGTGTCCTGCAGCTTTGCTAAACTCATTAGTTCTAATATTTTTAGTAGATTTCCTAGGATTTCTGTAAGCAAGATTATATCATTTGTAAGATATAGTTTTACTTCTGTTTTTCCAATCTAGTTTCCTTTTATTTATTTCCCTTGCCTAATTGCCCTGTATAGAACCCCTAGTATAATGTTGAGCAGAAGTGGCTAGAGTAGACATCTTTGTCTTGTTCGTGATCTTAGAGAGAAAACACATATTTTAAAATTCTTACAAAGCCTTTCTTCATCTACACTCTCTTGAGGCTTTAACTTTTATGTAACCTGAACTGTTTCAGAGCCGTATGACTCTAAAAGCCATATGGCTTTTTATGACATCCTGAACAATATCTGTAAGGTATGGTTTGGATGTTTGTCTCATCCAAATCTCATGTTGAAATGTAATTCCTAGTGTTAAAAGTGGGGCGTAGTACGAGGTGTTTAGGTCATGGGGGCAGATCCCTCATGACAGCTTGGTGCTGTCCTTTGGATAATGAGTGAGTTCTCACTCTGAGTTCAGGAGAGAATATGGTTGTATAACAGTGTGTGGTACCTCCCATCTCTCTCTCTATTGCCCCTGCTCTCACCATGTGATGCACTGGCTCCCCTTTCACCTTCTGCCATGATTGGAAGATTCCTGAGACCCTCACCAGAAGCAGATGCTGGCATCATGCTTCTTGTACAGCCTGCAGAACCATAAGCCAAAATAAACCTCTTTTCTTTATAAATTACCCAGACTCAGATATTCCTTTATAGCAACACATATTGTCTCCCTAGGATAAGATGTATCATGATTGCCTATGTGAAGAGAATACATATGTTCAGCTAACATGTGGAAACATCTGCAGCATGTTTAGACAGTTATTAGGCAATGTAAGCAGCTGTTTCCACTGGAAAACCCAGAAAATGTCTATTTGTATGGACGCCATGTTTTAATAACTAATAAAACTTCAAATACAAAAAGGAAGAAAAAATTTTCAATACAAAGGAAAGATAGTGTGTGCCTTCCTCATTGTTACTCCAGATAGGCCCCTGGATTGACACCCAGTTTAGAACCTTGGCCACTCCCCCTTTTCAGGTTTTGGAGAATATGACATCAGAGGAGCTAATCTGGACACCTATTAACCAGGTAAAGCCCAGTTTCAGCCCAACTTGCCAGAGACCACTATCCCAGTTAACACAGATGACAGCAATTGTTCTTTGAAAGGACTAGTGACACTTTTGGGTAGGGTCCAAAAAAAAAAAAAAGAGTGTGTGGTGGGTGCAGGACCACAAAGGGGGGCTTTATTTTCATTTTCTTAATAACAAGTTGGTTTACAAAGAATGGGAATTTGGTAACAGTACAAAAGGTATGTCTTATTATCGCTGTGGATAAAATATATTCTTATTAGGGAGAGTGGCAGTATCAAACTTGAGTGTCAAACCCCACTGGTGTGCACTGTGTTTTTTTGCTTTGTTTGGATTTGTTTTGTTTTCAGGATACAACATAGATATAGAGCAACTGATGGATGGTTTCATACCATGTACCTGGACCTAGCAAAATGTTGGAGTTGTTTGGATCTTTTACATAAAGATTTTTGAAAATAGGGAAAAGGAAGGATAATAAACTTGCACAGACAGCCATATTTATTTTTATGTCCAGAGGAGAGAAGTGTAAAAAAATGTTTAGGATCACCTATCACTGAGGCAAGGAAGACAACTTGAGAAAAATATAATACACGAGACCATCTTTTTGAAATGTTGAAAAGCTTTCTTATGTCCTCTGTGTACAAGGACTCACAAATGACATTTGTGTGCACTATTTTTTTCTTTGTTTACAAAACTTAGTGTGAAACAGAGCACTTGCAGAGCCTGGGACAACCTCCTTATTGAAGGGAAGAGGGACCAGCACATGAGGCTGAGGCTGAGGGGCAGTCACCAGCACCAGGAAGAAGGTGGTAGGAGGAGTCCTAGGGGCCAGTTTTACCCTCCCACATATCCTGTGTGCATCGTTTTTTAACATGTGTTGTTTGTAACATGTAATATATCTGAATTTTAAATGGGGGTGGTGATTTATCTCAGTCTTCCTCTCTGCATCAGTTGCTTTATAAATGATTGTCAAACCAATAAATACACACAAGATAAAATTTTATTCTAAGGCTTCATGAAAGACTTTTTCCACAATTTTTAACTTTTATTCTTTCTCATTGTAGATGTGTGAGCTAGTGCAAAATTTTAGGAGATTTCCATAATTTAAGGATGGCCCATTTTAAAGGAAACAGCACAAGTCAGCTCCCTCGCTGGTGGGCCCAGGGAGAAATGTAACTCATTTTCAGAAATAACTAAAAGTGACAGATAAGAAAGAAAGAACAGGATCCAGGGAGAGGCTAGGGTTGGCTTGGTGACTGTTGGAGAAATGATACGGAGCAGACCCAGTCTCTAACATCTTAATTCCAGATGAAAAAAGATAATACATAGGTTTAGATGACTCGATGCTCAGAAAACAAATACAATTAAAGAAAAATCTGGTCCTTTTCCTTCCTATCCATTTCTCCCCTAACTGTTCTCCCACCACTCTGGAGCTGTTCATTCATTGATTCATACTGCGATTCAATAGCATTTACTGGCACTTACTGTATATGATACTGTTGTTCTTTGTGTTAAAGATGCTACAAAATAATGTATGTCATGGTTCCTGAACTTTAAGAGCTTGTCTTCAGACTATGTAGAGGAAACTGTCATAAATGAAGCAGCTGAGGAACAGTGTGGCGATAGCCCTGCCAGGCAACCTGCAGGGCCTCTCTCCTCTGGTCTGACAAGAGCACTTCAGACCTTTTTCTTTCTCCACTTACTGCCTCCCTTCCAAGTAGGAAGAAAGATATAAAAATAAGACCCTCCCTAGATCTTGCACTAGCAGATGAAGACACCATCTTGGGCTGTCAGGTGAAAAGGCAGGAGCTGTCCTCACACCATCTCTCATAATTCTCCTAACTGGGCTTCAAGTCACAAAATTCCTCCCTTGTCACAACCTTCTCAGGAACTTTCCATTAGTGCTTTGTGTTTTTTGCATATGCGACTTTTCTCTGTCAGCTAGCACCTTCTCACAATCTTAAACATGTTTGTTTTCAACTCCTTCTTCGAGCCCATATGCTTTTGCAGCTACTTTCTTGCCTCTTTCCTTCTGCTATGGTTTAGATGTCTGTTCCCTCCAAATCTAATATTGAAATTTGATCCCAATGTTGGGTCCACTTGCAGGAGGTGTTTGTGTCATAAGGGTGAATCCCTAGTGACATTAAAGCTCTTCCTCAGGGGTGAGTGAGATCATTCCTACAAGAGCTGCTTGTTTTAAAAAAACCTGGCACCTCCTCTCCCCCTCCCAGCTTCCTGTCTCACCATGTGCTTTCTGTACAGGCCTACACTCCTTCACTTTCCACTATGAGCAGAAGTTGCCTGAGGCCCTCGCCAGATGCAGATGCCCAATCTTGAACTTTCCAGCCATCACAATCACAATCCAAATAAACCTCTTTTTCTTCATAAGTTACCCAGCCTCAGGCATTCCTTTATAGCAACACAAAAGCGACAAAGACACCACCCTTTCATACCCAAACTTCTCAGCAGTGGTCTCCTTTCTGTACTTTCTGCTCACTTCTCATCTGGACAGATCACTGCAAATTTGGCATTGGTAACTACTCACTTTTTTTGGAAACATTCTCTCTTCCCTTCCCTTTCTTAGCACCATATTCTCTTGATTTTCCTTCTATCTTTCAGGCCCTTTCTTTTTCTTTCTTTCTTTCTTTTGTTTTTCTTTCCTCTCTTTCTTTCTTTCTTTGTTTCTTTCTTTCTCTCTCTCTCTCTCTCTTTCTTTTCTTTCTTTCTTTCTTTCTTTCTTTCTGCTAATCATCCTCCAGCTGACCATTAAATACTGGAATTCTTTAAGGCTTATTCCCAAGCTTCCTTTTCTTATGCCACTTTCACCCATGGATGACTCATCCATGCAAAAATTGTAATCACTACCTATATCAAGATGATTTATACGTTTGTAAATGGAGCCCAGGTCTCACAAGAGAAATCCAGAGTCATGTGTCCATTTTCCTTCTTGTTGTCTACACTTGGATATAATTGCTATCTGTGTTGCTGTCTGTGTTAGAGGCATCCCCATTAATATAATAGCAAACCAAAACTCAGGAGTTACTCTGGACATCTTTCACTCTCTCACTTAGTAATAGGACCCGTCAGGTTTATTCCCTAAATCAAATAATCCACCTAAATCAAATAATCCATTCACCTCTCACCATGTCTATTGCCTCATGCCAGGGGCCATTGTTCTCTCCTGGACTACACTGTAAGCTCCTACTCCAACCTAATCTCTCATGCAGAGTGCCTTTGAAAACCAGGACACTTCCTACTGATTTCAAAATAAAGACCAACGCACTTCACTGGGCCTACATCATCCTGTGTGCTCCTGACCTTAATTCTTCTACAGTCTCCTCACAAATCATACTTCCCTTATTCTCTATACTCTGGCCATAGCTAATTTCTCCCTCCTGCCATGAAACTTTTGCTTATGCTGTTCTTTCTTCCTAAAATATTCTCCTCTCAGTCTCCCACAACAGTTAACTATTATCCTTCAGATCCCAGCTCAGCTGAAACTTTGCAGGGGTGGCCCTTCCTTACACTCAGATTAGTGCACTTATCATCCACTCTCATAACCCATGTAACCACTCATTATTTCTACAGTTGTTATTACATATTCACTTGTGTGATACTTTGATTAAAGTTATCTGCCCTCCCGAGACACTGAACTCCTTAATACTGTGTATGATTTGATTTCTGCCATCCACACAAGGTGTGTGTACATTAATATTCATTTAGTGTTGAAATGGTTTTGCTATCTTATGATCCTCCATGCTGCCCATATAGGGGCTTTAACAAAAGCACTACACACATTTCTCCAGACATTTGGAGTGAGGTTAGGGCAGTGTGTGTCTTACATACATCTTTGGGAGACATTTTAGGTTAATGAGGTGAATGTTGAATGGTTCCACATTGAATTGAATCCTACTGAATGGTGCGTGGGATTCCAACAGTCAGAGGGGCAAACGAAGGCAGATATCATGGGTCACTGTCCAAAAGCAGTGCTACATGAAGAACTGTTGGAGGGGCTAGAAGAGACACTGGGCAATGTCTGTTCACTAACATGTTAAAGATCTGCACAAAGCCAAAAAGCAGATGTGGGGCAGAAGTCAAGATGGCCAGAAAGAAGGTAACTGTCCAAAAGCTAACTCTGGAAGCACAGGTATTCCAGAGGCGGCTCTGATTCCAAAGCTGGCATCCACAGAATGCAAGTTGTCTGAAAGAGTTAAAGTGTACTATCTTGCTCCCATTAGTTGCAGACACGTTCATTCCTCTTATCATGATGGAATCATTATTGTTCTTTCCTCCTTGACATTTTTCACCAACAATGGAAAACACTATGCTTTCTGTTGTTTGGGGCTTTCTTTTGAGGACAGCTCAGAGGATTCATGTTCTGCATGTTGGGCGCAACTCCCTTGTGATTCTCAGTTCTCGGTCCCAAGGTCTGGCTTCCTCTTTTGCTTTGGAAAGAAATTGTCCCCAGCCCCTGATGCTTTTACTAGGATAACAGTGGAAGAGTGGAGAACACAGAAATCTCAACACACCTATGCTTTTAGTAGCTTGCAGTTAAATAACTAGCGTGTTTTCTTCCCCTGTAAAATTTCCAGGCATGGTAAAATCTTTAGCGTTACATAGTCAGGGTCTAGCTAATGGCTTATCAGTCAAGCAGGCATGAAAGAGAAATGTCTGTGAGGGAAAACAATGATGAACTAAGCACCAGGATCTAGCACATCTCTCGGTTTGCTCAGAGGTGGGTGAATGTCTGCTCTTTAGCCCAGTCCTGCACATCTGCTCGGCCAAAGATGAGGTAGAAAACCAGGCCCGATATGTTAACAGCAGCTGAAAGCAAGAAGACATTTCTCCAACCAAACTCTGAATCCTGGAGGCAGAAAATTACAAGTTATTAACGGTCACCCAATTCCTGTCCCTCTTGGTTCAGAAAGGCTTTGGCTCTGTGTCCTCCTGCTCCCTCCCCGACCTCCACTCTGGCTTCCATGGGCTTCCCAGTTGGTCCTAGAATACTCAAGTACATTTCTGCCATGAGTCCAAAGCACTGGGCATTTCCTTGGCTGGAACGCTCCTCCTCCAGATACCTATTTGTCTCACATCTTCACTCCCTTTCAGTCCTTGCTTAAGTGTTCTTTTTAAGCAAGTGATTACGGTGAGTCCTTCCTTGATCATTGTAGTTAGAAATTCCACCCCTTGTGCTTTATTCTCCTCTTAGCATTTGCTAAGCATTTGCTATTCTCCTGTTACCATTCAATATGTCATATATTTTACTTCCATAGATTTCTTTCTGTTTCTTTTCTACAATATAGGTTTCACAAGGGAAGGAATTGTGTTTCATTCACTTAAATAGCACGTAGCACATACTACTGTTTAATATTTATTGAATGAATGAATGAATAAGTCATTGAATGACAGGAGAAACAAGAGCAGTTTGAGAATTTCCATTTTAAACAACCATTTCCTGACAGTATGCTAGTGCCTGGGAGGGAACTGAAGCTTCAAGAAAAGAGAAGGGACTTGATTTCATAAAGAATACTCTTTCTTTGTTATTCTTCATTTATTTTTCTGATTTACCAGTGAAAAACCACAGGAAAGTCATTCTTTAACTTTCCTGTGGTTTTTCACCAGTAAGTGAATGGTATATGGCAGTGTTTTTTTCCAGTAAATGAAGTATATGGCAGAAAATAAGAATGCCACATACTTCTTTATTCATGTAAAGTTTATACCAGTAAGATTCTTAGGAAACTTAAGAATCTTAAGTTTCTTTAATTCTTAAGTCATCATGTAAATTAGTTTATTTTTGACTACTTTAAAAGCATCTTCTAGGATACAAGGCCGTGCATATGTGAAAAAACCATGCCTCTATAGGTTTCTTTTATGAATATTCATCAGAACATTTGACCTCACCTGACTGATGAAAAATCCAGCAGCAGTAGGAGAGATGGCTCCAGCTATGTGTGCAAAGACTTGCAATAGTCCTTTGAGAAAGCCAGTGTACCTGAGAGAGAGAGATGGTACTCTATTATAACCAAGTATACCTACGTTTGAAAGTCTCAATACCCGGGAGAGGGAGGCAAATATTCCTGTGCAAACAAAGGGTTAATATCAGCTGGTCTGCTGCAACTCTGTGCTTACCTCTGGAGATGACTGGAATTGTGTAAGCCTTGGTGAAACCTGAATGAAATGTACTGACCAATGATTAGTATAATCCTGTGCTAGGGACTGGTACTCCCAAGGGGGTAACCTCTATTAACTTGTCAACATTGTTTATGCAAGATGGTCAGATTGATGGTCTGCACCTGGTTTGTAAGGTTTTTGTTGTTGTTGTTGTTGTTGTTGTTGTTGTTGTTGTTGTTGTTTTGGCTTCTGCTGTTGAGTCTGATCTTGTAACTTTTATACCCTCCGTGGGTATAAAAGACCCCTCACCAGATGAGACGTCGGCTCCCCTGTGACAAGGGCATCTCTCACATTTCTTGGTGGTTCATTATCTGAAGATGAAGGATGTCCTGTTGACTGGGACAGCACCCTGGGAGCTATGTTTGGAAGTCTCAGTCAACTGTTTTTACTGTATCAGAGACAGATATTTCTCCTGCAGTCCTGTGTCCTTTGCCTTCATTAAAGATTTTCATGAGCATACCCTATAGAATCTCAAGATTTCTTTCAGTGATTCCGCCTTAGGCAAGTGCTGCATTCCTCAACAGAGAGAGGTTTGTGTGAGTCTCCCTCAGTTGACTCTGAGCATGGCCACTGACTCCTCTTGTTCACGCCCAGAAAAACTAAGTTCACAATGGTCCACCAGCTTTGAGTCTCTTCCAGGAATTATTTAGATGTAGGATGTAGAGCTGGTGCTGACATTTCCTGCAACCTGTTGTACCTGCCACATTTTACTTTCACATCAGAGTAGATTTAGGGCTGCTAGACTTGAATTGAGTGTCTGAAAGGATGAGGCAAAAGAGGTCCCTACCGAGGAGCAATATCCAAGAAGTTAACAAGGGCTCCTGATTCACAGAAGCTGCTGATGGCAGAAGACAGCACCAAGAAGGTCATGGTCATGCTGTGGCTGGATCTGACCCAGGGCAGGGACACGAGGATCACGGATGGGAAGAGAACCCCTGGGGTAGGAGGACAAACACAGAGTAAACTGAAGGCTGCTCTGAGCTTCCCACGTTCACCCCTGTGTCCAGTCTCTCCCTTACCAATGGCAGTGAAGAGTTTCCTGATGGTGATGAGTCTGAGGATTTTTCTGGAGAGAAGAAAGTCTGCCAGTAGACCTCCAAGGATAATGCAGATACATCCAACAACAAACGGCAAGGCAGACAGGATCCCACTCTGAGGACCAGAGACTAGGTCAGGTGCATGTGCCCTTACCACCCCCACCACGACACAGACAACCTTGGACAGACTGTCCACATTTGTGGCTTTTCTTTATATACGCATCACTTTTAATACAAATTCCATGTTACTATAATGAGCCAATATACTTTTAGTATGTATATGTTCATAGCTCTGCTTGCAAAAAAAAAAGAACAAGGCTCTCTTTATATATAAAAATCACCTGGAAATAAATATTTAAAAGACCAAAACCCAGTACAAAAATAGGCAAAGGGTAATAACAGACAATTTAAAAAAGAAAAGAAGAAAAAAAGAAAAATAAGTGGCTCCTAAACATGTTAAAAGGTATCCAACTTTACTCATAATGAAAGAAATACAAAGTAAAACTATGGTGAGATATTATTTTTCATGGATCAAATTGGCAAAAACACCCATTTTTTTTTGGCATGCTCTGTGCTAACACTGTGGAGAATCAGGTTCTCACAAATATTACTGGTGCTCTATTGAGGGCAATTTGACAACAAATATAAAAGTTTATAGTGCATTTACCCTTTGACTCAATAATCTCATATGCAGAAATTTACTCCACAGAGGGTTGCACAAAGGTATGAGAAATGAACAAGGTTTTCACTGCAGCATTGCTCAAAGATGGGAAACAATCCAAATACTGCTCAGCAAGGTTCTCATGTACTGATATGAAGATTTCCATGACATATTAATTGGCAAAAACCTAGTATATAAGCATAGCGGCATATTACTAAGTATACTGTTTTGTATTTTAAAAGTTGGGAAAATAAGAATACACATTCATGTATGCTTGCATTCTCATAAAGAAACAAAGAAAGAATATATATAGGAAATTTAGGCCAGCCATGGTGGCTCACACCTGTAATCCCAGCACTTTGGGAGGCTGTAGTGGGAGGATCACTTGAGCTCAGGAGTTCGAGACCAGCCTAGCCAATATAACAAGACCTCATCTCCACAAAAAATTAGCCAGGCATGGTGGTACACGCCTGTGGTCCCAGCTACTCAGGAGGCTGAGGTAGGAGGATTGCTTGAGCCTGGGAGGTCGAAGCTTTAGTGAGCCATGAGTGAAACACTGCACTCCAGCCTGGGCAACACAGTGAGACGTTGTCTCAAAAGAAAGAAAGAAAAAGAAAAAAGACATAGAAAGAATTATCATTGGAATGGGCTGGGAGGACAGGGCAGATTAGGAACAGTAATGAAAGAAAGATTTTTCAGTCTTTCTATTTTTTTTTTAGACAGAGTTTAGCTCTTGTTGCCCAGGCTGGAGTGCAATGTCATAATCTCGGCTCACTGAAACCTCCACCTCACCAGCTCAAGCGATTCTCATGCCTCAGCCTCCTAAGTAGCTGGGACTACAGGCAGATGCCACAACACCTGGCTAATTTTTTGTAGTTTTAGTAGAGACAGGGGGTTCACCATGTTGGCCAGGCTGGTCTCAAACACCTGACCTCAGATGATCCACCTGCCTCATCCTCCCAAAGTGTTGGGATTATAGGCATGAGCCACCACACCTGACCCACTCTATGTTTCAATATAGTTTTTAAAATGTTGAACCTTGTTGTTATCAATTAAACTTCTAAACTAAAATTCTATCGAATATAATGCAATGAAAAGGAGACTCCTCTGTTGTATATAATCCAAACAATGGAAAGGATTCAGCACTCACCTGGTTCAAGTAGTTCATTTTACAGATGCGTAAGCCGAGGCTGTCAAGGTTATGTGACTTTGTGAGAAAATGCCCTGAAGGCAATGAGAATCCAGGTCTCTTGACTTTTTAGCCTGGAAAGCTCTGCTTTCTGGTCACTACTTGTCTTTCCATTCATTTTCCCATTTTCCTCTTCCTCAGCCTTGGCCTCTGAGGGTCAAGCCCACCCAGCCTCACACCAAAGACAAATCATTCCCAACAGCCAGCCTCAGGAAGTCTGTTGCTTAGCACTGGACTCCTGCTTATGTGGTGTCCCAATCCCCTGGATTAAGGTTCTGGTTTAATTTCTGGCCCTCTTCCTCTTTGAAAAGACCCAGAGCCACTGCCTCCTGGGGCTTTCTAATCTCAGTGCCTGCAGCCTGCTTGCATGCAGATGCTGACTACTGCTAAGAAGGTCAGCTCTCTGTTGGCTACTTAGCACATTTTCACCAGAGGAACCCAATCAATACGAGAAGGCTTCTTCCTGAGTACAGAGTGAGAGTACAAGAATAACACTGGCTTTGTGAACTGTCACTAACATGTTATGAAATCTGATAGCCACTTTTAAGACATCCATCCAGCAGGAATTGAAAGGCTCCTGTCAGCCATTCAGAGTATCTGTCTATTTTGTGAAAATTCAGAGAGCTGTACACATATACACACTTTTCTTTCTCTATGTTATACTTGAATAAAAATGATTTTTTAAAACAAACATTACTCCGCAAATGTCTATGTAAGTCTTATTTGGGACTTTATGTCCTATTAATGTCTTATTTTCAGCATATGTTGTTTATGTTTCTCTGTCACAATTTTCTCAAAGGCAGAATTTGTTTGGTTAATCTTTATTATTTATGCTGCCAGCAGAGCATCTTGTTTGCAAATTTTGATGGGATTGAGTATAAAATTTTTGCACAGGGCCCTTAAAATATGATAAATATGAATAGTATATATGAAAATAGTATAATAAAATATGATAGTGTATGAAAATCAAACTAGAACCATATGTATCATCCTCCTGCAGTAAGTAGTGAACCACATTGAGATCAATCAGAATCCAAATTAACTAGATTGCATTTCCTATATGGAGGTCCTGCCTGGTCCTAATCCCCCGATTTTGTGACTATGGGACAGACAGAGGATTATATATGAGCTCTCATTATTTAAGCATTTAAACAGAAGATCAGAATGAGCTTTCTCTGTACTTACATCTCTGAGGTTGGCTTGAAGTACCGAGCTGATGTACGTTGGTGTGTACGCCATAATGGTATAAAAAAGCCAGTATTCACAGAAATAAGAGACTAAAATGGCCCAGAGTGGTAAGGATTTGATCATAGCCCTAATGGGAAGAGACCAGCCTGGTGAACAGTCCTGGAAGAAAGCACACATCAATGTCCCCTCCGTCAGAAGGCAGCTCTCTCTATCACATTCTTCATCTCTCAGACGTCTAGAGGGACATAGAGAAATGTCAGAGGAGTTCCTCAATGTACCTGCTGAGCCAATGAACACACAATGTATCTCTTCTCACCAGCACTGATAAAGGGATGATTCACAGGATCATCATAAATGAGAGGAAACCAGAGAGGACAACAAGCACAGCCAATTCCTCCTAGGAAAAGGGGATCCAGTTAGCACTGGATGGATTGAAGTACTTCTTTCAGTTTGACTCTAAGATGATTCCTGTGGTTGACAGAGTGACTGGCCTCAGTACACCACTCTTCCTGGCATCTATCCCTTGCATGGCCCTATCATGGGGGAGGGTACTTCCTCACCACTTGACTTTGGCCTTGGCCATACAACTTGCTTTTGCCAATGGCATGGAGGAGTTTCAAGCCTAGGCATTAAAAAGGATTTTTTTAAACTTATCCTCTTGGGTCTTGCCCACTGCTATTGGAAGACTATGCTCCAGCTCATCCATTGACCAAGGCAGATGACAGACACAGAGAGTGGAGCCACCCAGCTGTCCCACAAAGAACCATGGGAATAAATGATTATTGTTTTAAACCATTGAGTTTTGGGAGGTTTTGAAATGAACTATTATTAAAGCTATAGCACCCTTACAAGTTAGTAGCGTGTTTGCCCCACGTGCTTGAAAATGCCCTCACCATTCACGTACCAGTCAGCATCCCTCCTGCTAGTCATGCTTTGCAGAGTTCCTTTCATCATTAAACCTTTCCATATCTATCTCTTATCTTCCTCAAAGCACATAAGAGTGAGCAGCAGTACATTATGTGAAATTAATTACCCAATTTGTAGATATGAAATGAAATGAATCCTCAGCAAAGACATTTTTTCTAATATATACATTATTACAGAGTTGGGAATTTAACATTATCAGTATTGAGTGGAAATATGGCCCATCTTCAAATTCCCTTTTTAGAATCTTAAGAAATCTTATGAGCTCTCTTTGTTTGGCTAGCATGTCATTTACAAATTCCTTCACAAACATCATACAGCAGCCACTATACACCACGCTTTTTGCTAAATTTTGAGAATATAAAATGGCGAAGACACAATTTTGCCATCAAGGAACATAATCAAGTGCGGAGGGATAGATATGAAAATTAGCAATGTTGCACATTGGGGTTGGAGGATGTTAATATTTATTCAACAAATATTTAGTGAGTTTCTATTGCGTATATGCTCCTTACTGTTTCTTGAAACCATAAGCACAGTAAGATTTTCTTGTTGTTTGAATAATTTTTGTAACCTGCCCTTTCAAAGTTTTCATGATAAAAACTTTAAAGGTTGATATGCTATGGAATCATTACATATTTTATTTTTGGTGAATATATTCACCTGATTTTACAGAAACCCTTGATCTAACAGGCCTGTCCTCTAATGAACACACTAGTGGGACTATAAGGTATTACCATAAACAATTTAGGGGTGCGATTTTGGAGAATGTTTCAAATATTAAACAAACTAAAGGTAACAGCAGCTAGGCAGATTCCAACCACAGCTCCATGAAGGTAAAACTGTAACGTAGTAAAATACTGCCTCTGGAACTTTCCAAGTGTCTTTGGAACCTTTCTGCAGCATCTCTCTGTGTATTATGTCCACTTCTGAACCTCACATAATCTGCCCTGTCCTGCAGTCTCCACTAGTTGATTCTCTACTCTAATTAGTATTTTACCTATGATTAGGTCACAGTCACACAATTTTCTAGCTATGATATTAGATTGGTGCAAAAGCAATTGTGGTTTTTGCCATAATAATAACTGGAGAAATTTTAAAGAATATATTAAATTAAAAAGCATGACTAAAATGTAATCTGACTAAAATAACATTTTCTTTTTTTTTTTCTCTTGAGACAGGGTCTCACTCTGTCACACAGGCTGGAGTGCAGTAGTGTGATCTTGGCTCACTGCACCCTCCACCTCCTGGGTTCAAGTGATTCTCCCACCTCAGCCTCCCGAGTAGCTGGGATTACAGGCATGCACCATCACACTCGGCTAATTTTTATAATTTTAGTAGAGACGGGGTTTAACCATGTTGGCCAGGCTGGTTTCAAACTCCTGGACTCATGTGATCCACCTGCCTCAGCCTCCCAAAGTGCTGGGATTACAGGCATGAGCTACCACGCCTAGCCTAAGATAGTATTTTCAACATTTTATGAGATAATTTGCTCTGAATTCCTTTAGGTCAAATTTAGAAGCAGTAAGGAATGTTATGATGCCTCTAATGTCATAAGATTATTCTAGCTACACACTCGGGCTGCTGAAACTTAAATGTTAAATGTAGTTGGCTCTGAACACTACCAGCTTTAGCTATGTAAATATCCATATCTATTAGGATTTGGTTAACCATAGATAAATTGCATCACAGAAGTCTCTGTCATAAAAATTGGAGATTTGAAAAGCACACTCACCAAAGATATAGAAGACGTAAGGCCATCCTATGGTCTGGCAGAGGAGACCACCAGCAAGTAGAACAATGAAGGACCCCAGCATTGACCCTGAACAGAAGAGGCGAGGATGTTCTGGGTGAGAGGACTCGTCTTGGGGCTCTATGTGCTTTCTACAATGCTGAGTTGCACAGTGAGTGAAGGTATGAGTTTCAAGCCAAACTATCTAGGTTCCTTCACTTGGTAACTATGTGATCTTGGAGAAGTTATTAGTCTGTTTGTGTCTGAAATTCCATATGTGTGAAATGGAAGTAATTATATATAGCTGACTTATAAAATTATTTTGAGGATAAGATGAAAATATGTGCAAAACACAAGAATGTTTGGCACATAGTAAGCATTCAGTTTATTCAGTTACAATCAAGTAAGGCAGTATGGGGTAGTGCTTTAAGGAAAGGACTATGAAGACACAGAGATTGATATATAAGATCTTGGTTCTGTTGGCAGGACTTTGCTGAGTTCTCCTGGACAGTGCATGTAAAGTGAGGTTTAGGGTACCAGTTACCTGATCCAGCAATGGTGGTGAGTTGACTCCTTTCCAGTGGGGGAGCCCATTTGACCCAAATTGAATACTGACCAGTTAATACCATAACCTGGGGGGAAAAATTCCATTCTTGGAGATCTGAGGTCATTCTGGAACCTATATTCCACTTATACCTGGAAAACATCTTGGTACCTGGGCTATGCCTTGTACAATCCGGAGGACAATGAGCAAGGCCACTCCCGCATTAGCTGCCAGTGGAATGAAGAGGGTCAGGAATGAGGAAATAAACAAGCCAGCACCAACCACATACTTGGCTCCAAATATTCCAGCCACATAGCCACTGGGGATTGGAGCCAAGAATGAGCCATAGTTGAGGGAGCTGAGGATGATTCCCTGGATTTCAGGACTCCAGTCATATGCAGGGGCCTAGATGACAAAGAGAGTTACTGTTTGTCTTTAGTTGAAGGATTGACAGTTTTCATTGTGAGGACTTGAGAGGCAAAAATTAATTGGCAGTTATCTTTCTGTTTACATTTCTCCAGTTCCTCCAATATACCAGTATCATGTATTTAAAAACCCTAAATATATGCCCAATATACTCTTTCCGCTCACCCTGACACAACTAACCAAAAATTAAAATATAAGAGAGTTCGTAAAGAAACAAAGACTATAAAGAAGAAAGCATCATAAGCAAGGTAGTAAAAAAAAAATACGTGGAAGGAAGAAAAAGCAGACAAATCTGTGAAACATATTTTGTAGTGATTTTCATCATTGTAGGGGAAGAATTTATGTCCACTAAATGGTAAAATGTTTCATTTATTCTAACTTAGTCCCTGGTTACACTCATATGCACTAAGTAGGGATGCAATCCCCTTAGATACTTATTATGTTCTTTATTCCTTTCTTTTCTTTCTTTCTTTCTTTTTTTTTTTTTTAAGACAGAATCTCACTCTGTCACCCAGACCGGAGTGCAGTGGCACGATCTCCGCTCACTGCAACTTCTGCCTCCCCAGTTCAAGAGATTCTTCTGTCTCAGCCTCCAGAGTAGCTGGGATTACAGGTGCCTATGACCATGCCTGGCTGATTTTCATATTTTTAGTAAAGATGCCTCACCCTCCCAAAGTGCTGGGACTAAAGGTGTGAGCCACCATGCTCGGCCTGATACTTAGGTACTTGTGCCATTCCTGGCACATAGTACATGTTCAGTAAATACTTAGTGGTTAAATGAATCTCACTCTTTTATAACTCTTTAAGTCAAATTATTTGAGTCAAAGAAAGAGTCCAGAGTCTCATTAAACTTACCATTGCTTTAAATTCTTTTAGAGTTTCATTCCAGTAGCCCTGGGAGTCAGTGGAGGGCCGTTCTGTGGAAGCATTGGGCTGGCTAGGTGGGGCTGTGTTGTTCACCATAGCTGGGATGGCAATGCTCAAGTTCATTTGTTGGGTGTAAATTGAAAAATTACAGAGCTGCAAGATGAGGGCCAGCCCATGTCGGACTGAACAAAAACCTGAGAGGAAAAGGGCATGAAAAATCACAATCAGAATGCTTTTCTCCCACTCTCCCTAAGTCTGGAAGAAGGAGAAGATTGGTATCTGTCTGAGATGCAGAAATATAGGGAGAGCAGACATTCCTCTGTAGGTGTGTAGTGGAATTTTGTTCCCCTGGGAGGTAATGGGGGAGGTGGCTCCCTCAGAAACATTTCTCAGAGACTTGAAGAATGTGTGGAGTTGGTCAGAACAAGCATTAGGGGAGAGCTTTTTAGGCAGGGCTCTGGGATGAGAAGATTAGAATAGGAATGGGAAGAAGTGGATTTAGAGAAAGAATTGGCTGGGAGCAGTGACCGATTGGGTATGGACAGTGAGAGAGAGGAAACTGCTGGAGATGACTCCCAAGTTCCCTGCTTGGGCAGCTGGGATAGCTGGAAGTGCCATTTATAACCAGGAAACATGGAAGATTAGCTTGTCTGGGGCTGGGGAGAGATGAAACTTGAAAGATAGGCTATGGTTAGATCATAGAAGTATTTAAACTTCATCTTAATACTATAATCTATGCTTACACAAAATTTGCTAGTGTTCCATAGGAGCTCTGGGGATATCCCTGTGGTTGAGTCCATATACATTAGTTTGACAACAGCGGGAAGAATTCATCCACTATCCCTGTAGAGAAATCCCAGAGGTAATGTATGATCACAAGGTATGAAGATGCCATTTTCTTGGTTCCTGAAAGGGAGCAAATGCTCTTGGAATGGACAGCATGGTTTCATTTTGTGTAGTAATGCTCTTGCTAAGTTCTAGCTCTTACCTTTGGTTCAACTCTGAGAGCATTTAGTTCCCCATCCCCAACCCAGCCAATGCACCACCCATGAAAATCTACATTGGAATTTTGATCAGTCATATTGATATGACAGATTAAATTAAGAAGGATTGCCACATTTGTAGGATTGTCTTCTAGTCAAGAAGAGATACCTACCCATGTACCAGTATTGGTCTTTTACTCAGTCCGAGGTGGAATTTTATAGTTATCTTCAGTTAAGGCCTTCACAAATTTTGTAAATTACTTTTTATTGTTGTGTAACTGTTCTTTTTCCTATCATATTCATCAGCTTTTCCCCCACTGAGTTTTGATTCAATAAAGAAAGACAAATTATGGACAAATAATGAAAAATATAGTTGATTATGTTTACCGTTTGCAACACGTATTTCATTCTCCTGGGTAATTTAATTCACCAGCATTTTCAAAAAAATGGACAAAGCAGGAATGGTAAGAATGGGCACCTCAGCTATATTTGCATTTACTGAGACTGCTTCTCACATTACACCACTAGGTATGCTGCTAGTTGTTGGTGTGACATGTCCTTTAATTATATTAAACTACTCTGTTCCTACTTTTAAATATTTTTATGGGGATACATAAGTTTTATAAAATGTATTTTAATCCTAGAATCAGACACCTGCATTCCAATTCCAGCTTGTGTGGTCTACTTATAGCTGTGTATTCTGGGGCAAGGTACTGAGCTCTCTGTGGCCCCCAAATTTTGCCTGAAAAATGAGATTAATAACAGAGTCTACCTCAAGGCACTGTGATAACAACTGAATAAGTTTATGTAAGTTTATTATAATTATAATAGCCTACCACCTTCGTATTATTGGGATGATCTCTTCTTATTCTTAATAGGCTATTACAAAATTTAAAAACATGATGTATTTTGCTAGCATTTTAGCTGGAATTTTATTTAGTATATATAGTTGAGCTTAAAATGTTGTTTATGTACATATGTATGTGCTATTTTTTGCTATACTAGCTTTGTTCTTTTTTAAAAGTTATAAGCTTCCATCTCAATCTGTGATCTGAAATGTTTTAGGTACATAGCCATTTTTCTTAATAAATTTTTAATTTTAGGACAGTTTTAGATATATAGAATTGTTGAGTTCCTCTATATCTCACACAAAATTTCCTGTTATTAACATCTTATGGTGCATTTGTTGCAATTAATAAACCTGCAGTGATATATTATTAACTACTAAAGTCCACAGTTTATTCAGATCTCTTAGTTTTTAACTAATGTCCTTTTTCTGTTCCAGAATCCCATATAGGGAGCCACATTACACTTAGTTGTCATGTCTCCTTGGGCTCTTCTTTGGTATGACACTTTCTCAGACTTACCTTGTTTCTAAAATGTATTCTAAATACTTTGTAGTCTAAAATGTCTAAAGACCTTGATAGTTTTGAAACGCACCAGTCAGGTGTTTTGTGGGGCATCCCTTAATTGAAATTTGTCTGATATTTTTCTCATGATTAGACTGGGATTATGTGTTTTTGAGAGGAAGGCCATGGAGGTAAACTCATTCTCATCACATCATATTAAGGCCACACACTGTCAACAAGACTTCTTACTGTTGAGTTGATCTTGGTGCCCTGGCTTGAGGTAGTGTTTGTCAGGTTGCTCCACTGTAAAATTACTCTCTTTTTTCTTTTTCTCCTTTTAATTTTTTGTATGAATTAATATGTACAAATGTACTCTGGAAGAAGTCACAAGCACCAGTCACACTTAAGGAGCAAGGAGCTAAGCTCCATCTTCAGAAGGTAGAGTGCTATATGAACTATTTGGAACTCTTCTGCACAGGATAAATAGGCATTTTCCTCTCCTTAAAAATCTCATATAATTTTTCTAGTGAAACTACTAGAATATATTTGTTTGTTTCTGTGTTTGTTTTAAAAGGAATAACTTTTTGACAATTTTCTTCATTTCTTAGTTGTTTTTTGACATGTATAATTTTTTCTTTATTCATATTTATAAATTAGAAACATAAAAATGTATAATTCTTAGAAATAATAATTTCTATAAAATTATAATTCAATTATATTTTAAATATTAAATTTTAATAAGTTAATTATGATTATGTAATTAAAGTTTTTATAATTATAAATTATAATTCCTAGAAAATCATTTACTTATGTACTTTCCCTATAATTAGCATATTATACATTTTCAATGCTTCTGTCTCCTATTTTCTCATAATTGCTTGTATTTAATCTCTCTGCCTGATTAATCTGAGTAGTGGATTGTTTTATTGCCTTGAGTAGCATCATTTTTATCAAAGAACCAGCTCTTGTATGTATTTTTAATCCAATTTTTTCATGATTTGAGTTCACATTATTTTCTATAAGTTGTCTGTTTCATTTTTCTATGTAATTTCTTTGAAGTTGTAGGCTCAGTGAATTGGATGTTTAATTAACTAGTTTTCATTTTTTATTACACAATCTTTGTTTTCTTCCTTTTCTCAAATCTATCTTCTCCTTGCTGCTACTAAT
Organism: Homo sapiens; assembly: GCF_000001405.40. Lineage (NCBI taxonomy): Eukaryota > Metazoa > Chordata > Mammalia > Primates > Hominidae > Homo > Homo sapiens. Next base: position 25,765,679 of record NC_000006.12, on the reverse strand, counting down.
TCCATTTTAACTCTGCAGTGACATTTTTTTCCTCCTTAGTTTCCTTTCTCATCTATATTGGGACTTCTTCCATATTCTTCTGTTGATTTACTTCCTACACTCTATGATTTTATTATTATTGTTATTGTCATTATTGAGAACTTTAAGAAATTGAAGATGAAAATATTCCTCAATTTCCCCGTAATAACGTAAGCACAGCAGTGTGATGTAAAAGCTAACAACAGCTGGTTTAAATCCAGCTGCTACCTCTTTGTGCCTGGATGATTAAGATGTGTTACTTCATCCCTCTGTGCCTGAGCAGGCTCCTACAAAATGGGGATGATGCTAGTAGCACTTTTCCTGAAGGATTGTTGTGAGAATTCAATGAATTAATACATAAAGACTGCTTAGAACAGTGTCTAACACAGGGCATGCACTCATTATGTGACAGCTATATAATGAACTGTTATCTTTCATAAGTGTACCTGTCAATTTCTTTTTTTATCTAACACATGCCTTATCTTATTCTTTCCTTTGCACAAACATATTTACGTAGGTTCCTTGTAGTCCACCCCTACAGCCTTGGACCATAAAAGCCAGTTGTGTGTGACTTTGTTCTCACATTTTGAAACCCCTGCACAGGGCCACCCATGCTGGTTTGAGGCCCAGCTATAATGTGGTGGTGTATGTGGGTGGGCTGGTGGCAGGGGTGGGGAGGAGGAGGTAGGGAATTCTTTCACCAATTCAAGGGAAGCTAACTACTGTACCATTTTAATTCTGCAATAACATTGTATAATTTGAGAGAAAGCCTTCCAAATTTCCAAGTTGATTTCTGCAGTTACTCATATTTTCCTCTGCTTTGTAGCACTGGCCCCTGATGCTAAATTGCAGATCAGAAAGGCCAGTGAAGCGTGAGGGGAAAGCTGCAGGATGTGGACCCATGCACGCTTCACCCAGCACATCCCAGCACTGCAGACCCTTGAGGGGCTCATGGGGTCTGTGGTCTGCCCAGCTTCTGGACACTGCCACTCCAAGCTGAGGAGCACAAGCTGAAGCTCCACAGCATCCTCTTTGTTCTTCCTATAACACTGCACCCTGCCTCAAGGATGGGAGTTTTATGAGCTCTTGGCTCCTCTCTCAATTTCTTCCAAATTGTATTAAATCTGTCTGCAAGATTTAGAGTTTGTAGTGTGTGGTAGGAATAATTCCTTAGTTTCAATCTAGTTGGAAGTACTTTCTCAAAGTGTTGTGCTTGTTTTATTCATTTCCATGGCTTTCAGAAGGGGATGTTGTTGTAAATTGTCCTTCAGATGGCATTCTTCCCCATGGTGGGGGGCAGTATATCTTTCCTGCAGGCATTTGATATGGAGAAAGGATACCGTCCCTGATATTGTTCTCAGTGCCTTTCCCACCCTTCTCTGGTCTCCACAGTAACAGAGGGACAAATATCTGGAAGCTACAATCCTCAGGATTCCATTCAGATTCCACAAATGAGGGCATTCTGGCCCAAGGTGGCAGGCCGAACTCAATGAGAAACCACTATGCTCTGGAGGCAGCTGCAGGTGGATAAGTGAGGATCAGTCATGTTAGACATGGGATTTCTGCCTGTGACTTTGGGGTGTCCTCCTGAAAAATACCCACTTTGTGATGCACATGGCTGGGATCATTGGCAGTGTCATGTCCTGGATTTTCTGAAAGTAACCAACCTGACTTTTGCTTCCCTAGCCTTCCAACGTTTGTGGAATCTTCCAGTCCCCTATATTAATCTTCTTTCTTCTCAGAAATACCTAGATTTGCTTTTGATTTTGTGATATAACCCTGACTGATACAGAAAGAAGCTCATGGACTTCTGGGGGAAAAGGGGATCAGAAGGTCAAAGTGATGTCTGTCTACAGCCTGGCCCCAGAAATCCCTAACTGACACTGATAGAGAAAAACTACTGATCTTCAGGCAGAACCTGAAGGCCCAGCTTTTTTCACTCAAGGTTTCTGGGTTATTGGAACAGTTACTTTGCATAAGCAGGTGACCAGATAATGGGGGAGGGGGCATTTCTCCACATCCCATGGAACCCCTGGATTCAGCTCACTGAGTGTCTTAGAAACACAGCAAAGATATGAGTGGCCTTTGGAGATGGGGGTACTGGTACCCAGAGAAAGCCCCAGCAGTGCCCTGGGAGTCTAATACAGAAGATCCAGCCATGTCCAGTAAGCATGAGCCAGAGAAGGGGATGAGAATAAAACTGATGTTGGACACCAACTGACAAAGCACTCTGCAAGGTTTATTCCTAAGCATTTGTGAGAAATACTTGGATACACAACAAAATAACTTGGTAAGGCTTGGAGGAGTAGCTGGGGTTCTGCCTTATTAGGTAGGATGAGACTACCAAAACAGGATGAGTGTTAGTAGCATGATGCTGTTTGAAACAACAGGCCAGGGTAAAGTGGGTTACAAAGTTGTTGTCTGATACAGCTATAGCCTGGAGTGGTCACCAGAGGACTGGGTGGCATGGTAGGCCAGATGTTGTAGGAGACTATAGAAGGAACCAGAAAGACCATAGAAGTTCCACTTTAGACAAATTATAAATGAACTTTCCAATGACTGCCCAAAGGTGGGCTGAGGAAGGGACACTATGTGAGTGGTAATAATGAGCTCATAAATGGCAAAATCAGGATTGGAAACTCAAGCATTCTGATTTCTGACCCGTGCTTTTACCCAGTATGCCATACTGCACCTTGGTAAAATTTTACACATAAGTTCTTCGTATTATTAATTTTAAGGGAGAGACAGAATGATAGGATAAAAGAATTTGGCCAATGGTATAGTCTAGTAGACTCTGAAATCCTTAGAAACAGATGAGACCTTCAGCCGAGACTACTGGAATAGTATTCATTCTGGGTCAAATGGTGACTAGTTGTAGGTTGAGTACTAACATGCACATTTCCTGATTTCTTCTGTGATGGTTGAGATTAGGAGAAATCTCTTTTCTTGAAGATATGCATAATTCTTAACAGACAAACTGGCTAAAATGTTGAGTATTACAAAGCATTCCATCTTGGTTAGGGTTTTGCCTTTTGAAGTCATTATCTTATGAAATGACTATATCCTTAAAAGAATTAATGGATAACATAGTTATAACTCATTAAGCATTTAGGGTAAAATAAGATGTTCTACAGTTTCCCTTAATGCATATTATAAAAAGCATGATGTTGTAATATAGATAAGAGAAAGGGAGAAAGGTGACTTCTATGACATGGTAGAAGCAAAAAGCCCATTTTGGGGTTCGGGGTCAGGTCTGGATTTAACATGAGCAGAGAGATCTAATAGGACATGTCTTGGACTTAGAATCAGACAAGCCAAGGTTGGTTTCTATATTTCCTACTTAGAACCTGTTCTGATTTTTTTCCTTCATCTCTAAATAATGTCATGATACCTGCCTGTCTTATATACCTTCAAAGTTTCTTATGAGAAATGAAATAATTATCAATAACAATGTATAACCGTATAGAATTATTGGCAATTGGTGGTAGCAAGGAAAATGATGTGTATCAACAAAAGATGCCACAGATCCTAGTTTTATTTAGTACCACAAGTTACAGTGCCACAGATCCTAGTTTTATTTACTACCAGATTACTGTGCATGATTTTACCTTTCCTGGAGCATTCCTCTTGAGCCACGTTTAAATTGCCATCACTGGAAATGTCCCCCACTGTAGCCTTGACATCTGGTCCGGTAGACATTTTGGTTCTCTCTTCCTAGGGACTGGCATTTACTTACTGAAATAAAAAGAATACAAAAGAAAATACAGGGAGAATCTTATATGATATTACCCCAATTCTTTCTAAGAACTAGGAGCAAATGTTGCTGTATAAGAAAAGTGGTAGATTAGGGTTTATGAAAACTAACTTGTCATCCTGGCTCTATCACTAACCAATTGGTTGGTCTTTGAAAGGTCGCAGTTTACCCTGGGTCTTAGTATTTATATCTCGCAAGTGAGAAATCTGGCCTGGATTGCCTTCATAAATTGTAATATCCTTTCTAGTTCTGTGTTCCCATGTCTCTAAATTGATACTAGTATCAAATGGACATGAAAACTTGACAACCTTATTTGAAATTTCATCTAGGAGATTCCAGTGGATTAAATTACCTGAAAAACTATTATAAACACCTATACATATTACATAAAATATAGCAAACACCCTTTTACGTAGCTGCAAAGACAGTAAGAGATATCTCCACCGAGTTAGATGTCTGTGCTAACTTCAGTGACCATGAGATTGGGTCACAGAAGCATCAATTTCAGTGATGTGGGGGCCTGAGATCTAAGTGCCTGTGGGGATGAAGGATGAAGCCTTAGGCCCATGCCAGGGAGGCGATTATAAGGGAGATTCTAATATAGAGTCAGATGCCTCACAGGGGTTCAAAACTTGGTTACAGAGGCTCTTCCCCTTTCAACAATAACAGTGACAACCCTCTTTGTCCTGAGTTATGGTTTGAAAATAAAGTACTTCACCTGAAAATTGTGAAAGTTCATATCTAGGTTATGGAGAATTGAGGGTTGGAATTCATACTGTCTTCATTGTCTGAGAACTCATCCCCAGCTAAAAAACTGACCAAAGAATCAAGCCCAGTCTGATTCACTCAAAACAGATTACACAGAATTACTGCAGATGAAGCTCTATATATTATGAGCTCAAAATAAAAAATTATAAACACTCAAAAAAGTGATCCATCCAAAACAAGTTTTCAGACTCAATGTGTAGCAAAATTAAACTACTGCGAACTTCCAAAAATAGAATAAACTGACAAAGACATTATGTAAGTATGCTTTAAATAATTGAAGAAATAAAATATGGACCCTAGAACATAAAAAGATACCAAAAAGAATAGGCAGATTTAAGAAAGATACTACTTGAAATACAAAAAAAATTAGGCATTAAAATTTGAAACTAAGTGACTAGACATAGCTAATGAAAGAATTAGCAAAATCAACGGTAATGAGCTATGTAAATTGTACAGAATAAAGCTCAGTGAGATGATGAGGGATGACAGCAAAGTTAAGAACCTGGAAAATGGAGTGAAAAGGTCCAATGTATGTTGAATAGGACTTCTAGGAGGACAAAATAAAGAGAACTGAGAAAAGGCAATACTTTAGGAAATAACGGATAGGAATTTTTCAGAAGAGATGAAACCACAAGATTTCTCAGATTCAGGAATCAAAATGAGTCTCAAGCTAGAGAAATGAAATGAAATTTACACCTAAACATATTTAAGGATACTGCAGGACACAAAAAGAGCAAAACTTATTTATAATAATAGATACCATAGAAGATCACTTACAGAAGGGGAGAAATTAATTACAGCATTCTATCAGATATGGAGTAGCATTTGCTCAACTTCTTCAAGCTAATAAAAAAATAAAATACAGTAAATTGGTAAAAAGTAGGAAACTATTGGAATAATATATGAATATAGATTAAGAACAAACATGGGAAAATGTGCTTCGCTTTGCTATCAAGGACATGGATATTAAAAGAACCAGATCCTATTATTTCTTACCTATCAGTTTTCATAAACATTTTAAAAAACTATGATCACCAAGCTTAGGCAAAAATGTGGGGAAATGAGCTATTGTTTGAGGGAGTCAAGCTGCATCCTCCCACTTGTATTGCTGCTTCACGGTGTGTACCAGAGACTAATAAGCACAGCCACACAGAATAATATGTTTCAGGACATTCCTTAAAGCAATATTTGTAAAAGCAAAAAGTCAGGAGCTAACTAATGATTATTTAATATTTGCATAGTTAAATGCAGATATTTTCTGAAATACTATACAGCTATCAAAGAATTGGATACATATATAAAAGCATATAAAGATTTAAAAGACAGGTAAACAACCAAGTATCTATAGTCTTCAAGAGATTCACCTAACATCTAAGGATTCACATAAACTTAAGGTAAAGAGGTGGGACTAGATATTCCATGCAAATGGACACCAAAAGCGAGCAGGAGTAGCTATTCTTTTTTTGTTTGTTTTTGTTTTGTTTTTTGAGACGGAGTCTCACTCTGCCGCCCAGGCTGGAGTGAGGAGTAGCTATTCTTACATCAGACAAAACAAACTTATAAGCAACAGCAGTTGAAAAAGATAAAGAGAGACATTATATAGCAACAAAAGGACTACAGGAAAATATCACAATCCTAAATATATATGCACCTAACACTGGAGCTCTTAAGTTTATAAAACAATTACTACTAGACCTAAGAAATGAGATAGACAGCAACATAATAATAGTGGGGGACTTCAGTACTCCACAGACAGCACTAGACAGGTCATCAAGACAGAAAGTCAGCAAAGAAACAATGGACTTAAACTATACCCTAGAACAAATAGACTTAACAGATATTTACAGAACACTCTACCCAACAACTGCAGAATATACATTCTATTCATCAGCACATGGGACATTCTCCAAGACAGACCATATGATAGGCCACAAAACAAGTCTCAACAAATTTAAGGAAATCGAAATTATATCAAGTACTCCCTCAGACCACAGCAGAATAAAATTGGAAATCAACTCCAAAAGGAACTCTCAAAGCTGTGCAAATACATGGAAATTAAATAAGCTGCTCCTAAATGATCATTGGCTCAACAATGAAATCAAGATGAAAATTAAAAAATTCTTTGAACTGAACGACAACCGTGACATAACCTATCAAAACCTCTGGGATACAGCAAAAGCGGTGCTAAGAGGAAAGTTCATACCATTAAATGCCTACATCAAAAAGTCTGAAAGAGCACAAATAGACAATCTAAGTTTACACCTCAAGGAACTAGAGAAACAAGAACAAACCAAACCCAAACCCAGCAGAAGAAAAGAAATAACCAAGATCAGAGCAAAACTAAGTGGAAATTGAAACAAACAAACAAAAAATACAAAAGATAAATGAAACAAAAAAGCTGGTTCTTTGAAAAGATAAATAAAATTGCCAGACCATCAGCGACACTAACCAAGGAAAAAAGAGAGAAGATCCAAATAAGCTCAATTTGAAACAAAACGGGAGATATTAAAATTGATACCAGAGAAATACAAAATATCATTCAAGACTACTATAAACACCTTTACGTGTGTAAACTAGAAAACCTAGAGGAGATGGATAAATTCCTGGAAATATAAAACCCTCCTAGATTAAACCAGGAAGAAATAGAAACTCTCTCTGCAAAGGAATGGGGAGGGTAGGAACGGCCATGCAGGCATTGAACTTTGTCTTTGGTGTTTACATGTGTTACAACAATAATGTAATTTGAATTATTACTGTAATTAAAAATAAATTTCAGGGACACAGGTAGGCTGAGATGAAAAAGGTGAGAATGTTTTTAGAGACAGTTGCTGGTATTCTCTGTCAGGTATTCACTCTCACTCCAGGAAAGAAAGGAGGAGGGCACTGCCCCGTCACTTCAAGTCAAATTATAGGAGCTGCCTGCAAGGAGGTCATTCAGGGAGCTTGACATATGTCCCCTATGTGTGTGTGCATGTGTGTGCATAAAGGTGAGTGACACATGCCTCAGAATCTAAGGGCATGAGGTGGTGACTCTTGGTCTGAGGCTGCAGAGCACAGCAAAGGTCTACACCACACTGGAGGCTGTGATACGTCCCACGGCAGCAGAGGTGAAGAAGCACAGGTGGAGACCAGCAGGTCCCTTGTGAACCAGATACGGATGACTCAGGAAAAATCCAGTTTACAATCTCTTAAATGACAACTGTCTGGAGAAGCCACACGACCCCAAAAGACAGGGCGGACTGCCTGATGCCCAACACCTGAGAAAGGAACCCTAACTGCTGAGTTAGTGAACACATATCACCCCTGACATGGGAGGACTGGTGGATGCCCCCAGTGGGGTACAATAAAGGATTCAGCATTGAACATTCATCCAACCCAGAGACCACCAATGCCAGGTCACAAGAGCTCCAGCTAAGAAAGACACTTCCTGCTTCTTGCTTCTAACTCCCTACCCACCAGCCCTGGAAAGATCAGAAGCCACAGCTAGCAAGAGGGGTGAGAGGAGTTGCTGACAGAGAAAGGGATCAAGAAACCAACCAAATGATCCCTTCCCTCCCCAGGCCCAAACTGGAGCAGCGGGTTGGGGGGCAGGGGAAAGAAGGTATACTTTTAGATCAAGTTTGGAATTTTCTGGTTTTCACTGGACTGGACCTATTAATTAAAAAATGAGATTATTTGAAGACTACAAATAAGCAATAAATCTATTACTACTGACAATGATCAGAGAAGTTACAGCACCAAGCAGATATAAAGTTACAGCACCAAGCAGATGTAAAGGAATAAAATGTAAAGGGATAAGCAGTAGGTGCTGGTGAAATGAAATCATTTTCCATGTGCTCTCTGTGAAGGACTATTCTTATTAATATAAAAGAAAATAGACCTGATCCTTTGGTGCTATTGTGTTTAAAGATAAGTGGAAATGTTATGTAACGTACCACTAAAGCTGGTAAGTAAGCAACTGACAGAGAAGTTGCCTCAATGATGTCATTCAAAACCACAGATGTTAGACCATGGAACCCTCTAGTCTGCACTGGAATTCGAAAACACACTCAAAATTGAATTGAAATCCAAACAAATACTCATTGGCAAATGGAATGGTTCTGGTAATTCTGAAAAGAAACTTGGTAAAATGAGGGGACTGAATAGTCTGCTGGAAAAATAATTTGCTTATCATTTATTTTCACACCTCAGGGCAATTAGTTGAATTGAAAAAATCATATCAGTCACAAGAACTAAAGACATAGCTTTCAGGGCAACATTTTTTTCCACAAGCTATACCCACACAGACTCTTCGAGTGTTCCAATGTCTAAGAGTTCACTGGCCGCAAGTTCATTCATTGATTCAGTAAATATTTATTGAATCAATGAATGCAATGTTGTGCTTTCATAGCTCCATCTCCTGCATGACTGAAGAACTTAGTTCTCATTAAATTGCCCTCTCCTTTTACTTATTATAACCAGAAATCAATTGCCAGTTTTTTCAGTAACAGGCGATAATGGTTTTGCTGGCGTTAATGAGAGCAGTGGGAACAGACAGCCGAGGGTGAAGGGAGGACAGTGCTGTTGTGGGGACAGCGTGATGCAGGCACAGACAGTACACCTGCGAGAAAGTTACATCCCAGGAGGGGCACATATGAAAAGAAAGAAGTAAGAATGCCACATGGTATGAAAAAAACAAGAGTAGCATTGACAGCAACTAGGTCATTAGCATCAGGAGAGGAGGGCAAGCACTCTGCCTAGTCTAACCACTTACCTAGTGTGGTTGTGTGAAATGGTTATATTTGAGCTGAAACGGGAACACTGAGAAGGAGACAGCGCTGAGCAAGAACAATTCCAGGCAGAGGAACCAGCAAGTTTGTCACGTTTTTCTAGGCAGAAGGTAGTCCAACATGGCGATGCAGAGTGAATGAGGAGGTTAATGGTAGGAGATGAGATCAAAGGGGTGGGCAGGATGGTCTCGATCTCCCAAAATGGCCAGACCATTTTGGGTCCTATAGGCCTGGTAAGGGGACTGGATCTACTATGGCCACTGTGTGGCACATGGGCTGTAAAGGACAAGATTGAGAACCAAGAGACTGAACAAGAAGTTGTTTCTTCACCTGTACAAGTGTTGATGGTGGATGGGCTAGGCTAGTTGTGGTGAAAAAGACCACATTCAGGACCTGTTTTGGAGATATGCCACTAAGACTTGCTAATGAGGTGTATATGGGAATGAGAGAAAGGGAAGAATCATCAGAGACTTCTAGACTTACGGCTTGAGCAAATGAGTGAATAGTGTTGCACTCAAAGAAGTTGGCGAAATGAGCAGGGAGGGCAACAGGTTCCAGAGGAAAAGCAAGAACTTTATTTTGGACACTTGGGGTTGAGACTCCTGTTAGACCCAGAAGGGAAGATTGACAGGTAAGTTTTGTGTCTGTGAGTCCATAGCTAAGAACAGAAGGGCCTTTGTAGAAATATAAATGTGTGAGTCATCAGCCTTATCTATTTATTTTGAAACCAGGTAAATGAGGAAAAAACAGCAAAGAAATGGAGCCAGCCATTCTTATATCAATTTCTCATCAGTTTTTCTTGCCAAGACTGCTTGTGTCTGTTCTTTTTGGATTCATATGCACCCTGTTCCTCTGCTAGTTATCAGTCCACTGTAGAATGAGACTTTTCCTTAAGGTGCTGGGCAGAGCTATTAACAGCTCAAATGTCATCTTAGGTGGTCTCAGCACTGAACATTTTTCCTCCTTATGAGAAACAGCCCATGGCTCTTATTCACAGTTTGCAAATAAAGTCCTCTGCCCTAAACTCTTCATCATTAACTACTTCCCAAAGCCATATTAGATTTCATTTATTTTGCTTTCCCATAAATTCGCTGGAACCAAACCAGAACCGTTTGGTTTTCATTAATTTTTTAGGCATGATGAAAATCTTCCTCTCTGAGAATTCAGTATTGGCATTTATTGTCTCACTGTGGATTTGATCAATGCTTAAAAAAATTAATGTACTTCACAAAAACAATCCAAATATATCATTTAGTTTCTGTCTCTTCCTCTCTCTCTTTCTTCCTCTGTGTGTGTGTGTGTGTGTGTGTGTGTGTGTGTGTATGTGTGTGTGTCTGTCTGTCTGTCTCTGTTCAGCTATACTTTTAGAAAATTTCATTCTCTTGAATTAATTCCCTGTAGTTCCAGGGCTCTTAATGCAACATCCCTTCTCACTTACCAGAATTATCTCAGGACACAGGCATTCTCTTCTCCACTCCCACAATCTCTGCCCCTAAACAGCAAATTAAGCTGCTCTCTAACAGAAACAGACCCATTCCCATCATCTCAAAAGCAGAATATTAAGGGTAAAAGTTTGAAAGCTAACTAACCTGAGGGAGGAAGAGTGCAGGATCCTCATTCCTTTCAAATAAATATTCTAAGCTCTTTGCAATTGTCTAATTCTGGGAGGTAAATAATTACCCAAAACCTTTAGCCCTTATGTTACCAGCTTGGAGAATTTTATTGGCCCAGTGGTTTAATTTTTAACTTTACATTTTATTGTTTGATTGATAATCAAATCAAGCTCATTAAATCTTCCTCATGCTTCAAGCCCAGCTGAGGTCACCTATGTCTTCCCTCATCCTTAATCAGAATCAATGTCCCTTCTTATAAGGATCCTGACACCCCACATGTTTCACTGACAGCACTATCCCCTTCTGGGGTCTCTCAGAGTTATTATAATCTTCATGGAGATGGGGTATATTTTGCCCCTTTTGAGTCCCTTTTCCACCATCCTGCTGTTTAATAGAACTGAGCTTTCCAAAGAGGAGAGACTTAATACATTTTGGTCGACTTGAGTGATTTTTATGGTTTTCTGATTGTAATTTTTTGCACAAAGGCCATTGAGTTTTCCATGAAAATTAACTCTGTGATTCTCCTCCCTTTTATGGCAAAACATTTCAGAAGACTCATACATATTTGCATTCTGGTTCCCCACCTCTAGTTTTCTCATGAATCCATCAGCAACAAGACAGCCCTTAGCAAAGCCATCACCAGCCTCTCTGCCAGCAAATCCAGTGGTCACATCCCAGGCCCCATCTGTCAGTGCTTGACAGATTCCACCACTCGTTCCTTCTTGATGCCTTGTTTCATTTAATTCATTCAGATCTGATTTTCCTCGTGTCTCATTGGTTGTTCCTTGTCAATACGTTTTGCTGAATCCTTATCTTTTCTCTGGTTTCTAATGTTGATATGCCTAAGACTCTGTCCTTGAACTTCCTCCCTATCTAAACTCACTCCCAAGGAGATCTCAGCCAGTCCCCTTTCCTTTCACACCCAATTCTGACCTCTTCTCTGAGCTTCGACTTCAACTTCATCCATCTCTCCTTGAGTACCCATTAGGTATCTCAGTCTTATGACTGCAAGCAGAACTGAATCTCCCTCCAACCCTACTCCTGGCCCAGGATCCCCCATCTTGGTTAATGGCATTACCATTTCCCTGTTAATCTTGCCAAAAAAAAGTCAGCCTTCATTCTATACTTTCCATCAACATTAATTCCAACAGTATGTTCTATCAGTTCCACCTTCATCTCTTTCCATTATTTTTTATTTTCTCCATTCCTATCACAATCATCTATCACCAGGGTAAATAAAATGATTATTTACCGGGCCCCACTGTTTCCATTCTCTCTCTTTTAATCCACCCCACATAGCAGGCAGAATGTTGGAAATGTACATATGATCATGTTACTTACTGGTGTAAAAGTCTTCCAAAGCCTTCCCAGAGAACCTAGGAGAAAAGAGAGCAAATTCACCTTCCTGAAGGTGCTCCAACACCTTACATCACCTTGGACACACCAACCTTACTGACCTCTGCCCTGCTGTCCTTCCCTCACTAAATTCCAACTAGTTCTGCCTTGTCCATGAAGTTCAAGGCCTTTACACTTGCAGTTCCTCCTGTCAGTGATGCCCAATTCCCCAAGATGATTGCCAAGTGTTTTACCAATGTTGTTAGAAAAGTAAAACACTTGAAAATAGATTTTCCAAGAAGCCTCTAATATGGTCTTGATTTTGTGTCAGCCTAGGCTAACTTGCATATTTGTGTCTTAGTTTTAATAAATCTTTTTTAATTTTTAAAAATTAAAAATAGATCAAAGCTTATAGAATAAGGGTATAAAGAAAATGTTTGGTGTTTTTTTTTTGTTTTTTTTTGTTTTTTTGAGACGGAGTCTCAGACTGTTGCCCAGGCTGGACTGCAGTGGCGTGATCTCGGCTCACTGCAAGCTCTGTCTCCCGGGTTCACGCCATTCTCCTGCCTCAGCCTCCCGAGTAGCTGGGACTACAGGCGCCTGCCACCACGCCCAGCTAATTTTTTGTATTTTTAGTAGAGACGGGGTTTCACTGTGTTAGCCAGGATGGTCTCGATCTCCTGACCTTGTGATCCGCCCACCTCAGCCTCGCAAAGTGCTGGGATTACAGGCGTGAGCCACCGCACCCGGCCTAAAGAAAATATTTTTGTACAGCAGTACAATATGTTTGTGTTTTAAGCTGTGATTACCAGAGTCAAAAAGTTTAAAAACATTTAAAAGTTTATAAAGTCAAAATGAAATAGTAAGCTAGAATTTATTATTGAAGAAATAAAATTTTTTTATAAACTTAGTGTAGCTTAAGTGCACAGTGTTTACAAAGTCTACAGCAGTGTACAGGCATGTCCTGGGCCTTCACATTCACTCACTGCCTCACCCAGAGTAACTTCCAGTCTCACAAGCTCCATTTATGATAAGTCTCCTAGACATACCATTTTTTATCTTTTTACTGTACCTTTTCTATGTTTAGATATGTTCAGATTCTCAGATATCACTGTTTTAATTGCCTGCAATATTCAGTATAGTAACATGTGGTACAGGTTTGTAGCCTAGGAGCAATGGGCTAGACCACATAACCTAGGTGTATAGCAAGCTCTACCATCTAGGTTTGTGTAACTGCACTCTATGGTATCCACACAACAAAACTGCCGCACAGCACATTTCTCAGAATGTATTCCTATGGTTAAGCGTCGCGTGTTTGTATTATAGCAAATATACAGCACATGCTCTGTGGGGAGAAGAAGCAGTAGATGAGTTTCTGTGGCCAGCATTATTAATTGGCTAAGCAAAACCACATTTCCAAATTTCTGTGCCCTAGCTTGTATCTACTATAAGGCATATAGGAACAAAAACTTCATTTCTGTGGCTTCCTTGAAACAAATGGGGCCTACACATTTCTGGCCATTGATGCATAAAAAGAAGTAGGCCTGTGTCTCATCTTTTTTTTTCTTTTTTCTTTTTCCTTCTGCCGTAACAGTGGATATCAGGTCTTGAGGTATGGCAAGTACCTGAGGCTCATTAGACAACAGCAAGATGAAAGCCAATAAACTGATGATGGCTCTATCAGTCAGGATAAGCTAAGTTACACTGGGATAACAAATGACCCAAAAATCTCAGTTGCTTATAATAACAAAGTTTTATGTGCTGTTCACAATTCATGACCATCGTGTCTTGGCTACAGCTTCTCACCATGTTTTCCTCACTTAGGGGCCCAGTTTGACAAATCAGGCTTTATTTGGAATATGGATGGTCTCATGGCAGAAGTAAAAGAGAAATTATGGTGAGCCAAGTGCTTGCTCTTACAGGTTTTGCCTAGGTGTCACTTCCACTCAAATTTCATTGGGCAAAGCAAGTCAGATGGCCAAGCCCAATAGAACCAAAATAGAGAAATACAATTCTTTCCAGGGCAGGGCCAGGGAAAATTTTTGAACAGTCATATAAGCTATCACTGTCCAAGCTTCAATTCAAAATTATTTAGTTAGTAAACTATCCTTTCTGCACACAAAATATACTTAATCCCTTCCTATGAAAAGCCAAGTCAAAGTCTCATTTAATTATAGCTTCAGGGCTGATGTTGACAATTTTATGATATTATCTCGTCAGGTTGAATATGACTTGTCTTGCTCCAGAAACTCATGAACTAACGAGACTAGGTGTCTGCTTCCCCTACACACCCATGCACACCCAATGTGTCATGCTAGGACACAGAAAAGATAATTGCAGACAGAATTGCACAGGAGTTTGTAGTTCAAAGAAATCTGAGATCATGTGGGTAGCTATTTCAGTCTTCCTCCTATCTCCGCATATGTGATAATCCCTAATTAATCTGTGGCTGTGCATGCCATGAGTAATTCCCCTAGGATATTATTTTTCACAGGTCTTGGCTCCATGCTCTGGCCAGTCCTTCCTTTTCCAATATCTCCTTTGACCATATTTGAATAGTCCTTGCAGACTGGGCAGAATACTAGGCCCATTGCTGACAAAAAAAATTTTTTTAAAATACGACACCCCCCTCCCCCCACACACACAAGTGACATAACCCTTGATAAGTCACAGTCTCCTTTATCCAGGTTGGTAGTTCTGTGGTATTATGTCACTCAAAATCATAACCAGTTTCCTATACAAGTGCTTCTCCTTCCCTCCTTTCTCTCTCTCTCTCTCTCTCTCTCTCTGACATGGGTTACTTTGAGCCTACCAGGCTTCAATAGAAAAGCCATAACCTTTGCTTCATTATTTTTATGAATGGTTACCACCTTGATTTGATACTTGCACAAGACCAAGCTTTAAAAGGACTTTCTTACTTAAATCATTTCTCAGTTTTATCTTTAACTGTTGGGAGTTGAGAAATAGTATCTTTCAACTCAGTAAGTCTACAGTTTTTAGTTTCTCTCAATTTCCTTCATTCTGATTTTCAAACCAGCTAATTACTTTTTCAGATTATGTCTTGTTTTATTATACTTTGTGAAATATAGTCAATAGTAAATCACATGATTTACATTAACTATGCCAAGAACTTCACCAAAAATAATAAGCTCAATAGGGAAATTACCTATAAATTCATTTCTAAAGTTTTCTAAATGTTTCACCTATGCAAATTAAGTACTACTGCCCTTCTAAACTCTAATAACAGCTTCTTTTCTGCTCCTATCCCATCCCTGAAGCCAATGCCCCAAAAAAGGCGGTGCTTTGTTTTATTTTGTTTTTAATCTATGGCAACACCCTATGCTACGCCTTGCACTAATTTCTGTGTTGGTTAGGAAAGGAGAAGTTAGGCTGTGGTAAGAGATGAAGCCTTAATTAGTGGCATACAATGTAATTTTATTTCCTGCTTCAAGATACATGTCTAGCACAGGCCAGCAGCAGCTGTGATCCACATCATCTTCATGTTGGGACCAGGCTTATAGGCAGCTTCCATCTGAAACATTACAGCCAGTCTCATGGCACAGAAAAGAGAGAATATATGGAGAAACTTATGGCTGGAAACATGTTATTTCTAATTAAATTGAATTGATCAAAGTAAGTCACATGATCCAGATGGATATTAATGCAGCCAAGAAGTATGAAGAAGGCAGCAAGTATCTGTGAACAATAATATATTCTACCATGGGGTCGAGTAGAAAAATAAAAAAAAAAACTTGAGTCCCTCTGGCTTTATTGAACTGGTATACCAGATCTGAACTGCCTATAAATTGGGAAAAATAAAAATCTATTTGTTTAAGCCATTACCTGTATACAGTTCAAGAAG
Source organism: Homo sapiens (assembly GCF_000001405.40). Taxonomy (NCBI): domain Eukaryota; kingdom Metazoa; phylum Chordata; class Mammalia; order Primates; family Hominidae; genus Homo; species Homo sapiens. The sequence continues at coordinate 25,749,560 of NC_000006.12, read as the reverse complement.
TAAGCAGTGTCTAATTTGATATCAAACTCACTTGTATTGAGTTTTATTTTCAATGACTTCATTTTTTTAGGTTTTGTCTCCTTGTAGGGAAAAGAAAAAGAGATCAGACTGTTATTGTGTCTATGTAGAAAAGGAAGACATAAGAAACTCCATTTTGACCTGTACCCTGAACAATTGCTTTGCCCTGAGATGCTGTTAATCTGTAACTTTGCCCCAACCTTGAGCTCACAAAAACGTGTTGTATGGAATCAAGGTTTAAGGGATCTAGGGCTGTGCAGGATGTGCCTTGTTAACAAAATGTTTACAGGCAGTATGCTTGGTAAAAGTCATCGCCATTCTCTATTCTCAATAAACCAGGGGCACAATGCACTGCGGAAAGCCGCAGGGACCTCTGCCTGGAAAGCTGGGTATTGTTCAAGGTTTCTCCCCATGTGATAGTCTGAAATATGGCCTCGTGGGATGAGAAAGACCTCACCGTCCCCCAGCCTGACACCTGTGAAGGGTCTGTGCTGAGGAGGATTAGTAAAAGAGGAAGGCCTCTTGCAGTTGAGATAAGAGGAAGGCATCTGTCTCCTGCCTGCCCCTGGGAATGGAATGTCTCGGTACAAAACACAATTGTACATTTGTTCAATTCTGAGATAGGAGAAAAACTGCCCCGTGGCGGGAGGCGAGACATGTTGGCAGCAATGCTGCTTTGTTATTCTTTACTCCACTGAGATGTTTGGGTGGAGAGAAGCATAAATCTGGCTTACGTGCACATCCAGGCATAGTGCCTTCCCTTGAACTTATTTGTGACACAGATTCCTTTGCTCACGTGTTTTCTTGCTGACCTTCTCCCCACTATCACCCTGCTCTCCTACCACATTCCTCTTGCTGAGACAGTGAAAACAGTAATCAATAAATACTGAGGAAACTCAGAGACCGGTGCCGGTGCAGGTCCTCCGTATGCTGAGCGCCGGTCTCCTGAGCCCACTGTTCTTTCTCTATACTTTGTCTGTGTGTCTTATTTCTTTTCTCAGTCTCTCGTCCCACCTGACGAGATATACCCACAGGTGTGGAGGGGCAGGCCATCCCTTCACTCCTCCCATTTTTTCCCTTTTCTTCTAGTCTTTATAAATAGTTTATTGGTGTTTTATATATCTATTTTCTTAGTTTCTGTAATTTCTTATGGTGTTTTATTATCTCAAGATCTGGAGTAGGATGTCCAATCTTTTTGTGTTCTCCTGATTCTTGCTCATATGGGATTGTTTCAGGTGTGTTGTGTAATTTCAGATTGTGAGCTCATATTTAATGAGTTTCACCTCAGCTAACCCTGCCATGGATTGAGAGATTGTTTCTCCAGAGAGGTTTTTTGTTTGCCTCTGTTCAGTAACACCAATCTGAGACCTTTTGTGTTCCTGACTGTCATAGACATAGTACTGATTTTTCATCATGAAACAAGACATTGGGGTTTAGGTTAAGGTATATTTGGCCCATGTATTAAGAATAATGTTATTCTTGTTTTACTAAGTGTTTTTTCATGTAAAATAAGTAACAAATATACACATATGCCCTTCTAGCAAATTTTGAGTTTTTTGAATTCACTTTTCTGAATCTTTTGGCTTGGAATTATAAATTCCATATTATAGATTTCCAAATGTCAATATATCCTAGGCATCTTAGTCAATTTGGGCTGCTATAACAGAATACCATAGACTGGATGGCTTAAACAGCAGAAATGTATTTCTCACAATTCTGAAGGCTGAGAAGTTCAAGATACTGCCAGACTCAGTATCTGATGAGGGCCCACTTCCCAATTTGTGGACAGCTGTCTTCTCCAACTCCAAAGAGTTGTATCCTCTAGTGGTGAACAACAGAGAAAGCATGCTCTCATGTCTTTTCTTATAAAGGCACTAATCTCATTCATGAGGAATCCAGCCTCATGATCTAATCATTTCCTAATCTCATCCCGTTGGTGGTTAGGATTTTAACATATGAATCTGAGGGAGACTCAAACATTCAGTCCATAACGGTAGGTTTCTTGGAAGAATATTTTTGGCTAAAATATACTTGAAGAATTTGTGCAGCTTTGGAGGTGTAGTGTTATTTGTTGGCTGATTTACTGACATCCTAGAGTCATATTCTCCAATCAGACAGTTGAGCTGAAGGCTGCAAGTTTACATGCCTCCTTTCATTGTTTCTAGTCCAACCAGCATTTAAGCCTAGCTCTTACATTGTGGAAATGGAAGCCATAAAATAAGATTTCCCCATGGATCTACCATGATCTACATATTTATTCTTCTTTCTCAGGAGCTGTGTTGTTGTCAGAATGCCAGAACAATTGCACTTTGCTTCTTTACCCTGAATGCCCTAACCCGGAAGAATGGCAATGTTGCTGCAGGAATGCACTGGGTTGATTACTCTGCTACCTGTAGGAGGTGCTAAAGTAGATCCACTTTGATACTGGCATCCTTTCTGCAGCCTTAAACATCATGAGTTTCTCTGTTGGTGATATTGTTGGTGAACTGCTTTGAGAGGCCCCTGTTATTACAATCAAAGATACTTTTTAGCATACTGTGAACTTATAAGAGTTGTGACAAAAGTACTGTTTTTTATTGTCAGTCTATCCCTGATGAATCAATCAGTAGATTTTTGGCTCTGTTTCCTACTTTGTGACTAAAAGAAGTTGCATTACATATTATAACTTAACCTCTAAAGTGGCATACCATCAATCCTGCCATATTGTTTTTCATTGGTTGCACAGGCCAACCCTGGTACAGGGTCAGAAGGGGATACGCAAGGTTGGAATAGCAGGAGGCAGGAATAATAGGGTGCCACCTTAGAAGCTAGCTATTATACTAGGACTACAATTAAGTCATCCAAAAGTATGATACTGTCTTATAGTTGACCATGGCTAAATTCTATGCTTAATAACTTGTCTAATATTCCACAACAAGGCATAGGGTGGTGATAAGAATTTGATTTTTTTTTGGAGGTTTCTGATTCTAATGGCAATAAAACTATCTTACTACTGAACTTAGGATGCTGCTCCTTCTTTTGGGATGTATTCATTCAACAATTTTTATAATTTATCCCATTACCCCCAGTTTATTAAGAGCTTTAAACTTTAAAGAGCCCATAGCTAGCATTTTTAATGCATTTTAGCAACTATTGTCAGGAATATAATATTTTATCAGTATTGACTTATTTAGTTAATTACCTTTATAAATGTTATACTGGAATCATGGACATCCTTGCACTTTGAAGAGGAACTCCATGAGGCTCCACCTGAAAATAAGCTGCCGAAGGATCATCAAAACTAAAGGTTTTTCAGAGCAACTAAGTTTTAAAAATAAGAGCTGTGATTAACTATGCTTTCCATATTTATATGCTATTTATGAATCATACCGTTAATTTGATAAGACAGGTAATATAGATAAGACATGATGCATTTTTGTTGAATTTATTATCTGAAGCTGCAGTAAACATTTAAGTTCACTAGATTGATAACGGCTAATACTATTTATTGTTAGGATTGCGAAATCTGCTCATGAGTGATCCTCTCTGTCTTTTAAGTCAAATATGTGAATTTACTTCCAAGTGTATCTTTAAAGACTTCTGAAGCAATCTTGTGCAATGGCACTTTTTCTACAAAGCCTATCAGGATCGTTGGCTGAACTTTACAGATGAAATATGGTAGAACCAATTTTTCATATAAGGGAGAAGCTCTAAAGAAACAACTAATAAATGCCCTGATGATGCCCACATGGGTTTGGTCCCTCAGACCTTTCAGCCACTGTATCAGAGTATTGTGAGTAACGGATTAGTTCCTTCTAGAAAGAGGCCAGATCATCTGTTTTGGTTACTTTGATGATTTGTTATTCTGTAAGTCTGAAATAGAAAGACCTGGAGCCTAAGAAAAGGCCTCCAACTTAGGGAAGTCTGTAACACAAAGACTGAGCAAGTTTTACTTTTTCTCTATGTTTTTTAGTGAAGGGAAAAGGTGTTCTTGCCATGATCTGGCCTTACCCACATTGGGAAACGTGTGAATTTCAGACCAAAGACCAAGTAAATGTTAAAGTATTCCTTTCTCTCTCATTGTCCTCCATACACGTATTTCGTTTGGAGGCCTCTCTCAAATGTATAGTTTGTAGATAGTTATGTGCTGGTATGTTTTTAACAACTGGCTCTAAGAGAAAAGTGAATACGTACATATACATACACAAAACATTTACACACCTATATCCATACATATATATGTTAATAAAATCCATGGTACCACTTGCAAGTTAAAGTAAAAACTTCCACTAACATTTCTGTATATAATTTGAGAAATAAATTTTAAGCTAAACTGCTTTCTTGATTTTCAGTTTAGACCTATAACTTCAGAGGAATTACTATTTCTTGTAAAAATTCTATCAATTTTTAGAATTTTATTGCCAACAATAGTGTCACAAAATCAGACTGCAAACTGCTTGATTACTATCTGTTTGATCAGAGAAGTCACTTACACATTAACTAATGGGTGCAGTCCTGACATAAAAGTTGGTTATGTGCTTTTATTTCTGGTTTCAAAAAAAAAATGAAGGAAAATGAAAGTATGTCAAAACTTTGCTCAGATGTCAATGGCATGAGCAACTACTTGCTGAATTGGATAATAGTTTTGGGGTACTGAAATAATATTTCCTTAATATTTCGGGCTATTCAGAATGTAATAGCTATAGATATGTCACACTTTTAAGTTTAATCTACATTATTAAGATTTTCTCCAAGATTTTCTTAAGTCTAGACAATCAATAATAAAGTCCTAATTTATAGTGGTTGTTGATTTCCATGGTGTAAGAATGTCCACCAGGCTGATTTCCAGCTACCCACACATTATTGAATGCAGAGTTGGGAAGAGATGCACAATAGCATACCATTAAATAGCATTTCTACAATTCAGATAGTATTGACATAAATAACCTCAAGAGCATGGAGAGTAAATACTAAAATGTACTGTATTTTCACCTTTCTAAATTTAATTTAACTGTAATTTTATATAATTTAATTTTTAATAATGGTGGTGTTTAACAACCAGTTTGCAAAATTCCTGCAATTTTAATAATTGGTCCTTGTGAGTAAGATTGCATTCATTTGAGCCAGCTCCAGCACAACCCTGGCTCTGTGACTGCTTATAGAGATTAAGATTAAGTGACTGCTTAAGAGAATCCCAACTTTCTGTCTCAAGCAAACTGGACAGGTGTGTTTCCTCATACTTCACCACTTCCCCATTGCAATCCATCCACACTGATGCTACCAGTTTCTTGATTACTCACACATCTGACCATTTCACTCCTGTACTCAGAAGCCTTGGATGTCTACTTTTTAAATTAGAGGTTCCAATCTCCTTAGCATGCCACACAAAGGTTTGTGTCAACTGACCTTAAGCTGCCATCCAGTCATATCTCCCCACTGTATGTCCATGTTCTCTAGTCATATTAGATTAGTCTTTATTACTCAAAGAAGCCATGGCTGGCCACACCCTAGTGCCTTCAATGACTCTCTTCTATCTCCCTGAATGGACCTTGCCCTTTTCTCTGCATGGAACTTAGTGACACCCTTTTCCAGATCTGACTCAAATATTCTTCTCCTTGGGAAACTTTTCTCACTCTCTTCTCCCTCCAGTCAGAACCACATGCTCAACCCAGTAATTCTCATGAACTTTTGTACATATATCTGCTATAGCACAGCTTTCTTTCACATTTATGATTTTCTGAAAGCATGTGGTTTATTTATTTATCCATTTTATTACACATAAACTCCTTGAAACATTACCTAATTTTCCCAGGCCAGGAGCAGTATCTGTCATATGTGCATGCTCAGTAACCCTTGTTTAATGTGGATGACATTAAGACCTTAACTATACTGGCATTGCAAGCATAAATCATGTACTTTCACAATATAGTTTTTCTTAATAAACTACTTAATTGAATTTCATATTATTCTGTTTAGGACTTCTGCATCTACTCTAGTAATTGAGATTAGCTTCAGGTTGTCTTGTTTTCCTTTCATCTAGTTTTGATTTCATGGTAACACTAACTCACAGAATTACATAGAAGGTGCTATATTTTCCTATGCTTTGAATTGGTTTATAAAACCTAGAAAGTTTTTTTTAAGTTTCTGGCAAAAATAGAAGGCATCTCATAAAGAATGTATCATCAGAGAACTATATTCAAAAGTCATTGGAAATAATCTGTTCTCTGTGTAACCATGTTACCAATACAAAATACAATTTGTTTCATTCGTTTCAGTTTGCTTTCAGTGTCAGAGTTTGCTTATTTTCCTTTTGATTTAATTTTATTTCTTGAGCTTGTAAATCATTAACATGGTTTAAATTGTTACTCCTTTTTACAAAAAAAAGTAGTACTCAATACACAGTTTTTTCACCTTTTTTATAAAAACTTCAAATATATCATGGAGATTTCTGTACCAACACATGGAGATGATTCTCATTCATTTCCATGGCTTCCCAGGTGTTCTACTGTGAGTCTGTTCTAGACATTACTCAACATTTCCCCTGTGGATAGACTTTAACATTATTTCCAATTTTTTATATTACAAATAATCTGCATGTACAACCTTGTACATCTTTGTTGTTTCATATATGTGGAGTTGTATTTTCAGGATAGATTGTCAGGAGAATTCCTGGGTCCATGGTTAAGGCATATGTTATTTTGTTAGGTTTTACTAAATTCCGCACAAAATGTATTAATTTGTGTTTTTATTTTATTATTATTTTTTGAGAAATGGGGTTTCCCTCTGTTGCCCAGTGCAGTGGCAGGATCATAGCTAACTGCAGCCTTGAACTCCTGGGCTCAAGGAATTCTCCCACCTCAGCCCCTTGAGTAGGTAGGACTACAGGTGTGTGCCACCACACCCGACTAAATTTCCCACCATACATATTATACCATTGTACACTTCCACCAGCAGCTGTATGAGTGTGCCTATTTCTCTTCCAGCCTTGGAGTCCCCAGTAACTAGGATTACAGGTGCATACCACCACACCCATCTGTTTTTTTTTTTTTTTGTATTGTTTTTTGTTTGTTTTTGTAAAACAGCATTTCAATATGTTGCCCAGGCTAGTCTTCATGGTCTCAAGCCATCCTCCCTCCTTGACCTCTCTAAATGATGGGATTATAGGCATGAGTCACTATGCCCCACTGGGTTTTGGTTTTATAACAAAAGTTTCCTGCCCAGGTTCCCAGTCAGGCCCATTTATGCAAATAAAGGATTTAAATTCACTTAGTTCTGATCAGTCAATGTAACTTAGTTCTGATTGGTCAATACAGTCAAGTCCTGATATGGCTGAACTCTGATTGGCCACCATAGCTGAACACTGATTGGTTGGCTTCCAAGCCCAGAAGTCTCTGTGCCGGATGATTCTTTTAACCTTGGGAGTGGTTGCCCAGAGGCTTTGGCTGTAGTTTTACCTTGGCACCAACAATGACCGGTTTGGCTTGATTATAGAAAGGGAAGTTTTGTGATACTTTTACAACATTTTTCTGAGAACACAGAGTATTTGAATGCTCCCTCACCCAGCTGTGGCCCTCTGGTTCTGTTTGAAGTTTGAGACCCTCAGTTTGTCACAGGGAGTCCATTTTGTCTGTCGGCCAAGGATATACTTCAACAATGTGATATTTTGTATACATTTTTTTTTTAGACAGAGTCTCACTCTGTCTTGGTGTGATCTCCACTCACTGCAACCTCTGCCTCCCAAGTTCAAAGGATTCTCTGCCTCAGCCACCCGACTAGCTGGGATTACAGGCATGCACAACCATGCTCGGCTAATTTTTTTTTTCTTTTTGTATTTTTGCTGTTGTTTTTGAGACAGAGTCTCGCTCTGTCGCCCAGACTGGAGTGCAGTGGAGTGATCTGGGCTCACGGCAACCTCTGCCTCCTGGGTCCAAGCGATTCTCCTGTCTCAGCCTCCTGAGTAGCTGGGATTATAGGCGGCCCATGACCACGCCCAGCTAATTTTTGTATCTTCAGTACAGACAGGGTTTCACCATGTTGGCCAAGCTGGTCTCAAACTCCTGACCTCAGGTGATCCACTCGCCTCGGCCTCCCAAAGTGCTGGGATTACCGGCGTGACCCGCTGCGCCCTTTTTTTTTTTTTTTTTTTTTGGATTCTTAGTAAAGACAGGGTTTTGCCATGTTGGCCAGGCTGATCTCAAACTCCTGACCTCAAGTGATACACCCACCTTAGCCTCCCAAAGTGCTGGGATTACAGGTGTGAGCCACAGTGCCCAGCCATATTTTGTATACTTTAACAATGTGATATTTTGATACATGCATTCAATGTGTAATCATTAAATCAGGGTAATTAGGATATCTATCGCCTCAAATGTTTATCATTTCTTTGTGTTGGGAACATTACAAATCTTCTCTTTTAGCTAATTTAAAATATATAATGTGATTATTAACTATACTCATCCTACTGTGCTATCAAATGGTAGAACTTATTCCTTTTATTTTCTACCTATTAACCAACCTTACTTCATTCCCTACCACCTCCTCCACCTTTCACAGTCTCTGGTAACCATAATTTTACCTTCTATCTCCATGAGATCAACTTTTTTAGCTCCCACATATGACTGAGAACATGTGATATTTTTCTTTCTATGCCTGTCTTATTTCACTTAACATCCTCCAGGTTCGCCCACGTTGCTGCTAATGACAGGATTTCCTTTTTTAAGGCTGAATAGTATTGCACTGTGCATATATAGCACATTTTTAAATTCCAGTCATCCATTGATGGACACTTAAGTTGATTCCATTTCTTGGCTATTGTGAGTAATGCTATAATTAATATGGAAGTGCAGATATTTTATATATTTTCTTAATGTGTTAGAATTGAGATTCATTTTTTGAACCATTTTATTTTCAGAATTATCTTTATAAAAATCTCAGAATAAACTCACTTTTCTGAGAAAGGAGCTCATCAGTAAAGTCAGTATCTTGCATTCCATATAGTCCATTCTTTGGTGGTTAAATTTTTTGCAACTTACATTTTATTGTAATTTTAAACCACCCCTACGGTTATTTATTCTTTTCCTAATGAAATTAGAAGTTCAGTCTAATAACTGTTGTAATACAACAAATAACTTATATTAATCAATAATTTCTAATATTTGAGAAACCCAATTTAAAAAAAAATGACTTTGTAGATGCTTGAAGTTATATCTTGTAAATATCCAGGTGTTTGGTTTGTTTTTTCCATTGTCTGGAGAATGTGGATCATATTTTAGTTTTCTAAGTAACTGAGGTTTAGGATCATTGTCTTCCCTTATGTCAGTCAGTTCCTGCTCCAGCCTGTGACTTTACATTTCTCTTCATAAAATTTTAATTTATTTTTATAATGTTATTTGATCCCAGATTTCTCCAGCTCTGGCTTTGTTTTCCCTAGTAACTAATGGATATGAGTTATACTGTTGCCTCATAGCTAAAAGGGGCTGGTTTTAACTTTTTGTTTTGAAATAATTATAGGTTCACAGGAAGGTGCAAGGCTAGTATACAGAGGTTCCCTGTATCCTTCATTAATTTTATCCCAGTGGCTTTATCTTAATTACTATAGCACAATTTCAAAACCAGGCATGTGACATTGGTACAATGTGTGAATAGTTCCATATAATTTTATCACGTGTGTAGATTTGTGTAACCATCACAATCAAAGTACAGAACAATTCTATCATCACAAAGATCTCCTTAATGTTACACCTTAATAACCACACCTCATGCTATCCCCTCAGCCTCACCATCCCAAACCCCTGGAAACCATTAAGTTATTCTCCATCCCTATGACTTTGTTTTGAAATGTTATATAAATGGAATCATATAGTATGTAATATTTTGATATTGGCTTTATTTTCAGTCAACATAATTTCCTAGAAGTCCATTCTACTCATTCTGTATACCAATAGCTTTTCTTTTTTGTTGCTGAGTAATATTTCATGGTATAAATATACCACAGTGTGTTTAAACATTCACTCATTTAAAGGACATCTTAATTGTTCTAAGGCTTACCTATTAAAAACAATCTGCTATGGATATATGCATACAGATTTTTGTGTGAGCATAACATTATAGACTGAATATTTATGTCCCTTAGTTCATATGTTTGTGTACCCTCAATTCACATGTTGAAATTCTAACTTCCAGTGTGATGGTATTAGGAGGTGGAGTTTTGGGAATGTAATTATGTCATAAGTGTAGAGCCCTCATGAATGAGATTAGTTCCCTTATGAGAAGCGAATCCAGAAAGCTTGCTTTCTATCTCTCTTCTCTCTCTGCCACGTGAGGATACAAGAAGGCTATCCACAAACCAAGAAGAGTTCCCTCACTAGAGATCAGATCTGCCAGCACCCGGATCTTAGACTTCCCAGATTTCAGAACTGTGAGAAATATTTTTGTTTGTTTGTTTGTTTAAGCTACTTGGTCTATAGTATTTTTGTTGTAGCAGCCCAAACTGACTAAAACACATACATTTTCATTTCTCTGGGATGAATGTTCCATAGTGGGAGTACTAGATCATGTTGTAAGTATATGTTTTGATTTTACAGAAACTGCAAAATGTTTCCCAAGGTGATCTGTACCATTTTATAGTTTTACCAGCAATGTATGGGAGATCAAGTTTTCCCATATTCATGCCATCATTTGATGTTGTCAATTTTTAAATTTTAGTTGCCCAGTAAGTGTGTAGTGATACCTCATCCTAGTCTTAATTTACACTTTCCTAATGAGCATTAATGTTAAACATCTCCTCATGTGCTTTTTTGCCCTTTGTGTGTCCTTGGCAGTGAAATGTTTCTTCATGAATATTGTTCATTTTTTACTGGGATAGTTTGGTTTTTTATTGTTGAGATTTGAGAATTCTTTATATTAACATAGATCAAGTATTTTACCATATATATGGTTTGCAAATATATTCTGTAAGTCTGCAGCCTGTCGTTTTTTTCTTCACGGAGACTTTCACAGAACAAAAGCTTTTACTTTTTTTTTCTTTTCTGGATTGTTTTGATTTCATGTCTAAAAACTTTTTGCATACATCTAGACTCAAAAGACTTTTCTCCTACATATTTTTTCTAAAAGGTTTATAGTTTTACATTTTTCATATTTAAATATATGATCTATATGAGTTAATTTTAGGCAAGGTGTAAGGTTTAAGTCAACATACATATTTTTGCCTATTGCTCTAGCATCAGCTATTGAAAACACTATCCTTCCTTCATTAAATTGTTTTTTAATCTTTGTCAAAACTCAGTTGGTCATACTTGTGTAGGACTATCTGTGTGTTCTCTCTTCTGTTCCATTGATCTATTCTGCCATTACTACACAGTGTTGATTACTATATTATATAATAAGTCCTGAATTTGGTTACAGTTATCCCTACCACTTTATTCTTTTTCAAAATAGTTTTAGATGTTCTAGTTCCTTTTACTTGTACTTTTAAGATTTATTGTGATTTTTCACATAAACAATCATATCATCTGTGAATATAGGGAGTTTTATTTTCTCCCAAATCCATATGCCCTTAATTTCTTTTTCTTGCCTTGTTGTACTAGCAAGGACTTCCAGTATACAGTTGAATTTAATTGTGAGTGAACATTTTGCCTTGCTCCTGATCTTAGATACCAATCTAGAATCCAGGTAGAATCTGAATGTCTAGGATTAAGGGGAATCAGAAGAAACATGTTAAGAATAAAACAATTTATATAATGTAGGACTTATATTTCTCTGTCGTAACAATCGTAGAGAAGACTCTTTTGAAGGAATTCCTAATTTTTGTTATTATATTTTGAAAGGGGGAAACTGTCAGTGATCTAGTAACATTGTTATTTCATTGGAAGGCAGTAACTTTTATTTCCAAAATCATGTTATTTGGGTGCCATATGATGGTCATATATTACTGGTTGTAATAGCAGTTGTAACCACCCAATGGGTTTCTTTTGCCTGCTGCCCAGATAAAGCCAATTTATCAATATAAGGAAATTGCAATAGAGAAACAGTTTAATACATGTAAAACAGGCTAGAAGGGAGACTAGAGTTTTATTACTACTCAAACTAACCTCCCCGAAAATTTGGAGGCTAGGGTTTTTCAAAGATAGTTTGGCAAGCAGGGGGCTAGGGAATGGGTGCTGCTGATTGGTTGAGAAAGCAATCATAGGGATAGGGAAAATGGCCTTCCTGAAGCTGAGTCCACTTCTGAGTAGTGGCCATAGGACCAGTTGAGTCAAGAGTCATGGATCCAGTGGGGCCATCCAGTCATCAGAAATGCAAAAGCCTGAAAAGACATCCAAAAATCCAATCTTAGATTCTACACTAATGACATTATTTACAAGAGTAATTGGAGAAGTTGCAAATCTTGTCACCTATAGAATAATGGCTGGTAATGGAATAATGTTTCAACTACAAATTAAGACCCTCTCATCCTCCTAACCTGGTAGGCTTTCATTAGTTTTACAAAGGTGGTTTAATTTATTGAGAAGGGCTATTATAACTTAAACTAGAAACTAAATTTCTCCCAAAGTTAGCTTGGCCCGTGCCCAGAAATAACCAAGGGCGGTTTGGAGGTTGGTTAGGTAAGATCTAACAAGATCTAGCAAGATGAAGTTGGTTAGGTCAGATCTCTTTCACTGTCATAATTTTCTCACTGTTACAATTTTTGCAAATGTGATTTCATAATGAGTTCAGTTGGACCATGTAATTTTGTACAATTTAATGGAAAAGATAATAGGGTGTTAATTTTATTTTTACTGTGTAGAAAGACCTTGAGAACAATTTAGTTAAATATGGTCCAGTTCTGATAAATTTCAGGATTTTAAAAGAATCTTGGTGTAACAGAAGACACTGAGAGTCAGACCTGCCCATCCCACTGGTCTGATATGGGTTCTTAACAGTAGAAGGAAGGAATGGGTTAATGACCCCATGGAAGGGAGTCAAAATGTTCTGAGGATCCAAAAATCTTCTCAAAGCACCAGCCATACCCCTTGTTTGGCTCTAAATTTGTCTTCTAATTGCTTTACAGTATTAAAGGAAAGAGAAAAATTCCATCTTTTAGCTTAATTTCATGCTTCTTCCTTATTCTTATCCCTTCTGGCACACCCTGATTAAGAACAAAGCCATTTAATCTCACCGAAATGAGTACTGAGATACGGGGCCATGGTTAAAGACCAAACACATTTAATTGACTATGATTTGGGGGAGAGGTTTTTATTGTGTCAAGCCGAAAATTTTGCTTAAATTTGTCAGACAGATGTTCTTACAAAAGAAACTCATTATTGAGATAAATTAAGGAGGAAAGGGTGGGGCCCACTAACAGTTCTCTTCTAGGGTAACCGTAGACTAGAAAGAAAAGCTGCTGGGACTGAAGTCCTCAGAGAGTGGAATCTGAGATACACAGACATTCCCCCTACCACCCCACCCCCACCACCTTCTCTTTCAACAGCCACAGAAGTTTTTATTTCTGATGTCACCTTTATTTTTTAAAGTGCTCCAAGAGCAAGAGATTCAGCCACTGGCAGCTCTGGATTAATTTTCTAAAATTTTTTATTTGTCCTGCAACCCTATAAATATGTCTCTTCAATCTCCATGTCTGAAAATATCAGAAAAGATTCTTACTGGCTCAGCTTGGGTGGCATGCCCAACCTTTGAACCAATCATGGTACCCCAGTGAGTGCAGTTCCTTTATTGATTAAACCTGAGTGCAGAGTGGACTGCCCTGATTGACCATTTTCATCATCCCAATCTTGTTCTGAAGAGCAAGTCATGAACCACTTGTGAAATAGAACATACAATAAAACAATAGAACACAACACAATAATTTAGAAAGTAATGTCAGAATGCTTCCACCATAGCATATTGTTTTTGAAAACTTTTGTTTTAGCTCTTGGTATGTACATGTTTCCCTAACTGTGACTTTGGTCATGGAATAAAAGGTATTTCTTAAATGTTTGTTGTAGTTAAAAAAAAAAAAAGTGAAAAAACTTTTAGCTCTACTGTATGGTTTGGGTACTTGAATTCAGTCAATGTTGATGTTTCCAGATTAGGAGTTTGTGATGTGTTACAGCAGTAAGACAGTTCCCTTGTTTGGTCTTTTGCAGAACAGACTGCATTAGAGCATGATTGCTCACTTAATCTCTCTGCTCCTCATTCACCCACTTTAGAGGGTAATCAGATGTACTTATGTCCCTTCTGGGCTTTAACACCAAGTATTATGTGTCCTTGCTCATTCTCCATTTCATTTGTCTTTAATCCCCCTACATTCCCTATTTTCCACAGTATAATTACAGTAGAATATTGTCATTTCCTTTAGCAAATGTTTACTATGGCTTTCTGAATTTATAAATGAAAAATAGCCAACACTCACCAAAAATGTTCTGTTTTACTTATTAAAATCCCTTGTCATATAATACAATCTGCATGAACTAAGGATGATAGATTAATGCCATCATTTTGAAGCAGCTGCAATTACTACATTGAACATAAGCGAGTTACTGAAATGATATTTTTTGAAACTTGATCACAGCTCCTTTTCTGAAAGGGTGTGTGGCTCTGAGAACTGTTGATTTCCAATAATTATTTCCCAGTTAATTGTGGGGCATTGCCCTGCAGTTGTTACTTAAATCTGATTTTATTTTCCTTCTACTAGTATAGGAGAATCTTTTTAATACCCTTTTTAAAGATTTGTCTAATCATCAAGAACATTATTAAATAACAGTGATTTTAAAAGTCCTCTAACAACAACTACTAGTATTCCACTAAGAAACAAAGATTATCCATCTAAACATATTAACAAATGCTTTTTAAGCATCTACTGAGTTTAAGATTTATTTTTCCTTTAGCAAACAGGTTTGCATTTTACTCAGCATTCAAACATCCTTACACTCGTAGATGGATCCTGGTTTATCACTGTTAACTTTTTAATTGGCTACCAGAGTTGATTGCTCATATTTAATGGAAGATTTGTGTATATTTACTTATAACTGAGAATGTGCTGCACTTAGTAGCATGCCTTCTTCATTCACTTTTGGGATTTTTTTAATAATTTGAAACCATTTCGTTAGCTGTAGATTTATCCTTTTCTTAAATGTCTAAGAAGAAGCCTGATATTTGAGGATGTTAGCTCATTGGTAACCTCATTTTTTTCCCCATTCATCTTAATCCTCACTGCTTTCTAGGTTTAATTTAAGCAATTTCTATTTTTTCAGAAATTCTTACATTTCTTCAATATTTTCAAATATGTTAACATAGGTTGTTTTAAACTATGTCCTTGTAACCTTAAAACAATTCCTAAATATCGCTATCTAAATTAAGTTCCCAGGAGGTTTAATAATTGTTTTCAACAAATAGCTCTTATATTTATTTAATTCTATAGGTTTAGGGTAATAATTTTATGGACACAAGGATTGTGAAGAAAATAACTTTTGGCCGTGTGCAGTGGCTCACCCTTGTAATCCCAGCACTTTGGGAGGCTCAGGTGGGCGGATCAACTGAGGTCAGGAGTTTGAGATCAACCTAACCATCGTGGTGAAACCCCGTCTCTACTAAAAATACAAAAAACTAGCCAGGTATAGTGGCACGTGCATGTAATCCCAGCTACTCGGGAGGCTGAGGCAGGAGAATCACTGGAACCCAGGAGGTGGAGGTTGCAATGAGATTGTACCACTGCACTCCAGCCTGGGCGACAGAGCAATACTCTGTCATACACACACACACACACACACACACACACACATACACACACACACACACACACACAGTATTAGGCTTTGGTTTGAGATATAACCCACATACTAAAATATTAGTATCTTTATACTTATAAATACGAGTATTTATAAGTATGAACATATTTATATCTCAGTGTGTCCATTATATCTCAAACCAAAGGCTAATTATAGGTTTGTATCTTAGTGTGTATGTTATAAACCTTATAAACATTATAAACTTTATTATAGTGTATTAAGCACTTCACATAAGTAAGGTATCACATACCTGTATGTACCTTTTATCTTTTGGTTTATTAACATAGCATGGCTACGGTCTTCTAGACATATAACCATCCTAGAATTCTCGGAAGGTAATTCTTTGGCAGAAGAAAACATGCGCCCTAGGAGTATGTTTAGATATGCCCATTCCTTGACTGATGTCCATACAGTCATGCTCTCCCAACAAGAGTTGTGCTGAAAGCTGCAAGTTTACAAATCTTCCTTTCCTTCTAATCATTTAGTCTAATTCGACACTCTAACTAAAATTCAACCCCCAAAATATGATTCCCCATCTTCACATTATTTTTCTCAGGAATTACATAGGTTGTCACAATAACATCCTAATTTGTTTGTTCATTTTCCCAAGAAGAATGGCATTTTCCCTTCCAGGAGCCTGCTATAATCACTGCTCTGCCTACCTGAAGTAGGTGCTGAAACAGTTCCACCCAGAAACATCAAGTTCTGCTGTCAATACTACCGAGTATTAAAGGAAACTGCTTCGGATACCCCAATAACCAGAACTGTTCTGAGTCCTGTTTACGAAAGCTGTAGTCTTATTGACGAAACAGCATTTTGTAATCCTTTTGTAAACTAGCTCTTTCTCAGAAATTGAGTGGCTCTGAAAAGGGCCTTTGATTTCAGCTTTGGGGTTTTTGTTTTTGTTTTTGTTTTTGTTTCTTCTAGACATTAGACATTCAAGTCACTTCGCTGGCTTTTACAACTTGGGTGGTTATTCATACTGGACTTTGTGGTAGTGGCTCCCAATCCTTTGGGACAGCAGCACAGCTTGGATGTTGGGCAAAACGTCACCCTAAGCCATTGTCACTCGGGCCAGCAGCTTGTCGAGCTCCTTGTCGTTGCGGATGGCCAGCTGCAGGTGGCGCGGGATGATGCGGGTCTTCTTCTTGTTCCGACGGCGTTGCCCGCCAACTCCAGGGTGTCGGAGGCCAGGTACTCCAGAACCGCCGGCAGGTACGCTAGCGTGCAGCCCCCGACCCTCTCGGCATCGTTGCCCTTGCTGAGCAGCCCGTTGACACCGCCCACGGGGAACTGCAGAACCTCTCTGAATGAATAGCGCGTACCCTTCCCCCGAGTTTCCCTAGTCTAAGACATAGCCCAAAACTAAAAGTTATAACGGAAAAAGACACCCGTTAAAACGGGTACTCAGCGTATTTCTAGTCTGACAGCAGATTGTGGATTATCTGATTGATTGGCTGATAGCCATCTATCCAATCAGAGAACCTTACTGCTATTGCCTTATTTACATACTCTACCTATTATCCAATCAGATGTTGGATGCAAATGACGTAGGTTGAGGGCCATGCCTATAAATATCACGCTTCACTCCAGTCAAACATCAGTTAGTGATCTCCCTGTGAACTTGGAAGATAAACATGCTGGAGCTTGCTTCAAAGGGCACTACCATTTCCGAAAAGGGCTTTAAGAAGGCAGTTGCTAAAACTCGAAGGAGGACAAAAAGCGCAAGAGATGCCGCAAAGAGAGCTATTCTATTTACATCTACAAGCTGCTGAAGCAGGTCCACGCGGACACTGGAATCTCTTCCAAGGCCATGAGTATCATGAATTCTTTTGTTAGTGACATTTTTGAGCGCATTGCCTGTGAGGCTTCCCGCCTGGCGCATTATGACAAGCGCTCGACCATCACCTCCAGGGAGATCCAGACGGCCGTGCGCCTGCTGCTGCCTGGGGAACTAGCCAAGCACGTTGTGTCGGAGGGCACCAAGGCTGTCACCAAGTACACTAGCTCCAAGTAAAACATGATAGGGCCAGCAGATGAGCTCCACAAACCAAAGGCTCTTTTAAGAGCCAATGAAAGTTTCTAATAGGGCTGTAGAATGTTTATTTTATTATAGAGTATGCCTCGTTGCCAGACTGATAATTTTTTCCTAGACTAGGCATAACATGGTTATCTTTAAGTCTAAACTTTGCATTAATCAACTGTATCTGCCCCAGTATTGGTGAAAGCTAAAATCTCACAGCCGAGGCAATTAAATGGGAGCTCCCGTAATCCTGGGTTCATGGGGATATTCTTTCTGTGGACAGTGCCATGGGGAAATACGGCTTTTTTGTCTATGACGTTTTCTACTACAAACACTCTACGATGACAGCAAAAAAGGCCTGGAGCTCCCCACTTAGGGAAGTCTGGCACTGAGCATTAGGCTGTTTGCTTTTTCTTGACTTTGGCCATAATGTGTGCAAAACATTCTCCAAGTCCGGGTGGACCAGCTCCAGCACCTTGTAGATGTAAATAGAATAGCTCTCTTTGCAGCATCTCTTGTGCTTTTTACGCTCCTTTTCTTGCACATTATGAAAAGTGATCAGGCTAACTCCCCTTGAACTGCTGGAATTTGAGGTCCAAAGCCTAAGGTTTCTGCGTCTCTGTGAACTCCAGTAAACTGCTTACTCAATATCACAGTTCTTATGTTGCTTAGCCGCTTAAGAATTATCTCCACAGGGATTTCCAGTTGATCCCAACAGAACTGTTCCTGAACTTCTGCATTCTCTATATCCATGAGTACCACCCTATTCACATGGTTGTCCAAGCCAGAAATGTATTTTTTCCCTAATAGTCTCTGTTCAACCTCCATCCACTTCAGTCTCTCAAGATATGGTAATTTTACTTCCTACATATTTCTGTTGTCTGATTATACACCATCTCCACCGCTAACATTTTTGTCTGCATACTCATGATCTCACACCTGAATTAGTTTCCAATTAATCTCACTGCTCTTAATCTTGCCTCCCTAAAAACCACTCTCCACCCAACTATTTTCATTTTTTAAATTGACAAAAATTGTGTATTTACTGTGTACAACATGATGTTTTGAAATATGTATACATCGCGGAATGGCAATCTAATTAACATATGCATTACCCCACATATTTTTTATGAAAACACTTAAACTCTACTCTTTGCAATTTTCAATACAACATATTGTTACCAACTATAATCAGCATATTGTACAATAGAGCTCTTCAGCTTATTCCTCCTAAGTGAAATTTCATATCCTTTAACCAATATCTTCCCACCACTCCCCAACTCTAGCCACTGGTAACCACCACTCTGCTACTTATATGAGTTCAACTTTTTTTTAATTCCACTTATGAGATCATACAGCATTTGTCTTTCTGTGCCTCGCTCATTTCACTTAACATCCTCCAGGTTCATCCATGTTGCTGCCAATGACAGAATTCTTTTTCTTTTTTGAGGCCAAATAGTATTCTATTATGTATGTATGCCACATTTTCTTTAGCCATTCATCTCCTGAAGGACCTTTATGTTCTTTCTATATCTTGTCTATTGAGAATAATTCTGCAATGAACATGGGAGTACAGATATCTCTTTGAGAAACTGATTTTATTTCCTTTCAATATATACCCAGTAGTAGGATTGTTGGATTATATGGTAGTTCTATTTTTAATTTTTTGAGGAAATTCTATACTGTTTTCCACAATGTATGCACTAAAATATTACCATTTTCAATCTTATTTGAAGCACAAATATTACTATATCACACATTTTAAAAAATATTTTGAAAACTCAATTTGGTATTGTTTTATTAATAGTATTAAGTATTTTATTGCATGCACTTAGAAATTTATATTAAGCTGTGTATAGGATCAGCTAGACTTGCAAAGAAATCAATAGTACAATAAAAGTTTTGAATGTTGGAGCTTTTTGGATTACGGATGCTCAACCTATATTGCAAACATGTAAAACTCAAGAAAATCTATCAAGAAACCAATAGGAAAATAAGTCAATTCAGTGAGGTACTAGAAGGATATTAAAAAAAAATGCACGGAAAGCAGTCTTACATATATAACAAAAAAAGTTAAAAAATAATGAATAGGAAATACCTCATTTACAGTAACAACAAAAACAAAATACCCAGAACTATATTTAACTTTTTAAAATGCCAAATATATATGAAGGTAGATGATCAGTTCACACCCATCCCGTGGTTTTCTGTAGGTGAATGACTCAGGCAGCACCTGAACTAGCTCAGTTCTAGAAAATGGACCTGAGAGGAACGGGTCCTCTGGGAAGACTCCTCTTGCTTTCAATCCAAGACCCAGTGGAATAGACTGACTCTTCCTGCCTTTACTTTATCCTATCCTCTCTGCATGAACACTTGCAACTGTAACTAGTATGATGGCAAAGTCACAGTGTGGAGAAGGGCAGAGGCAAGACTGCAGGGTAGTGGAGCCAGGGCTGTGATTATCCTATTGGTGGAACTTCTCTGCCTTTATGTTGTCCTGTTTGGTTGCATTACTTATCTCAACCAGTTCAGCTAGCATTTCCTATTATTTGCAGCCAAAATACATCTGATATAAAAGCTACATGAAGTTTGGTCTGAAAACAGTTTTTATTTGCTGGTATTCCTACTTATCTATTGCCCAAATAAGCCTAAAAGTCCTTGGGTAATCAGGGTAGTCTGACAGTGGTCACAAAGTCGACAGGTTATTTGGCAGCTATGTGATACCTGCTGTTTTCCAAGGTGTTAGAGAAGCATGAATCCCTGATTAGAGATGATCCCATCCCCAATACAAGGTGAGCATAGATGCTAGATGCCCCTTCCCCCCAATTTGTCACCTCCCTGGAAGATTTCCCAGCTAAAGCATGCAGGGGCTTTGCAGGGACTGTCTTACTGTTCACAAAAGTGTGGGGGCACTTATTTTAACGGGTCTTGTTATACATTGATATATTTTTTTGTTTGTGTTTGAGACGGAGTCTCGCTCTGTCACCCAGGCTGGAGTGCAGTGGGGCGATCTCGGCTCACTGCAACCTCCGCCTCCCGGGTTCAAGGGATTCTCCTGCCTCAGCCTCCCAAGTAGCTGCAATTACAGGAACGTGCCACCACGCCCAGCTAATTTTTTGTATTTTGAGTAGAGACAGGGTTTCACCATGTTAGCCAGGATGGTCTCGATCTCCTGACCTCGTGATCTGCCCTCCTCTGCCTCCCAAAGTGCAGGATTACATGCGTGAGCCACCGCGCCGGCCGGTACTAACTTTTTAATGTAGAGAAAGCACATATACATATCCAAAATTTTGTTAAAAGATAAAGGTTAAATGAAGATGCGTTAAACAAATTGAGAATTCCAGCTAACCACAGGTTTCCAGGAAGTAATATTTGATCCATTTTTAAGGTGGCTGAAATCAGTTTAATGCTTGGGAGCTCTTACAGATGGAGTCCAACAACCAGTAACATGACAATGAAGGAAACTATTATAAATTTAAGAAAATTAAGGGACATTTTAAATCCGTTTAATTCCTGCTAACCAGATTTGTGAGTTCTCCAGAGTTCGCACAATCATTTCCACACCTTGACTTACCTGTGGCACAAAACGTAACTTCCTCTAAACTATTCCCTTTTTGTGAGGTCTTAAAATTTGGGATCATAATGCAAGTTATACTGTCTATGTCGCTGCGCTTTTTAGTTTTATTATGTGTAATGCTAACCTTAAATATACCAGTATCAGCATGTAGCTTTTATACAAACTAGGGGGTTTTTTTGTTTTGTTTTTTGAGACAGTCTCGCTGTCACCAGGCTGTAGTGCAGTGACGATCTCGGCTCACTGCAATCTCCGGCTCCTGGGTTCAAGCGATTCTCTTGCCTCAGCCTCCCAATTAGCTGGGACTACAGTGCACGCCACCACGCCCACCTGATTTTTGTATTTTTAGTAGAGACGGAGTTTCACCTTGTTGGCCAAGATGGTCTCCGTCTCTTAACCTCATGAACCGCCAGCCTCGACCTCTGCAAGTGCTGGGATTACAGGCGAGTCACGGTGCCTAGCAAGGATTGTCTTGCTGCAACTAGTTCGTCTACCCTCGGCCCACAGCTGATTTGGATATATTCGCAGTGGCTCACGCCTGTAGTCCCAGCACTTTGGGAGACCGAGGTGGGTGATCACCAGATCGAGTTTGAGACCATCCTGGCCAACATGGTGAAACCCCGTCTCTACTAAAAATACAAAAATTAGCCGGGTGTAGTGGTGGGAGCCTGTAGTCCCAGCTGCTCAGGAGGCTGAGGCAGGAGAATGGCGTGAACTCAGGAGGCAGAGCTTGCAGTGAGCCGAGATTCCGCCACTGCACTCCAGCCTGGGAGAGTGAGACTCCGCCTCAAAAAAAAAAAAAACCCTTACGGTTAGAAACTACACAAAAACGAAGCCCACAGCTGTTTCAGTATGTTTAAGTGGCTCTGAAAAGAGCCTTTGGGTTAGAAATGACGTTTACTTAGCAGGCTTACTTGGAGCTGGTGTACTTAGTGACAGCCTTGGTGCCCTCAGACACAGCATGTTTAGCCAGCTCTCCCGGCAGTAGCAAGCGCACTGCTGTCTGAATCTCTCTGGAAGAAATGGTGGAGCGCTTGCTGTAGTGAGCCAAACGTGATGCCTCGCTCGCTATACGCTCAAAGATATCAGTGACGAAGGAATTCATAATGCTCATAGCTTTCGAAGAGATGCCAGTGTCCGGATGGACCTGCTTTAGCACTTTGTAGATGTAAATAGAATAACTCTCCTTACGGGTCCTCTTGCGCTTTTTGCCTTCCTTTTTCTGGGTCTTAACGACAGCTTTCTTAAAGCCCTTCTTGGAAATGGTAGCACCTTTAGATGACACCTCCGGCATAGCTACCACACACTTCTGCAGCGTTACACGGTTCTTTTCCAGGGTTACACAGCACTTTCCAGTGCTCAACAGCTCTTCAGTATTAAACAGCTCCAAATGACCTCAGCTCCAAGTCTCGCCAAGTAAACAAACAGAACTGGAGGATGAAAGATGCGGTATTTATAGGCACGGCCCTCAAACGCCGCGTTCGGTATCCAAAATCTGATTGGACAATGGGAAGTGGCGTGAATGCAAATGAGGCGATTCTAGTACGACTTTCTGATTGGGTAGACGGCCATCAGCCAATCAGATAGCAAATGCCAACCTCAGTCAGACTATAAATAGGCCCAGTAGCAGCCCTAGAAATGTGGTTCTCGTGTTGCTGCAATTTGATGCGAGGAGATGTCTGGACGAGGGAAGCAGGGAGGAAAAGCACGCGCCAAGTCTAAGTCTCGCTCTTCTAGAGCGGGTTTGCAGTTTCCCGTAGGCCGGATCCATCGTCTGCTTCGTAAGGGAAACTATGCAGAGCGGATAGGGGCAGGCGCACCAGTGTATTTGGCGGCAGTGTTAGAGTATCTCACAGCAGAAATCCTTGAGCTGGCAGGCAATGCGTCTCGCGATAACAAAAAAACTCGCATTATTCCCCGCCACCTGCAGCTAGCGATCCGCAATGATGAGGAACTCAATAAGCTTTTGGGCGGCGTGACCATTGCCCAGGGCGGAGTCCTGCCTAACATTCAGGCAGTGCTGCTGCCCAAGAAGACTGAGAGTCACCACCATAAAGCCCAAAGCAAGTAACTTAAGGTTGTCATTGGTAAAAAGACTTCTGTGTCAGAAAAAACAAAAGGCTCTTTTCAGAGCCACCTACCGTCTCAGAAAAAGGCTGTACGTTACAAAACGTTACTGCTGTTAACCAGCCATCTTACTTGCCTGTCACAAATGCCCGTTTAAGCGCATTTCGGGAATGTACGGGGACTGAATTTTCAAGGAGCGTTCCATCGGCCATTAGTTTGAGGTAATTTTGGTTATATATGTCACTGGGCGAGGTGGCTTAACGCTTGTGAGCAGTCAGTACTTGCACTTCAGTGGAGGTTGGAGCGGGAGGGTCGTTCAAGCCTGGGGCTTGACCGTTAACATAATTGAGACCCTGTCCCCACAGAAACTAGCTGGGTCTGGTGATGCAGGCCTGTAGTCCCAGCTGTTCGGGAGGCTGCGGTGGGAGGGTTGTTCATGAGTCCGGGAGGCGAAAGTTACAGTGAACGAAGATTGATTGCTCCACTGCACTCCAGTCTGGGTGACATGAGCGAGACTATCTCAAACTAGATTTATGTATGTTAGTTATGTTAAGGGTTACACATGGAAGTGAAAATTGCATTACAAGCAGGAGAGGTGTAATCTTCCTGTTTAAATCCAGGTAACATCAGTCTGGCTGGTTAAAGTACATTTTAGAGAATTTCCTTTCAAATATGGTAGTTTCACGAAATACTCATAATTAAATGTGGCATGTAAGTAAGTTAATCTTAAAATTTGGGTAAGCATATATATTTGATACCTGTGGTTTCACGTACTTTGTAAAGAATAATAGAATTATTTCTTAAAATGTAAGTAAAATATGTCAAAAAGAAGCCTTACGCCATATGTGATGGTGAGATACTAGTGTTAGACTCAGGCAGGAATGGGACTAGAAGGCCGAACATAATTTGAAGTTTAGAAATTTGGAAGAGTATATGCTTCAAAAGTTTTGACTGTTGAAAAGAGGCAAAATAGTTTGTTGATCTGTGTTTGCAGTTTGTGCTGTAAACACCAAGAGAAAGTGAAAAGCAAAACCCATTCAGTAACGCTGCCAAATAACTAAATTAAAAATTATTGTACGATATTCAACAGTTGACCTTACCTCAAAAAAAAAAAAAATCATTTGGTTACCAAAAAAAAAACTGCTAAACACTTGATGTCTACACATAATAAGGCATGTATAGAAGCAGGTAAAGTTCTATAAAATAAAACATGCCGAGTAAGGACAATCAAGTTACAAAAGTATGAATTAACCTGCATACATAATAAATAAGGGATGCAGTTAGGGACGGCAAAAATTGAAGATATTTGAAAACAGAAATGGCAACTATATGTTGAATAAAACTGGGTAATATTTAGAACATGGCAAATGTAAAACTTAAAATCAGGATATAAGACAAACCTAAACAGATGAATTCCAAGTAATTAATGTAGATACTTTGTCAAGAAAGTGGCACTTAACTTCTCAGACTTGCCAAGGCAGAGGAGGAGGGACTTGACTTTATAGAAGAGAACCTGTGTATTCTTTTATTCCAAATGCACTACATAATACTTTTATTTCTATCTCTAATGCAATCCTATTAAAATTGCATTAAACTAAATGTTTAGATAGAATAAAATATATTAAAAAATTGTGAATACATGTTACAGGAGACATGCCCCCTTGATTTTTCAAAACAATTTACCTACAGAAGTTTCTGATTCTTCTTTTTTTGGAGCCAGAGTCTCGCTCTGTCACCCAGGCTGGAGTGCAGTGGCGTGATCTCGGCTCATTACAACCTCCAGCTCCCAGGTTCAAGTGATTCTCCTACCTCAGCCTCCTGAGTAGCTGGGATTACGGGCGCCTGCCCCACGCCCAGCTAACTTTTGTATTGTTAGTAGAGACAGGGTTTCGCCATGTTGGCCAGGCTGGTCTCCAACTCCTGACCTCAGGTGATCCGCCAGCCTCAGCCTCCCAAAGTGCTGGGATTACAAGTGTTAGCCACCGCACCCAGCCTTGATTTCTTCTTATAGAACTTTCACACGTTTCATAGAGTTTATCTCCAGGTATTCTTTTTTATTACTGTATTTTGGGGAAATATTAGAAGGGTTTCTTTTATTATGTTTTCTGATTGACGATGTTTTACAGATAGAACATTCTTGATATTCGTACTGGTTTGTATTTCCTTCCTTATTCTGTCATTTCTGTTGTCCAGCTTTTTTCCTCTGTGGTTTTCCAGGTAGGCAGAAAAATCATATAATTTTGTCCTGTTGTTTTAAATAGTTGACTTTGTCTAAATGCATTGTCTAATAGTTACACGTGATAATAAAAATGGTGATATTGACTTATTTTCCCCCCCAACAGCCTTCCTCTGTCGCACAGACGAGTGCAGTGGCCTGATCTCAGCTCACTGCAGCCTCTGCCTCCTGGATTCAAGCGATTCTCCTCCCTCATTCTCCCAAGTAGCTGGGATTACAGGCATGTACCATCATGTCTGGCTAATGTTTATATCTTTAGCACAGACGGGGTTTCACCATGTTGGCCAGGCTGGTCTCGAACTCCTGACCACCCACCTTGGCCTTATCCTAAAGTGCTGGGATTACAGACGTGAGCAACCATGCCCGGCTGACTTATTTTTTATTATAATCAGACTAATATGACACTGTCTTATGCCTAATGCTGGGTTTTTATGGGATTTGTGTAATTCCAAAATTGCTAAAAGTTGTTAATTAAAAATAAATATTGGCTATTAACAATAAAACTTCAGCAGCAACTGAGACAAATATATGCCACTTTTTTCCCTTTACTTTTTTTTTTTTTTGGGTGGGGAGGGCAGGGACGGAGTTTTGTTCTTATCACCCAGGCTGGAGTGCAATGGCACCATCTCAGCTCACTGCAACCTCCGCCTCCCGGCTTCAAGCGATTCTCCTGCCTCAGCCTCCTGAGTAGCTGGGATTACAGGCGCCTGCCACCACACCCAGCGAATTTTTTTTTTTTTTTTGTATTGTTAGTAGAGTCAGCGTTTTGCCATGTTCAGCAGGCTGGTCTCGAACTCCTGACCTCAGGTGATCCGCCCGACTCGGCCTTCCAAAGTGCTGGGATTACAGGCATGAGCCACCATGCTCAGCCTCCTTTTACTTTTTATGATAAATCACGTTGAAGGAATTCAGAACACACCATTTCAAAATATGTCACTCTGACATATTGACTATTTGGAGATAGACACTTGAAAAACAGCAGATGCACATACACTCTGACCTTCCTTTTGTTTCTTAAAAGCAGGAGATGAAAGATGCCCTCCCTATACCAGAAGGAAAGTATCATTCTCATCAAGGACAGAAAATTAAGGCCAAGGAAAATCTGTACAAATAAACCTTGTTACACCAACCCTTACCTCTCTAGTCACTTCTCCACCTAATTAATTACTCTAACCCAAGCCCCTTTGCTGTCACATTTTCACAACTTACTTCACTTTGTCAGATTCTTCACATAAGCATTCCATTCTTTGTCTTCGGGTCTTCATTTCCTACTCCTGTGCCACGTAAAACTTCCATTCAATAAATTTATATGCTTTTCTCCTGTTG
This sequence comes from Homo sapiens, assembly GCF_000001405.40. NCBI lineage: Eukaryota > Metazoa > Chordata > Mammalia > Primates > Hominidae > Homo > Homo sapiens. The sequence continues at coordinate 25,722,573 of NC_000006.12, read as the reverse complement.
ACCTCTCATGTCAATTTAATTCTCAAACCCAACCAAAATATCCTGAGGGTAGAAGTAAAGTTTTGCTTCCTCCACTACAATGTTATGGATTTCTCATCAGAAATCACAGAAGTCATGGAACGATAGAATAACACCTTCTAAGTTCTAAAGCAAAATACCTTTCAATTTAAAATTCTGTGCTCAGATGAACTCTTTTTTGTGTAAGGGTGAAATAATTTTTGGACAAAGATTGGAAAGTTTTGCCACTCAGATTCATACTAGAAGAATTAATGCTAAAGAATGTACTGAAATAAAAAGACTGAACTCAGAAGAAAGACTGAGATGCAATAAGCAATAATATTGCCAAAGGAAGAGGTAAAAGTATAAATCTATCTAAATAAATACACTAGTTGTAAAAAAAAAAAAACCTACAATAATACTAGAATATTAAAAAAAAAAACCAAAAACACTGGAGAGTAGTTACAGAAGATGAAAGGGGCTGAAACAAATTAAAGCATGTTGATGTCCTTGTACTGTTTATAAGGAGGACAGACATACTGATTGTTATATTTTCTTAAGTCAGGTTTATATTTTATGATATTAAATGTAACCACTAAAATAATAAAATTAATGTAGACTAGAAAGAAGGTAATAGCAAAAAAAAAAAATAGTCCAGTGGAAAGCAGGAAATCAGAAAGGACTGGCATGACAAATTAGAATGCAAAGTCAAACATTAGAAATGAGTCCAAATATCAAAATGAAGTTTAACCGATTAAATTTGCCATTTAAAAGACAGTATTTGACTAGGAGTAAAACACAGCTATACCTTGGTTATAAAATACCTAAAATTTATTGGCACAGAAGAACATTTAGAAGAAAAGGAGTGGAAAAATTACATTCCAGACAAAACTGTCCCCCAAAAAAATTATTTTGCAAAATTAATGGCAGAGATAATATTTAATGAAAAAGTAATTTGAAAATTAAAAGCGGAAAATATAGGTAGATACACTATTTCTCATTGTGTTAACACCCCAAAACACAGCTTTATAGAAAACAAACAGCAGAAATGTATGACAAAGAATACATTCACAATTATAGTGTATATTTTAATATGTCTGTCTTGGAAAAAGGTAATCACCCCTACCACATATTGGAATGTTAAAAACACACTAAAGCATAATTCATGAGTTTAATAGCAAAACCATAAACCTCTTACTGTGTCTCTGTCAGTCTACCAGTATGCCTCTGTTTCTATCTGTCTCTAAAATGTATGTTATTAATTGTCATCTATATGCTTAAGTGTCCCAAAGAAACCTGAGTCCTCTACCCTAAACTTTATTTTTTTAAAAAATATTATTATATTTTTTTTTGAGAGACGGAGTTTCTCTCTGTCGCCCAGGCTGGATTGCAGCCACACTATCTTGGCTCACTGCAATTTCCGCCTCCTGGATTCACGCGATTCTCTTGCCTCAGCTTCCCAAGTAGCTGGGACTATAGGCTTGTGCCACTACGCCTAGCTTTTGTATTTTTAGTAGAGACAGGGTTTCACTATGTGTTGGTGAGGCTGATCTCCAACCCTGACCTCAGGTGATCCGCCCACCTCGGTCTCCCAAAGTGCTGGGATTACAGGCATGAGCCACCGCGCCCGGCCTCTTCCCTAAACTTTAGAGTCATAGATTTATGATATTGAGAGTTTACGAAGTATCAGGCACAGTTCTAATCGTTTTACTATTATAAATAATGCTGAAACAAACATCTACATGCATACGGTGTTTTCTTTCTCCTGCAGTGTCTCTTTGATAGATATTTCCAGCATTGGAGAAACAGTGCTGTACACATCAGATGAGATCCTGTCCTCCTGGAGCCGAAGTTCCTTATTCTTACTCACCACCCACATACCCCCCATCATCAAGTCTTACATACATAAGGACTTCTCTCCCTTTGCCATTTCTCCGATTAACATCTCTCAACTGCTCCCCCTAGCTGTCTCACCAGGCTCTTACCACACTCTCCTATGCTGTGGTCATAACCAATCTACTTGCAGTTCCTTGAACCCATTGCACTTTAATTCACCTGTGTCTTTATGAGTTGTGTAACTTTTCTAGAATGTTCTTGCCGTTCTTCGTTTAATTAGTTTCTATGCGTCCTTCAAGGATACGTTTATACATTACATCATTTGTGAAGCTTTCCTTGACGATTCCCCCCCTCCCATCTTAGAGTCATTTAGATGTCCTTCTGGTGACCTTGTTGCACATTCTAGTTAAAGGTGTTAATGTTTATGCCTGTCTCTTCTACTAAAATACAAAGCTTTGTATATTTATAAAACTATAAAGCTTTTTATGAGAATGTTTTAATTGTTGAGCCAAATTTTGCAGTGCCTAAAACACAGAAGACACCAATTAATGACTGGTTGAATACATAAATTAAAACACTTTTTTCTGAGTTCCAGCTGCTTACTTTTTAGTATTTAAGTGATAATAGTAAAATAGAAAATTGAGAGTGGAAAGGTCATCAATCATTTCCCATTTTGACATATTTATTCTTATTTTTGTATTTTTTCCACCAACCTTTATGCTTATAGAGAACATTTTTCTCTTTCAATATCATGTTTTTTGAAATATATCATAACATTAGATTTTTAAGTGGTTATGTAATTTTATAATTCTTATTTTTAAATTCTCAATTTCAATAGCTGCATCAAGACATATACTGAGCACTTTGTACCACACATTTTTTTCTAAATGTGTTATGCACTTGATCTTGTTTAATCCTCAAAACAATCCTATAGCTAGGTACTACTATTATACCCACCTTACCAATGAAGAGATTCAACTTCTTTGGAGCAACAGAACTAGCACTGGAGCCAGCATTTCAACCCAGATAGTCTGACTCTAAAGCCCACCTTAACTGCAACTATACTAAAGTGGTTGTACCATAATTTAGTTAAATATACCATCTTTCATTGTTTGGGATATTTTGGGGGGAATTTTTTTTTCTTTTTTCGAGACGGAGTCTCACTCTGTCACCCAGGCTGGAGTCTAGTGGCACAACATCCCCCTCACTGCAACCTCTGCCTCCCAGGTTCAAATGATTCTCCTGCCTCAGCCTCGCGAGTAGCTGAAATTACAGGCACGTGATGATTCACCTGCCTCAGCCTCCTAAAGTGCTGGGATTACAGGCATGAGCCACCAGGCCAGGCCAAGCTGATCACTGTTAACTACTTAGGCTGTTTCCAATATTTTATTATTGCAATCAATGCTGTAATGAACATCTATGCAAAAATAGCTTTAACTCCTTCTGAAGTATTTGTTTAAACCATTCCTAGATATGGGATGATTAGGTCAAAGAATACACAAGATTTTATGCCTTTTTCTGCATATTGTTACTATTCCAGATTATTGCACCAGAAGGCCAGTAGCAAAGCATGACTGTTTCAATTTTATTTTGCCCTCACATAATTTGGTGTTATTTAAAGAAAAATTTGTTTAGTTGGTAGAGTACAGCATTACCACATTATTTTGGTTTGCACTTCTTTTCATCAAAGTGAGACTGAACATTTCCATATATATATATACACACACATCTATCATACATATATATGTGTGTGTGTGTATATATATATACACACACACATCTATCATACATTGCTTATCAACAGGGATACACATTCTAAGAAATTTATCATTAGCCGATTTCGTTGTATTAACATCAGAGTGTACTTACACATACTTAGATGGTAGAGCCTGCTACACACCTAGGCTATAGGGTATAGCCTATTTCTCCTGGGTTTCTGTACAGCATGTTACTGTGGTGAACACTGTGGGTAACTGTAACATAATAGTAAGTATTTGAATATCTAAACATAGAAAAGGTACAGTAAATATATAGTGTTATAATATATGGGACCACCGTTATATATGTGGTCTGGCATTGAGCAAAACATTGTTATGTGGCTCATGACTGTATATGTTTGTTTTTGCCAGTTACTCCCATATTCTCAAATGTCTCTTTGGGTCCATAAAAAATAATTTGAACAACAAATTCAAATTAGTTGTTTTGTAACATTATAAAACTTAAGTTACATTAGGCCCTTAAATATAATATTTGCAAAATCTGAATAAAACAATTTTATAATGCAATCAATGAGAGCCAGCTGAATTTTTTAAACTGCCTCTTAGAGAAAGCTCTCATTAATTTGAAATGCGGTCACACATGAGCTCCTTTAAAGTCAAATATAATCAAAGCTAACACCAGGGGGAGCCCAGTAGTCATTCCATGTGAAAATATATCTGACTTTTAATACATTTCTGAAGTGACACTGGAGAAAATTTACAGTGAAATTATGAATACTGCATTTAATAGTCCTACGGAGAAAAAATAGAAATCGGTGCTTAAAATATACATTCAGACTTCAACCTTTTAGTAAACTGAAAAAGACATGAGAATGATGATTATGTGAACAACAGTTGTAGAACACCCACGAATGCCTGTACAGATCTTGTTTCCGTTGTTATTTCTGCCTCCTGTCAGCATAGGAATCTGACAGGCCTACTTCAGAATCTAGCTCTGCTACATCTAAGCTGAGAGTTCTTGAACCAGTTACATAATCTGTGCCTCAGTCTGTTCAGCTGTACATGGTAATACCTACCTCACAGGGTTATTGTGAAGATCAAACTGAGATCACATCAATAAAGCATCCAGCACATAGCCCAGGCTCAGATATGTTAGTTCATTTCTTCCTCTAAAGCAGTGATTCTCAACCAAGGTTGATTTTGCTACCAATGGTCATTCAGCAATGTTGGGAAGCATTTTTGGTTGTCACAACTGGTGGTGGGTCCGGCATCTCATAGTCAAGGCCAGGGATGCTACTAAACATCTTACATAGGACAACTCCCCAAAAAGAAAAATTATCTGCCCCCAAATGCTAAAAGTGCCAGGGTTGAGAAATCTTTATCTATCTAGAGAAATCTAATATCATCGTTAATACTCCTTTGCTGAGAGCCTATTCTATGTTGGATTCAATTTGAGTTTCTGGAAATACCATGAAATACAAAGATCTTGCCATGCAGGGGATTACCGTCTAATAGTGGAACTATGGCTTATCACAGTCTGCGAGTTTGGGGATGGGAAAGAGTGAGGAAAGTTCAGAGAATATCCCTTTTTCAGTTTAGAGTAAGCACCTTCAGCACCTCCACTTCTGTGAGCAAAAGGTTGCAGAGCACCCTGGGTGCCCTTTTGGCTGTCTTCATGCTAGTGGAGCAGTCCAGAGTTTCCTTCCTGGGGTTTACTATCCCTTAATTTAGGCTTGCTTCAGAAAGAAGTGCTGGTCACTTCCTCAGCACTTCTTATTCAAGTGCTGGCCTCTGCTGCAGTAGATGTTGGGGCACAGGGGCTCTGCCCTTTCCTACAGAATGGGCCTATGTGAGGGTTGCTTTCACCTGCTGACCCTTCAGCACATCCCCTCCCTCAGCCCTGGGGAGTTTCCTGAGGAGGAGAGTAAGAGCCACTTCTGCCCACCGCACATGGCCAGTGGCTCATGAGAGAAAAGGCTTTTGAGTCAGAAGTCCTGTGTGAGTCCTGGCTCTGCTTCTTTCTTCCTGAGGAGCCTGGGGAAAGTCTCGACATTTCTGACCTCCACTTTATAGCATGGAAGGAGGAATCTCTCATGAGGTTTATGTGAACTTTATTTGGTGATTTGCAAATATAAATCATAATCCCCCTCTGGGGGGGATTTGCTTGTTGAGTCCTGCCTGCCCAAAAGTTCTGTAACCAAGCTCAGAATTTGCCACAAAATTACTCTAGTGTGGCCTTATGTCGACAGCTAGAGGCAGGTGGAATCACGCTTAAAAGCAGCTACTGTGTGTCCATTCCGAATTCATCACTTTGTGCCCATTGTTTAAGACACAAGCATGGAAAAGCACTCTAAGGGAGGCTACGGGGCTGAGTGAGCTGAATGCCTGGGAGATCACTTACTGGCTCCTCCACTGCCCATGCTTCTGTCATCAGCCAGGTAGGGAGCTCAGTTCTGAATACACTCCCTTCCTAGTTTCACGTTTTTCTAAAAAGAAAGCAAACGCCTATGTCATGTATCCAAAATGTATAAAATTTGTAGTTATGACTGTTCCATCACATCAGAAAGTTACCAGAAACCTTTAATGAAACAATAAGAACCCTACTAGGGCTAATTTTATGGACGTCTTTCTGTGGAGCTTCTAAAAGAAATTGTGGGTGATATAATTTAAAATTATGTGTAGTGTTGTGCAACAATAGTAAGGAAGCCATTTGGTAGACTCTCAGAGAAGGACAGCAGAGGCAAGTTTTGGGCTCCCTGCCTGTGTAAGAGAACAAGATCTGAATCGGTCTGACCCCACGCCCGCAGGGAAAGAGCACCCTTGAATCTGACCTATTACTTCCACAGCAGATGGTCCAAAGGAAATGTACAGGCATTTTACACAAACATGCATCTGAAAATGAAATTTGCAGTAAAATAAACACGCACTTGGAGAGCACTTTCTCTTCTTGCCGCATCTCATAACTGACTCCACTGAAGTAAATCCTGCGTCCCAGGCAGCAGCTGAAGAACTGAGGGAAAGACCACTACACCTTTCAAACATTAACTCATGAGTTGTGCTGGGTCATCTGGCACTGCAATCCCTCCAACAGACTGTAAGCTCTTTGCTTACGGCTTGTGTCCTTGCCTAGCTTGGTGCCTCACTGAAGGAAGCTGTTATGGTGTCCCCACTTCCCCCAGGGAGGAACCATCAATTATGTTTGGGTCTTCTCTCCTCTCTGCTTCCACTCATATATAGGTGTAAAAAGCATAATAAGACAGCAGAAAATAAAAATGATAACATATGGAATCTAACATATGCATCCACTGAGCCACAGAGCTAGGTAACTACCTACACTAATCCTTCCAAGGATTCCGTGAGTAGTTATTTCTACTTTACCTCTATTTTATAGGTCAGGAAACTGAGAGGGATTTTTTTTTTCCTATGGGCCCTGTTACAGGTTGAATTGCATACTCTCCAAATTCAGATCTTGAAGTCTAACCCTCAGTACCTCAGAATACAACCTATTTGTAAATAGGATCATTGCAAATGTAATTAGTTAAGATGAAGTCATACTGGCATAGGGTGGGCCCCTAATCCAATATGAATGGTGTCCTTATAAAAAGAGGAAATTTGGATACAGAGCCAGACATGCAAACAGGGAGAATGCCATGTGAAGATAAAGGCAGACATCAGGGTAGCACTTCTACTAGCCAAGGAACACCAAAGATTGCCAGTAAACCAACAGAAGCTAGGAAAGAGACATGAAAGAGATTCTCCCTCATAGCTTTCAGAAGGAAACAGCTCTGCTAACACCTTAATTTCAGATTTCCAGCCTCCAGAACTGTAAAATGATACATTTCTATTGTTTAAAGCCACCTAGTATGTGATACTTTCTTATGGAAGCTCTAGGAAACTAATATAGTCCCTCAATGAGTTCTTAGCAAAGCTGGGATTTGGGTTCAGCCCTTCTGATTCTCAGTCTAATGCTCTTTTCTTCATAGAGCAGCTGTCTCATTTCCTGAGGGGAAGTGACCACTTCCATCTGATTAATCAGGGACTGCCTCCTGGAAGAAGTGAGCTTTGAGCTGTGCTTGAAGGTGAATAATGTTTTGATGTGTGGAAAAGAGAGTGGAGACAGAGGGTCACACCAAGGGTTAGGAAGGCTCTAGGCAAGTTAAGGCTAGAACAGAGAACCCATATAAGGAAACATATCTGGTTAAAACGTTTGCATATGCTGAGTACTAGCGATATGGCCTCGCAGTGTTTTATAAATCTGCTGGAGATAATAGTTGTGGCCAATACAAAGCCATTTAGGATTTCTGTGAACCTGAGTGTGCCAGTAATTAAAGGGTCAAGCTTTTGTGAAATCAAGTTTTTTCTTTGCCTTCCTGATAAAGGCAGGATGGGAAGTAGAGAGAAGTTTCATGAAATATATCAAATAGCCCAGTCCTACTGCTAGCAGACACTTCTCTCCTGAGTCAGTTACTTGAATCTTTTGCTATTACAAGTGATCCTCTGTCTCTGGAAGATCTTTTTGTGTACCTCAGTTAAGGTAAAGATATTAGGCAAAACATTTGAAAATGAAGTTTTCTTATCCAAAACAGCCAAAGAGAAAATTTTCAGAAAGTGTTGAAGGGACTGGCACAAATGAATGATTTTGGTTAAACTGATCCCTGGGATATCCAAGCATAAGATCGCAGATGGGGCTGGCTGGTGTGGTCCTTTAAGAGATCTCAACAATGACTTGTTCTATCTCAACAATAAGCCCAGAAAATGCTTATTCAAATGGAGATAAAAACGTGATGCAGCCAGCTACAACACTTTGTTCATTTATCTGCTTTGGACTCAAGGGTTTATATATTGAGAATCTACATCTGTTAAAGGTCATCCCCTACTCTCGAGCATGTGAACCAGGCCTGCCAGCCCCCTGGTGACAAGCATGTTTAATTTAATTGCAGGCTGCCCTCTTTGCCAGCTCTTTTTGACTGAACAAGTGCTGGCTTTTTCACCCCTGCCTTAATTTGTGGTTGCAAAAATGCTGTAATCCTGATGCAGCAGCTGAGAATGGCTCTCAGATAATCACTCTGCAAAGCAGTATCATTAGCAATATGAATGCTTGCCTGTGGATTGCTATCATTGTGCATGTAGTAATCAGTGCTGAGTCAGAATGGCATAGATTTATAAAAAAAATACAAAGTGTGCACCAAGAAAGGGTTCCACACAAACTATCCTTCCCTGTCCCTCTCCCAACTGTGCACAACATTCCCTAACTCAATTTTGCTACCATCTGCACTCAAATAACTAGGGGAGTAAAATTTTGCTTCACTGTCTAGAAAAAATGGGCATTATATTTTGACAGATGAAGAAGAGCTGTTTGAGAGTATTCGTTCTCAGATTCTTCTTTGCTATGCTTGGGTCACAGGGAGCCCTGATGTGACACATGGCAGTCTCCCCTCCAACAGCTTGCTGTTTCCCTGGGTTTCTGTTATGAAGCTAGGCCCAATTCCACTGCTCTGGGACCAAAAGGCCTTTCTTTCTTATTCTAGCCAAGGGAATTGTGTTTTGTTTTGTTTTGTTTTGTTTTGTTTTGTTTTGTTTTTGGTGGACAGTGAGGAGCCCAGGTTGCTCTCCTGGCTCTCTAAGATCTTCTGATTTTCCCCAAATCTTCTTCTTTATTCTATATCTTCTCCACAGACGAAGTTCTTAGGAACAACCTGGGAGACTTGCAGACCAGGGCCATGAACTTCCCAGGGTGCAATGGGGAGAATTCAAGCTGGTAATATTTTTTGTGTTTTGGAAACGGAGTTTCGCTCTTGTCACCCAGGCTGGAGTGCAATGGCGTGATCTCAGCTCACTGCAACCTCCACCTCCCGGGTTCAAGCAATTCTCCTGCCTCAGCCTTCTGAATAGCTGAGATTACAGGCATGCGCCACCACGTTCAGCTAGTATTTGTATTATTAGTAGAGACGGGGTTTCACCATGTTGGCCAGGCTGATCTCGAGCTCCTGACCTCAGGTGTTCCATTCGCCTGGGCCTCCCAAAGTGCTGGGATTACAGGCGTGAGCCACTGTGCCTGGACAAGCTGACCAAAATTGATTAACAGGGTAACTAAAAAATGCAAAGTTGTCATTAATAAATGTGAAACTGAAAAAGCCAGTCCTTCAGGATGAATCCCAAGTGGTTAACTGGACCTGAATTTAAAATAGAGCCAAGGATCAGTTGCTAACTAGAAGTCACAAGGAGTACTCTGAGTTCCCAGTAAACCCACACCTCTGTTCAAGTTCAGAATTTTCAGAGCTCACCTGAACCAACCAATCAGGGATCATCTGTATTGACCAATGAGGGCTCAGCTGTATAAACCAATCAGAACTAAACAAATTTGAATCTCTCATTTGCATAAACAGACATGACTAGGAACTTGGGTGGGGCTTTTGCTATAAAACCTATATTAAGGTAAACAAGCCCCATTACGTATGTTAGTACATAAAAGCAACTCTTCAGCTCTGAATCTTCTTTAGGGCAGTTACAATTTTGCAGTGGCGGTTTCAATAGCACATAGCCAGTAAGGGGTGGGCTCGAAAATTTAACTAGGTTCATATACTTTCCCCTCGCATTTATATAGGTTTTCTTCCTATTACATGTTCTTTCTGACCTGACATATCCTAGAGCTTTTCTAACTTTGGATGGATTTGTTTGGCCCAAATGGCTTGCATCTGCCCTATTAAAGTATACAAGCCCCGTGAAGAATTTTAGTGCATAAAAGCTACTTTCCGGTCTGAATCTTCTTTAGGGCAACAATTATTAGCAAGTAATTTTAAAGAATAATATCTGTAGTGAAAATACAAAATGAAAATATTTGCGAACTTTTCCATCAGGTTATTAATTATTCAACATGGATTGTAATCAAGAATGTAGTTAGAACTAGAAGAAACCTTAGAAATCAATCAATCTGGCCTTTCATTTTACATAAGCAATGTAATCCTGGGAGAGTCAGGTGACTTTGTCCGAGATAAAATGGCTTAAGCTGGAATTCACATTCAGGATTAGACCCCAGGTTCAATAACTCTTTCACCACACTGTGTCAGGGGGAAGCTTCCAGCCCCTCATGGAAGAAGACTGTATATATCAGATAGTCTCCCTAGATGTTAACTCACCAGGCAACACTGACTACCAAGTGCTGCCCATAAAATTGAGCAGCCTTGTGGACCACTCATACACAGTGATTTATTCAGGGAAACATCAATCCGACAGCCAAAAAACTTGAAAATTTTAGTCATTATTGAACTATTTCAATAAACATCAAAGGAGATTGCCATAAATAAAAAACCCAGTGAACTTTCTTAAACTTCTAGCAAAAGAAATTGTGCCAAAGAGTTGGCTTTGATCTTGTTGATTGCAAATAATGAAGTCAAATTAGTAGTGAAGGATCGTATTTTCACTACCATGAAGTTTTTCTGGTAATAGGTAAGCACTAGATGGCAGGCAAGCCGTTGGCTATTGTGTCTCTTTTTATGATGGGTATAAGAAGAAAGATGTTCCCTTGACTGTAATCTGGAGTGCAAAAGAAAAAAAAATGGAGTTCATCATTTCATGCTCTAACAAATTAGTGAACACAGTTATAAATCCTTGGAAATGATTTCCCTGTGAAAACGATTACCTCAACTCTGTTGCAAACGCCATCTTCATTTTTACATACAAAAAATTAAGGTGAGAAAATGTTTAAAACTAATTAGATTCCAGGAAAGCCAATTAGGCAAGCACTAATTCTATATTTAAAGGAAGATAATGGATAGATTATTATGACAAGATAAAGATGGATAATGGAAGAGAAGGAATCACAGCATAAGAAATACCACAAAATGCATCAGGTTTCTTGAAGGTCATCGCCACCCAACCCTCAACGTTCTCGCATCTCCATTGTCAGTCTCCATAGACAATTAGGAGTTTTTCCTTGTAATTTTTTTCTTTTTTTTTTTTTTTTGAGACGGAATCTCGCTCTGTTGCCCAGGCTGGAGTGCAGTGGCGCGATCTCGGCTCACTGCAACCTCCGCCTCCCTGGTTCAAGCGATTCTCCTGCTTCAGGCTCCTGAGTAGCTGGAATTACAGGTGCGTGCCACCACGCCCGGCTAATTTTTTGTATATTTAGTAGAGACGGTGTTTCACCGTGCTAGCCAGGATGGTCTCGATCTCCTGACCTCGTGATCCGCCCGCCTCGGCCTTCCCAAGTGCTGGGATTACAGGCGTGATCCACCGCACCTGGCCTTTTCTTTTTAATTTAACATAACGGAATAGAGTCAAGATAGACACATTTCTTTTTCCTAAACAGTATCTCTAAGTTGCTGGAATGCTACTTCTAAAATAGTGAATAATCTGATCTTTACTTTGAATTCCTAATTCATTCCTGTCCACTTTTTTGTAATTTTTTGTTTGTACTCTTAATCTTAAAATGTCATTGCGCCTTTTTTGAGTTGCGTAATACTGATATGGAAAGGAAGGGCATGGTCCGTTTAAATGGTACCGAAGCGGAAAGAGAAGTACTGGGTAGAGGAGGGCGTGGTCCTTGGCTAGGGGTCCGCCCCGAGCCTGTGCCCACGGACCTAGGTGAAGACAGGCATTGTTTTTTTCCCTGACCAAAGGTTGCATTTCCCAAGACCTTCTTGGCCTGCCACGCCCCCATCCTGTGCCTATAAAAACCCCCGAGACCGTAGCAAGCGGACACAGAGACAACTGTTCGTTCAGAGCTTTATACTGCTGGAGGAACGCGAGAACGAGAACTAGCACGCCGCTGGCAAGTTATCCACTGGCAGAAAGGGGTGAAGCTCAGTCAGAACAGCCAGGAGGATTCGGGCTGTTCAGCAGGCTTCTGACAGCAGGAGAAAGCTTTGCTTCTCCACTGTTGGACATTTTATGCCTGCTGCGTTCTGAAGACCTTCCACTCATTTTCCAAGCCTACCTATCCATAGACCAAGAGCTTGAGAGAAAGTTACATGTTCTTACGGTAGACGGTTTAATTGAGGTGTTTAACATAAGCCGCCTACAGACAACGAGACAAACTGCAGGGCCCTGTAACAAGTCCGCTGGGGCTTCAGGAGTTGTAGACATTGATCCCTTAGGCACTGCCATAGCGTTACAGTACCATAACCTGGTTCTCTGTGTACTGCCCTAGAGATTTCAGCAGCGGGGCAGGGAAGAAGCAGGTCACTGCTACATCGCATTCCCTGCGAGAAAGACAAGGGAGCTGCTCCTTTCCAACACTATACTTTTGCCATCTTTTTTCAATAAAATACTTTAATCTCTACTCCCAGGAAAATAGGCCACAAAGACAGTTTCTGAGATTATTATGTAATCCACGAAAGACAGCTATTTAGGCCGCGCGTGTGGCTCACGCCTATAGTCCCAGCACTTCCAGAGGCGGGCAGATCACCTGAGGTCAGGAGTTCGAGACTAGCCTGGCCAACAATGGTGAAGCCCCTTCTCTACTGAAAAATACAAAACTGCTGGGCGCCTCTATTCCGAGCTACGCAGGATGCTGAGGCAGGAGACTCACTTGAACCCGGGAGGCGGAGGTTGCAGTGAGCTGAGATCATGCCACTGCCCTGCAGCCTGGGCGACAGAGCAAGGCTCCGTCTCAAAAAAAATGTTTTAAGAGTCCAGATTTTTAATAAAAATGAAGTGTTGCAAAGTTTGGAGTAACACTATTGGGCATCTTGGTTGTTTCCATACTTTTGTATATTACAGCTAGTACTGTAGTGAACATCCTTACAAATCAATTTTTAGCCAAATCTCTGTCCATTTTAAAGCTTAAATATTTTAAAATCATTTTCCATACTATGCATCCCACACTTCCTTTTGGATTTAGTTTTCTGCTTAAATACATCCTTATGTAGTTCTTAATAAGAATATATGGTGGAAGTTGAGTAAAGCCCTCAAAATATTTGTCTATGTAAAGTCTTTCAGGCCGGGCGCGGTGGCTCACGCCTGTAATCCCAGCACTTTGGGAGACCGAGGCGGGCGGATCACAAGGTCAGGAGATCGAGACCATCCTGGCTAACACGGTGAAACCCCATCTCTACTAAAAATACAAAAAAAAATTAGCCGGGTGTGGTGGCGGGCGCCTGTAGTCCCAGCTACTCAGGAGGCTGAGGCAGGAGAATGGCGTGAACCCGGGAGGCGGAGCTTGCAGTGCGCCGAGATTGCGCCACTGCACTCCAGCCTGGGCAACAAAGCGAGAGTCCGTCTCAAGGGGGAAAAAAAAAAAGTCATCCTAATTTTGAGTGTTAGTTTAGATAGGTAACATTTTAGATTAACAGTTATTTTCCTTTCTTACTTGGAAATACTCCACTGTCCATTTGTTATCTGTCTTTGCTGATAAAAATCTACTGGCAATGTAGTTATTATTTAGTATATAATTTTCTCCTTTTTCTCAGCTTTTGAGATTTTTTTAGCCTTTATTTTCTACATTTTCAATATAGAGTTTCTGGTGTGGGTTTATTTTTATTTACCAGGTTTAGAATTCAATATGTATTCACATTTGGAGGATTCATGTCTTCATTTCTGGAAACTCAATTGTTATCTCTTCAAGTTGTATTGATCCACTATTTTTATTCTCTGTATGCAATTGCTATAGACATATGTTGTGGACTCTAAAAACTATTATCTTCTTTTTAATTTTTATCTAGTGTGTCTCTGTGTGTCTTCCTGTGTGAAGTGTCTGCAATATGTGTATTCACTGATTCCAACTGTGACCCGTCAAAAGTTATTTCTTGCACTGATATTATTTCAGTAATTATATATTTTATTTTCATTATTTTAATGGGTTCTTATTTATGTCCACTTGCTTATATTTCATTCTGCCTATTTTAAAATAATTGTTTTAATTATTATACCTTTATTATTGTAAGAGTTCTAAGCAAACATATACTGGTATTATAATTATTAAATTTTATGTTTATATATCTGTTTAAGTAGATAATACATTCATGTGGTTCAAAATTCAAAAGGTACAAAGAATATTCCGTGAAGTCTCCTTCCTACCCTGTCACCCAGTGCCTCTTCCTGGAGGCAAGTAAGTTACAGATTCCTTTACAAACATAAGTTACATATATTTAAGCAAATACAAACATACCTATTTTGAAGGTATTTTTATATGGCTGTATTGTTTTTATTTCATTTGTTTACTCCCTGGGTATTGATTTTGTAATAGTCTCTTCAGCATTAGCTTTTCTCATGAGCTTTTTTCCCAATGACCTTAAAAACTTTTTGCTCTATTTATTTTTAAAGTAAATTTTATTGCATATATTTGGGTCTTACAACATGATGTTATGGGACATATATAGATAGTAAAATAGTTACTATAATGAAGCAGATTAAAATATCTGTCATCTCACGTGGTTATTTTTTGTGACAAGGGCAGCTAAAATCTACTTATATAACATAAAATCCTAATACAATTTTATTAAGTTCAGTCCTCATGTTGTACATTAGATCTCTAAATTTGTTCATCCTAGTATACCTGCTATTCTATATCCTTTGACCTACATCTCCCGACTGCCTGTGCCGTCCCCTCCTCACCCCCCAACCACTGTTTCATCCTCTATCTCTGTGTATTTGAGCTCTTTTTTACAAAACCCCAAATATTCCACATATAAGTGAGATCATGCAGTATTTTTCTTTTTTGTGTCTGGCTTAGTTCACTTAGCATAATGTCCTCCAGGTCCATTCATGTTGTGGCAAATGGCAGGCTCTCCTTCCTTTTTAGGGCTGAATATATATACCACATTTTCTTTATTCATTAATCTGTCAATGGACATGTAGACTTTTTCCATATCTTGGCTACTGTGAATAGTGCTGCAGTGAACATCAGGGTGAGATATCTTTACAAGGTGGTGGTGATTTCTTCTCTTTTGGGCATATACTCAGAAGAAGGATTGCTGATAGTTCTATTTCTAACCTTATGAGCTTTAGAATTAAAGTTTGCAGGCTTATGTGAATAAAAAATGATCTCTTTCTTTCTCTTTCTCTCTCTTTCTCTTTTTATTTCTCTTTCTCTCTGTGTCTCTTCTAAGTTCTTGTCCAGTAGCTTGGTGCTTACATAAGACTGGCCTTTTAGGGCCATAGCTTAAAACCTACATTTTGCACTGGGGGACTGTGACTCCTTCCCTCTAAAAATGCTGTGGATGTTAGAGGTTGCATAATGGTGCAGTGAGTGACCTGGCACAGGTCCAGCTCCCTAGGTTTGAGCCACTCATAAGCCTTTGGCCCAGCAGCGCCTCTCAGCTTTTCCAGCCTCTTTTCATGCCTGTGAAGTCCATCTCCAGCCCCTGGTTTTGAGCAGTGAGACCCACTCCTTTCTCCCTGCTCAGGGACTTTTCTGGTGCCGGCTGCTGCCCCTTCTTGCCTCAGAATCTGGAGCCCAGCAAGACCTCAGGCTCTGCTTTATCCTACAGGAAAAGTCTCGTCTTATTTGTGAGCCTTATTTTTTAAAATTATTTCTTATCACTGATTCTGACAGTGCTATGCATTTGGAGTGGTGGCCCGGGGATATGCTTGCTCAAATCCTGAACATAGAGCATCATTTTCACCAGAAGTCAGTATTATTTTTCAGATAAGGAAATGGATATATAGAGAGATTTGTTGATTTTCCCCAGGCTATACAGCTAGGAAGAGTCAGAATTGGAAATAAATAGCAGGGAACCAGCCTCAGAGGCAAGGCTTTCTCCATCGCTCGGTGATGAAAGTTTCTCAATTGTGCTGGTAACTGTGCTAGGAGATGTATACTCATGTAGTGGTCTGGCAGGGCCAGATGGAGTTGCTACCAAAGTCTAAAACCAGGGTTCCAGATCTTACTGGAAGGTTTTCACCTCGTTGGAGGTGACATACACACATATGTATCACACACACAGATACAGCAACTACAGGAGAATTAGGATTAAATTATGGATATTAATTAAAGAATAATAGAAATTGGGTGAAAAGAGATAGTGGAGAGTATTGGAGCAGATTTATGGAAAAGTTAGGACTTGAGATCCAAGAAGAAAGGGCACATTTTAATTGGTCAAGAGCAAAAGGGATGAAATGGAAGGTGGAAAGAAGAGATTAGAAAAAGGTCAAGAAGAGAGACTAGGGAGCTGTGAAGTCACTGCAGAGAGAGGAGGGAGGCTGGAGGGAATGTGGGAGCAGAGGAGAGTGGGACTGATGTCAGTGGAAGATGGCCCAGAATGTTAAGAAAAACAAGGGAAGGTCCACAGTCAAAATAATTAGTTCCTTTAACCCTGGAGGGAATGAAGAGAGAAGGTCCTTGAGGAGACAGAAGCAGGTGTTTATCTCCCAGGTTGTGACTGTTTGTTATGATAGTTAGAAACTCAACATTGTCCTAAAAGTCTCACAGAGGAGGTCATGGCTCTAAGTATCCCTGACCCTGATAAAGCAAAAATAAGCTAACTATTGCTAAAATAAAAACCTACAAAAACCTATAAGCTTTTGCCTTCAAGAACTTATAAACAAATAAGTCATCAAGAAGAAAAACTGAAGCTTATGGGTCTGGCAGTAAGGCCTCTGAAGTTGTTTTTACACCAAGCCTTGTTCAGGTTTAATCAGAAAGTCTGTTATTTGTGTTATATTAAGTCCACTCCAGCTACTGGGTTTTATAGAATTTGGGGCTGAATTGACCAGAAATTGCAATATCAAGAGATAAAGTAAAGCTGGATACCCACACCAATTTTACTGAAATTTTACAAAAATGAGTGATTGAGATCTATCACTTAACTATTTATTTTAGGCTACACTATGCAGCAAAAATAATTACATTTTTATTTTGCTTTATAATCATGTAGACCCAATAAAAGATTACATTAAGCACCGCCCAATCCCCAACTATGTTGTGCAGTAGATTCTTAGTCCACCAACACCATCATCACCACCAACAGCATCACCACCACCACTATCAACAGCATTCTTGATTACAACTAAAATGCTTCATATACAAAGGATTGCAATACACAATTCCTTGGTATCAATAACTTTACAATCTACTTAAGAAGGAAAGTATCCATAAATATAAATTAACACTATTTGGAGGTATAGTTGGCAGATGAGTAGGACAGTGACTACCTGGGATCATAATTCAGGGGAGGGAGTGGTGTCTGAGGGCCTGACCAATTGAAGAAGGCTTCATTCATTCTTAATAGGTATTTGTTGAATGAATGGATGAACACACATCTTTGGACCAAAGCACAGCTTTCAGGATGCCATTCCACTTTTTCCCAACACATCAAATATATATTACATGGGCTCTGATAAGAGACTTCTGCCTACTAGGAGCCTCTACTTCAGCTCCCTGATCTGCCTCTGGTTTTTCAAGAAAAACCTAAGTCCATTTATCTTCCTTGGCCATCCATAAATGAATCTACCAGCACCTACATTATAGGATATAGTTAACTCATTCCTCACCAGCCCTTTCTTTGCATGCTTGGAAAGGTCTTCAACTTAAGATTGTAATAGAGCAGGAAACCTGAGAGCTTCTGATAGAGTCTCAGCTATGTGCCATGACTAAAAGCTTGCTGGTGCTCAAGGTAAGTAGCTTCTTTCAATGGGTCTGAACAAATTATTCCTAAAAGAATAAAACGTCCCTTCCCATCCTCATCCTCCTCTCAGCCACCACTAGATAGACACGGAAGAGGATGCACATCTTTAGCTAAGAATGCAGTACACCCATTGCAGGAGCAGCAAACCTCAAAGACTCTCTTCGTGTAGCTAAAGGAAGAGTCATAAATTAAGTAGATATGGCTCAGCCTTGGGTCTAGTTCTGATTTTTGCCAGTTCCAGAAAAAGCTGTATTTAGAAACAGGAGATTAAAATTAGAGCCTTCTTACATTGCTAGTGGGAATGTAAAATATTGCAGCTATATGGAAAATAGTTTGGCATTTCCTCAAAAAGACAAACATAGAATTAATATATGAACCACCAGTTCCACTCCTACATATATACACAAAAGAACTGAAAACAGGGACGCTGATGCTCATATGCCAATGTTCCTTGCAGCATTATTTACAATAACCAAAGGGTGGAAACAAACCAAATGTCAATCAACAGGCAAATGAATAAACAAAATATAGACTACTCATACAATGGAAAATAATTCAGCAATAAAAAGGAATGACATTCTGATATGTGCTACAACATGGATAAATCATGAAATTACGATGCTTAGTAAAACAAACCAGACACAAAAGGTCAAATATTTTATGATGAAACTTATATAAAATATCTAGAATAGGTGAATTCATATAGACAGAACATAGATTAGAGCTTAACAGAGAATGGAGAAGAGGGAAATTGGGAGTTATCGTTTAGTGGGTACAGAGTTTCTGTCTGGGGTGATGAGTAAACTTTAGACATAGTGGTAATCATTGCACAAGATTGTAAATGTAATTAGTGCCACTGAATTATACACTTAAAATGGTTACATGGCAATTGTTATGTTACAAACACACACATATGTATCTATGACTATAATTTTTTTAAAGTTTAAAAAAGTGATAGTGGAAGAGAATGCATTTGTGACATATAGAGTGGGTTTTCTCAAACCAAACATAAAATATGTTGCAATAAATATATATAAAATAAATTCAACTATGTTAAAATAAAAGGCTTCTGTTACTTAAAACACAACAAGAAAACAGGAGATTAAGAGGAATTAATCACTGCAGAATAATGTGATGTCCTGGAAATAGAGAATGTCTTTTCCTCTTTGTGGGTTCAGGCAGTCTCAATCCTGAAAATGGTTGTTTGTTCTGTGAAGAGTGTATGTGTGCACAGTTAGCTCACCATTTGGACAATCAACAGAAGAATCTGGCATGTGTGGTTCACCCTGTGGTGCTTCCTGAACTCTCTTTAAGCTCCTACAAAGTGTACTCCAGGTTGAATGACCCGGACTTGGAGAATTGTTCTTCTGGGAGGTGTGGCGGATCCCACTGTGAGAAAGAACCTGCAGGAAGGGGCCAAGGCTTCCTGAAAGGTACGTGAAAATTGTCTGTAATTAAGTGGTTGTTGGCCGGGCATGGTGGTTCATGCCTGTCATCCCAGCACTTTCAGAAGCTGAGGCGAGTGGATCACTTGAGCCCAGGAGTTTGAGACCAGCCTGGGCAACATGGCGAAAGCCCATCTCAAAAAAAAAAAAAAAAAAAAAATTAAAAAATAAAGTGGTGGTTAGGAGCACGTGGTTCCAGCGTCAGACTCCCTGACTTCCCACTTCTAAGAGCTATGATAACGAACATATTGTTTAGCTTCTATCTACCTTGGTTTCTTCATCTCTAAGATGAGTATCATGATAGTACCTATCTCACAGGGATTTGGTGAAGATTAAATTACTTAAGGTATGGAAAGCACCTAGAAGTACTTGGCACATAGAAAGCACTTAGTAAATAGCAGTTCTTAATATGAATTATCTATATGTTGGAGGTAAGGGTGACATGAAGGGAAGAAAATCAGGTTAGGACGACGGTGTGCAATGAAGGGAACCCCTGTAAACAGAATTCGTGGGTTATGAACAGCTCTAAATACACTGTTCTACACTAATTTTTCTGAATTATCTGTAACACTTCACTAAGCCTGAAATTACTACACAGTCTAGTATAAGGTAGGGGTGTTATGAAGAATAAAGGATGAAGACAGTAAAGGAAAGTGGGGCCTACCCTGCAGAAACTCTCCCCTTGCCCCAACAGTCTCCTTTCCATGGGGATGGCATCAGAGTTCCAGGAGAGAAGAGAGCAGGGCACATGTTGGGGCCAGGAGCATGCAGAGGCACCCATGAGAGGCACTCACGTACCTAGAAGAAGGCTGTCGTGGTCCCAGATTTGCTGGGGAGCACTGTTGGAAAAGGAAGGGATGGAGAGGGGAGCCCGGGTTACTTGGGAAACATTTTCTTCATACTTCTTCTCTATATCTACCTGCCTAGCCATGTGAGCTCACCAAGCACTTAAGAACAAACCCCAGTCCAGGATGAGTGTTCTGGTCTCCTCCTTCCAATAAAAAGTGATTATTGGCAGCTCTCACTTTAATGCCAGCTCACCAGGAAGTCAGCCCTAGTGAGGGCATGTGAGGACTATAGAAGGATTGGTGGTGTGGATTTCTTTTAAGATATTGCCCTTCACTCTCCTTCTCCACCATTCCCCCGATCCCCATTAGATAAGGGGTTTGTTAGTCAAACCATCAGGTAGAACATTTCAAAGGTCACAAGACAAAAGCAATTACCAGTACATTTTTGTTTCCAATTGCAGATTTATTTCCACACACACAAAAAAATCTATGTTGAAGTTACAGGATTGCCATGAATGCCACACACCTTTCAGACTAAGCAGAAAGCCCACAAGAAAAGCACAAAATGAATGCACTCAGCTGCCCCTGTCCCCCCCACCCTGGTGACTGGGGAAGGACAGGCAGAGCCATCTAACAGGGGAGCTGAGTCTTTGGGAGGATAGGAAAGCCCAGGGTCAAGGGAAAACAACACAGACACTACACAGGGGCTTTCAGTGAGACAGGGATAGATCACGCCGGTGGAAGGAAGGCCCTAGCGTCCCTGTTCTTGCCCAAGAATAGCACACCATTTGTGAGTTTGCCCACTGTGTTCCCAACATCAATGCACAGATACAATTCTACCAGCAAGATCACAGAAACATAGTAAGAGCAAAAGGCAAAGCAGTCTGGGATTATGGGTTGATTTTCAGCCCAAGACACAAAGCCAGCTCAGACTTCTGAATTTTTCCATCCTTGTTCACGTCGCAGTGACGCAGGAGAATCTCGCGGAACTTATCAAGGTCCACCCCGCTGATGCTGGGCTGAGGGCGACAAAAGTAACATGTTAACAGGCAAGCCAATGGTGTTCTCACCCTTTAACACCCTCTCTGATGCTCCCTAAGCTTAGGGTGTCCTGCCTTGAAGGAGACAGGCCACAGGGAGTGAGGGAATGAGTCTATCGCCTCATCCCACCAAATGCTGCCAAGGATAAGTTTTCTGCCAACAGCTTCATTTCTCAGCATGTCCCTTCAGGCCAAAAAACCTTTACTTCCACATCACTTCCCTGCAGTTCTTAGAAAAAGACTGCCTTATTAGCAACCATAGTAAAGATACTTTGCCGCAAAGTAGGCAATTATGATCATAAATTTCTGCCTTGCTGCACTGATGAGAGAAGACACATTTCATTATCTCCTTGTAGGAGATTTTTGTGCCTCTGGTTTAAAAAAAAATGGTTATACTGAAT
Source organism: Homo sapiens (assembly GCF_000001405.40). NCBI lineage: Eukaryota > Metazoa > Chordata > Mammalia > Primates > Hominidae > Homo > Homo sapiens. Next base: position 25,700,784 of record NC_000006.12, on the reverse strand, counting down.
GTAAATTTAAAACATGTGGTTGAGCTAGGGATGTAATATTTACTCCAAGGGATATGTTAGGGGGCAAGAAAGAATGTTAGCTAGAAACGTGACACATGTTAGCTAGGAAAAGTTTTTTACTTCAAGCTCAAAGGCCTGCAAAAGTGAGGAATGCTTTAACAAATTGATTCTCCATAGGTTATTTCATGTAAGCTTCACAATAATGCTGGGAAGTAAATAATTCCACCTCTTTTACAAATTAGGAAACAGAGGTGCAGAGAAAGCTTAAGCTTCCTGCCAAGCTGGAAAGTTGTGGCAGCATTTTTGAGCCCAAGAATAGTCCAACAGTCCTCTGACAATTGGAGACAGTCCTCAATAGTCCTCTGATTCCAATTGAGTGCTCATTGCAAAATTTCATACCATTCTCATGGAGAAAAGGCTGGTCTAATGAAACTACATGTGTGCTGATGCATCTGTGAATAAACGTCAAAATCAAAGAGCCCATCCTTCAAAATGGATCTCACGTGGTTTACTGGCCCAAAATTTTTTTTTTTTTTTTTTTTTGAGACGAAGTCGCAGCCGTCCCTGCTGGAGTGCAGTGGCAGTGATCTCGGCTCACTGCAACTACCGTCTCCCGGGTTCAAGCGATTCTCCCATCTCAGCTTCCCGAGTGGCTGGGCTTACAGTCACCCGCCATCATGCCCGGCTAATTTTTGTATTTTAGTAGAGATAGGGTTTCATCCTGTTGGCCAGGCTGGTCTTAAACTCCTGACCCCTGGTGATCCGCCCACCTTGGCCTCCCAAAGTGCTAGGATTACAGGAGTGAGCCACCGTGCCCGGCCACTGGCCCTAAATTTAAAATAGATCCAAGTGGCCCTTTTTTGACTAGAGATGACAGCTTACTCAAGTACCCTGAAAACCAGCACCTTTTTCTTTTTAGGGCTTTCAGAGCTCACCCGAACCAACCAATCAGAACTCAGTTAAATTAACCAATCAGGACTCAGCTCTATTGACCAATCAGAACTTGGCTCCAATAACCAATCAGAACTAAGCAAGTTTGAATCCTTTATTTGCACAAACAGAACTAACTGGCAACATGGGTGGGCACTGACTTTGTAAAATCCAAACCCCCTTTTGTTCTCTGCACCCTGGTTTACACTGAAAAGTGTGTCCTCCATTTTCCCATTTTCTTTTCTTTTTTTTTTTTTTTTTTTTTGAGACAGAGTTTCAGTCTTGTCACCAAGCTGGAGTGCAGTGGTGCCATCTCAGCTCATTGCAACCTCCGCCTCCCAGGTTCAAGCAACTCTCCAGCCTCACCCTCCCAAGTAGCTGGGATTACAGGTGCCCACCACCACACCCGGCTAATTTTGTATTTTTTCAGTAGAGACAGGGTTTCACCATGTTGGCCAGGCTGATCTCAAACTCCTGACCTGAGATGACACACCTGCCTCGGCCTCCCAAAGTGCTGGGATTAGAGTCCTGAGCCATTGTGCCCAGTCCCGTTTTCAAACTATTAACGGGAATAAAGCCTTTCCACCAAATTCCTTTTCAGAAAACTTCTGTTCACAAATCTAAATTTAAAAGTCAATGTACAGAGAGAAAAACAAAAAACAAATTTAGTCAAATTTCCAAGCCCCTTGATTACTGGAGTAGTTTTATGAGTGAATAGAGAAGGCAGCGACCCGCAGGTTTGATTTCAGGGGCTCTGGGAAGCACTCTCCATTACCCAACCCTGCCCCAAGGTTTTCTTGCTTCCAAAAACAAAATCACTAAAAACATCATCAGTAGGGGAAGAAAAAAAAATTGTTCCTTAACTAGCCAAGCCACGTTAAGACTCGTTAATTTGCACTGTCCAATGGGGTAAATGACTGACACCAAATCTATTATTGATAGCAGGTTTAAAATAGGAGGAAGGAGGAAAGAGCAACAGAAATTGGGAGCCAGATGGCAGAGCAGGAAAAATAAACACCAGAGTAGGCCTGGTATTCAGAGAGATATCAGGAGCTGAAAGTCTGGGACCAGAAGATAAACTTGATCAACTTCACTCTTCTGTGGAGAGTGGCCTGAATGATTAGACTCTGAGGCCACAATGTAACTCGACCTTGTCAATAGGTTCTCTTGTAGTTCTCTGCCAGTACCAGGCAAGTATAGATGTGGCCCAAGGAAATGTGGCTCAGAGGTCCTGAAAACAGCAGGCTGCATTCTGAGACCCCCTGGTGGGAGTTCATTTGTTGTACAGTGCAATGTGGGGATGTTTGCTTTTCAGCATCTTCAGTGACTTGTTGGTAAAACTTTTCTCCACTAAACGGCCCCAGGATCCTTTTGGCAAATCCCATTATTAGAAAATACTCAAGTGGTAGTCATTTACACATTAGTGTGAATTAATTTGCCAATGTATTTACCTCATTCAAACTATTCTAAGTTTGTTTTTGTTTTGTTTTGTTTTGTTTTCTAATTGAAGAATAATGGACTTTGTTTCCCACCATAGTAATTATTTCCTTCAAGTGAGTAGAAAATATTTTTGGTGTATGAATGCATGTGTATTAGGGGATGTGGGAATGAATGTGGATGTATGTAAAGGAAGTTCCTTTGGACCTTTTGAGTTATGTTTTTAATATTGGGCAACTCAATATGAGTCAGGAGACCTAAATGCCACAGCTCAAAAATGCACGTGTCACTGAAGACAAATCACCAGAAACCTTTAGAGCCTCAGTCTTAACAACAGTTTTTATAACAAGTGACTAATATAAGTGCAGATAGGTTCCTGAGGTAAGAGCTCTAAATATATTAACTCTAATCTTCAGAACAACCCTAGGAGGTTGTATCTACTTTCATCATTAATTTATAGATGAGTAAACTAAAGCACAGAGAGGTTAATTAACTTGCCCACTGTCACACAGCTGACACATGTCAGAACCAAGATACAAATCCAGGCAGTCAGGTCCCAAAGTGTATATTTTTTATCACTACACTGTATCATAATCTTTCATGTAAAAATGTAACTTTTTCCTCTTTCATCTCATAGGACAGTGTGAGAGTGGATCTGAAATAAAATTGATTGAAAAATGCTGACCTGTCTCCCTTTAATCTTGGCAATAGGGGGACCTTTGGGGCTGGCCTTCTCTTCCCAATTCTTGCCCATAGTAGGTGCTCAATTATATCTATGAAATTAGTGAATGACTATCCTCAAATGCAGCCTTCCTGTTTTTGTCATACACCTACCCTTTCCTGTACATTCCAATTCTCTTAAAATAATTAAAGTTCATATCCAAGCCTTCTGTTAACCAGCACTTCACAAATCTCTATCCTAGAGTCATCATGACTCCAACACTGGACCATATTCTGACCACTAGAGGAACTGAATTAGAGTTTCACTGATGGTAAGTGCATTTTATTGTAACCCACTTAAAATAATTCTCTACCAATCAAAATATTTAATTAACCAGAACCTTATTCTGTAACCATGCAAAATTACAACATGTTTTCTGTCTCCAGTTTGCTATTTATTGGCCACACTGGTGTTTGAAAACATTGAGGCGACAGGCAGAAGTTAAGACATTATTGCTTAAGATATCTGTCCAGGTCTCTACCAACAAGCCTCTGCTTGTTTACAAATTATCACCTGCCATTGCTTTTTAAAATGAAAATAAGAAATTACATTGGTGTTCCTTTAGGATCACTTTACTAGGCAAATGGAAACGTCTGCTCAGATACTGGGAAGTCTCCTAGAGAGTGGTGTACCCAGCAGTGCTTTAATTTGAGAAGCTCCAGGAAGAACCTCTTCAGTCTTTCAACTTTCTTCCCATCGCTAGTTTCCACCACATTCTTTTATATCTAACAAAAAACATTCTTTTGTTAGATATTCACTCTTTGGGATTACATTTTCTTCTCCTTGCCACCTATCCTCTCTTTTCAAAGTTTTTCATCACCCAAGAGATGGCAGCACGTTAAGTCCCTAACATAATAATGCGAAAACATATAGTATATATACCAGAATGCTATCTTCCGTGATAGACAAAGCTAGGTCAAAATGAAGTCATCAGCAACTTTCTGGGTAGTGAGGGGAAGAAAAGTCAGGTTTGAGGAAAGGACGTTGAAGAAGGAAATGGGAAAGCACACCTGCTCTTTCTTCAGATGTTTGCTAAAACTTGACAATGGATCCCAGGAATTTTAAAGCACACAAACCACTTGATTTAGTAATTTTATTCCCGGGACAAGGCCAAATATAGAGAAAGATCTTTGCACAAGGATATTATTGCATTACTGTTTTGAATCGCAGACATGGGAACCCATCTAAATTATTAGTAATAGGGGAATGTTTAAGTAAATTATGATCTAACCACAGGTGAAATATTATGTGGTTACTGAATGACTGTTAATATTATTCTGTAATAGGCTATATATAGTATACTCTATATTATAAATAATATACTATGATATTGTAATGTCTATTATTCACTATAACCTCAACCATATAAAAACATACATAGGAGAAAAGTCAGTTCACAGTCAGTCTGTTAGAACATAGAGGTTATGCTTCTGTTTTTTCTGGTTTCTGGTTTCTGATTTCTCTATGATGCATGTATCATTTTTACAATTTAAAAGTGAAAAGAGACATTTTTGCTAAGGGCTAGCTCTTTAGAGAGGCACATGTTAGATTCAATTCTTTACTGAATCTATCAATAACAAGAGGTATTGTCCCCTCTTGCCAATCATCTTCCTGACAATAGCAGAGAAAAAGCAAATGGGTTGTCCATCAAGGAAAAGAAAGAACTTTAGGGAGGACTGTGGGCAGGAACTCCCATCACTTCCAGACAGCCAATGTATTTGGCTTCCGATGTTAGTGTTCATATTTCTACCTTCTCTTGGGAGATCTGGAATTTCTTGCCATTCTACTTTCTCATTTAAGCTGTAGATTCTTGTGTTGATTTTTATGCTGCTCTGAGTGAGCTACGGGCTGTTAAAAAGTTTTGTAGGCCAGGCAGAGTGGCTCATGCCTGCAATACCAGCATTTTGGGAGGCCAAGGTGGGCAGATCACTTGAGGTCAGGAATTTGAGACAAGTCTGGCCAACATGGTGAAACACCATCTCTACTAAAAATACAAAAATTAGCTGGGTGTGGTGGCATGCACCTGTGAATCCCAGCTACTCAGGAGGCTGAGGCAGGAGAATCACATGAACCCAGGAGGCGGAGGTTGCAGTGAGCCAATATCACGCCATTGCACTCCAGCCTGGGCAACAGAGTGAGATTCTGTCTCAAAAACAAACAAACAAAAATCTTGTACAGAAATTATTGTGCATATGATTAACAATATTGTATGGTATACTTGGACATTTGCTATGACGGTAAATGTTATGTTAAGTGCCCTTGACATAAAAGAAAACAAAACAAAATAAAAAGACAAAAAAAGGTGGAGGGGGGTGGCTAGAGAAATGTTTGCAGGTGATGGATAAGTTTATGTCATTGATCATGATGATGGTTTCATGGATGTATACTTACCTCCAAATGCATCAAATTGTATATGTTAAGTATATACAGTGCTTTTTTAAGTGTCAATCATATCTCAATACATTTGTTGGAAAAAAAGAAATCATGTTTATTCCTCAAAGACCTGTAATCTTATCAGATTGACAGAGGAAAGACTTGGGTGTCATTTTTCAGAGCTTGGGGAATGGGGTGTTTTGATAACCAAATAATCTTGTCCATGTAAAGTCAACATATACATCATATGATTGTCCAAGAATTAAAAAACTATAAGATAAGCTTACTTCAGAGTTATTACTGCAAACACCAAAAACCCTGACCCAGACTTTGTAACTGGGCCAGCTTCCTGCTGATCCCATGGTATATGCTCTCTGACAGTTTCTTTTAAAATAAATTCCAAATACTGATTTGTTTACTTCTCCCATGGCCCTTTTTTATAAAATGAAAATAAAGAGAAAAGTCACAGGAAAGACTCTGTTTATAAAGCCAAGAAATATGAAATTCAACTACTGGCCATCCTTTGACTACAGCATACAAATTATATGGCGAGTATTTTTAAAGAAACCTAGAAGACTAAGGAAGATCCATTAAAGACTAGGAAAGGCACAGTAAACGTATGCACCTTCAATTTTCGGAGGAGAACATTAATAATGAACTACTGTGTACATATGTTTTAGCTCAACAAATCATCTGGAGAATCCCAATAAATTCCTTTTGAATTACTGACCACAGTCTGACTTGGTCTCTAGGAACTAGCTCTGTCTCAAATTGGCTGGTGCTTACACTGAGAGGTGCCTTTGTGCTGCCCCAGCAGCTCCACAGAAACAGAGAGGCTAAAAGGGGCGAGGATCTTCACCTTCCCATAGAAGTGATATAAATCCATTGAAGAACGAGGCTGATCTCTGCTTCCAACTAATTTTTTGCATGGTCTAGTATTTTTCCCATCTCTTTCATTTTCTCTGGAAAAAATGTCTTGTCTGCTATGTTGTTGGTTTGGATTTTACTTCTATCTCTCCTACTGGCCTTTGGAAACCATTGCCAAACTCAATGACAATTGAAAGGCAGAGTTATTGAAGATTATTAAGATTATCCAGATTCAAAAATCATGACTTTTTAAGAAGGGATCCAGCAAAATTACTGGTTATAGATATCTGGGCTTTCTCTTACAAAAATCATATGGAAATAGCAATGATCATAGTCACTAAAGTTATGAGAGCTATATCACTTTCCAGATCAATATGTGATATAGCTAGTATTTTTTGAGTTTTTAGTAATAATTTATTACCATGGTATTAATTAGTGAAGTAGCACAATATTAATTGCCTTATACAGATTTTCCTCCTGTAATCTTCATGACAACTTTATGGAAGTAGGATCTATGACAATTTCCATCTTCCAGATGAGGAAACTGAGGTTTGGAGATGCAAAATGACTTGCCCAAGGTCTCATTGGCAGGGAGTGGTAAAATCAGACCTGGAACCCCAGGGGGTCAGCCTAGAATCCGAATTCTTAGCTCGAATTCTCATCAGCTTCTTAACTTTTACTTGCCTTTATTTTCAACATTTTTCTATAGTATGCAGAGAGAATTTTATAATCAGAAAGGAAGCAAAAATTTTCAAGCTATGCATTCTAAAATATGTTAGTTAATTGCCATCTGACATAATCATACCTATCTTTTAGATGTTTTCTTTTGCACTGGCTTTTTTTACATTATTGTTTTAGACAGGATTATCCAATAGAATGGCATAGCCATGCATTGAGCAGATGATTCCTTTTATGAAATTCTCTTTCAAATGCTAACTATTCTCAGAAATGTACTCCAAAGATTACAGCAGCTTTGTTCCTTTTTTTTTTTTTTTTTTTTTTTTTGAGACGGAGTCTCGCTCTGTTGCCCAGGCTGGAGTGCAGTGGCCCAATCTCAGCTCACTGCAAGCTCTGCCTCCCAGGTTCACACCATTCTCCTGCCTAAGCCTCCTGAGTAGCTGGGACTACAGGCGCCCACCACCACGCCCAGCTAATTTTTTTGTATTTTTAGTAGAGATGGGGTTTCACCGCGTTAGCCAGGATGGTCTCGATCTCCTGACCTCGTGATCCACCTGCCTCTGCCTCCCAAAGTGCTAGGATTACAGGCATGAGCCACCGCGCCCGGCCGCTTTGTTCTAATAAAATAATAAAGACTATTATTTTTGGAAATCATTTGATATCCCAGGGACTATGATCAATGTTTATGTTATTTCTAGTCAGCACAAAACCCTGGGAAGTAAATATTGTTGTGCCCATATAATGGATGAGAAGACAAGTATCAGAGAGATTGAGTAACTTGCCCACACACATACAGTTCATAAATGGCTGATCTGGAATTAAAGCTCAGATCTGTCACAGGCCAAAGCACTGTCTCCCATTTTACACGGCCTCATCTACAAAAAAAAATTCCAATCAGTTCTTTTCATAGTGAGGGAAAAGAGAAAGAAGGGAAGAGAATCAAAATGAGGTTACCAAAGAGGAGGAGCAGCAGCCACCCCCAACCAAGGCAGCCCCTCTGGAAACCACCCCTTCAAATTCTGTAAATCGGATGTATTCTGATTCAAGCAGAGCTTAATCCCTCAGCCCAGCCCAGCTGCCTCCCACAGCCTGGCGAAGACGTGGGATGCCACAAGACTGTTGTCAGCAACAAATGACACCTCTGACCTGAGAAAAAATTGTTTCCCACAAGTTTGAGAGTAAAGAAAAGGGGGAGCAAAGAAGAAGGGAGGTTGATTTGGTTAATGACTGACTGCTCACTGTGACTCTGCATCCACACTCACAGCTGGGCTGTATGTGTGGGACATGGAAGAGAAGAAGGCCAAAACCTCTCTGGGGGGTGGTGGGGTAGAGTGCTGTAAGGTTCCAAAGCCCCCAGGCTCTACACTCAGGCAGTCACTGCCCCTGGCTCCAATGCATAAGAGGCCAGGCAGCTCTCAAAAACAGACTGACTGTCCCATTCATTCTCTCAAAAGCAAATTAAAACTCTAATTTAGCAAATGCTGCCATGCAACTTTAATATCCCATAGATAATTGCTCAGTTTCTATTACAGAAGCCATTCTGACATTAAATAGATAATGAGTGAAATGGGATTTTCCTCTAGCAATCAATAGAAAAAGCAATACCACACCAATACTCATCAGTTATTCTGGCTGTGCAAATGCCCGTGAAATCTCCAACAGGAGCAACAAGTGAATGAGGAAAAGAGGAGACAAGGGACCCACTGGGATGAGAATAACAAAAGAAAGGAATCACGGACGATGTCTCATCAGGCTGATTAGATGTCAGAAAGGGTTTTATCCATGCCTGCTCTATTGCAGTACACAAACTTCCTGGAGATTCATGCAAAAATTGATATTTGCACATTTTTCAGCTGCAAGGTTCCATAGTGTTAATCTGATTTTCAAAGAAGTCTGGAACTCCACACACAGTTCATAATTGCTACTCTAATTTTTTGCCATCTGGCCCAACCAGAACACAATCATTGTGTTCTGAACAAACCTCAAAAAATCCCTAGGGATACAAGACTACTAAATTCATTGTCGACACAATCCCATGGAAAAGGAAGAATAGGAAATGATCTGCTTAACTGGATCATGTAGCTGGTCAATACAGTTCAACAGGACCTCGAAGAAGGTTTTTTAAACCTTGTCTATCCTACATAAAACAGCTGTGTGATGTAAATATAATCTAAATTTCATCCGCCCCAACCTCAGCAATGTCTTAACCGATAAATAACCATCTTAGGCTAGGTATTAGAGAAGCCTCTTAGTTAAAAAAAAAATAGAATTCTGAAGATAAGTTTTATTACGTGAAATTCAATTAAATGTTTTAGTTATTCTAATAACCAAGTCTGAGGGGAAGAGGGACTTTCTGTAACCAAAAAATAGAACAGAAAGATATTCAGTGGCACTGTGCTCCTTTGGTAAAATAGATGGCCTTTAAATGATGGTAAAAACATACTTGTATGATAGCTTCATGTAATTTAAACTACAATCTTAAGAAAGCGAGGGAGGTTTGTTGGGTTTCATAGCAATTCAAAGGTTATTAAATAAACTACATCCCTAGATTTTATCTTTGACATTAACCTTCAGTCTCACTGATTCCCACAAATAAACAATGGAATAAATCAAAACAACAACCCCACTTCATAATAAGAAGAACGTGCACTCACCTGGACAAGCTCCATCATGTCTTTGACAAACCCATCCACTTCTGGGCCTTCCAGGGCTCCTGTTTTACTCTGAAAAAGAAAAGATCCAATTGCCCAAATATCAGTTTCTTAAGCCAAAAAGCAAGGCAATAACTTAGGTAAATAAACCGTATCAGTATTCTTGTGTGGCCGCAAATAGATTTAGAAGTGGCATGTTCCAATTTATGTTCTCCATGCAGGACATGAATGTTCCACATGAATTAAAATAACTCATTGAAAACAGCTCCATGTAACCAAATGAGAAGTCATACTTTTGAGTTCCTCGGCTTTTGCAGATTGCAGTCGTATGACATATATTGCCTTCATTTGCTTCCCAGGTCCCAGGCTTCAGTTCAGATAAGTGTTAATTGTACCTAATATTAATCCTTTGAGGTATAGATTGAAATTTTTTATTTTGCCCTATAATTTGGCAATGATATGTTGATTATTAAAATATTTATTTTAAATCCAGGGAGACTACATTGAATGAACATGTTAGAATTATCATTTGGTCTGTACATGAGACCCTTTATTTTTTTCTAACCATTTTATAACACATGCAAATATGAACATCTATAAAATACAATACATATTAAAATATTTGTTTCTTCTCTAAAGTTCCACTATAATAATTCATCTACTCTCTTTGTGATTTCTTAATCCTGAGCCTTTAACATATCATTTTAAAAATTCCATTCCCTTAGTGTATTTACCAAACACTTATATAGTACTTGTCAGGCACTCTCATAAAAGCTTTATAAACCTGAATTCATTTAATTCTCATAACATCCCCAGAAGGTAGATATTATTATCCTTATCACCCTAATTTTACAAATAAGAAAAACAAAGCACAGGGAGGCTAAGGAACCTGCCCAAGGCCACATAGGTAATAAGCCATGATTCAAACCTAGGTAATTGGTCACAGAAGCCACGTGTTTAACCACCTCTATGCTAGACTGCCTCTCCCAGGTGATACTGTTTTCTGCTCAGAACATGACACATAATTATCTAGTCTGATTAGTTTCAGGGAAACATCCTTATAACCTTTCCCAACATTTTTTCTGCTTTTCTACTTTTCTTCCTTCTTACATCATACTATCATGTCCTTAGGAAATTCAATCTCTTTGCCATACTTTGTACTTATAATTTTTATATTCTCCCCTTTTCATCAAATAATTGGTTCTACAAGAAAAAATAGTTTTTATGATAAATAGGTATGACTTTTCCTCTATTTCTTTGGGTTGAATATTGGGTGGGAGGGTTGTATGTTTTTGTGTATGATATTATAAATGAACTCTTAGTCCTACAAGAGGGAGAAAACTTATAGTTTAGGCCCAAGGAGTCAAAAAAAAAAGTCATTTTTTTCTCTTCTCAACCATGTGTACTCCTTTGGCTACTTTTACTTTATTCTCAGAAGGTCTAGAGGAGTTGAGAGTACCTTGACCTAGAACACACAGATGGGATTGGTATTCATCATGTAAGTTTAGGGTCTGTTGGGTAAGATGGCTCCACATAGGGGTTAAATAAGTTTCCTACTCAGAGATGGCCAGCACAGTATAAAGACGCACACTTACAACATCATAGTAGGCAAAGATTTTCTCAAAGTCCCTTTTCCTTTCTTCAGTAGAACAAGCCTGTGTAAGGAAAAAACATTATGTCAGTCCAGCAATGTGACAATTCAGCTGTACAATTCTTCCAGAGTCCTGGGCAAATTTTGTAAACTTTGAGTCAATGACCTTTAAGATCCCTTGATTCCATGCTGATCCTTGTCTGTTTTCTAAATAAGTTAAAAAGTAGGGCAAATAGATGCCTTCCTTTCTTCTTTCCTGCTCAAATCCGTAGAGAAACAGCAATGACATAAACCCATCTAGAGAAATGTCACTACTTACATCCATTTTAAATTGGAGAAGGAAGTTTTCCTGAAGAGCCAGAATCCTAAATAGAAAAAAAAAAAAATCCACGTAAGGATCGTTCAGCTCTCAGTTATACGAAAACTTATAGCCCTGGTGTGTGGAAAGTACAGGCAATTTCCTGCAGAACAGAATAGGTACTTGAAAGACAGAACTTCCTACATCACAGAAACAAAGAAATTAATTGGGAAAAACTCGTAGAGATTAGTAGTCACCATAGACTTTTAAAAGTTCATCTTAGTGGAAAATGGCACAGTATGGGCTTCTGGAAATTCGCTCCTCCATAAAACTGGAAAAAATAGTCAAAATAACTTTCCCAGAGCTCTGGAAAATAATTAAAGTCTTGCAGCAATCTGGGGAGTGTTTATTCTGAAAAAAATCTTTTTTTTTTTTTTGAGACAGAATCTCTCTCTGTCGCCCAGGCTGGAGTGCAGTGGTGCGATCTCGCCTCTCTGCAAGCTCCGCCTCCCAGGTTCACACCATTCTCCTGCCTCAGCCTCCCAAGTAGCTGGGACTACAGGCGCCCGCCACCAGTCCCGGCTAATTTTTTTGTATTTTTAGTAGAGACGGGGTTTCACCGTGTTAGCCAGGATGGTCTCGATCTCCTGACCTCGTGATCCGCCGGGCTCGGCCTCCCAAAGTGCGGGGATTACAGGCGTGAGCCACGGCACCGGGCCTCCAAAACAGCTGAATCTTGGTTAGAACAATGACTGTCGTAGCATTTAACTTGCCCTAACACATACACAGAGCCCGTTAGCAAGAGACTGGGAGACTTACTGGTTCAAGACATTTTAGAAAATCTCTGTCCAATTATGAACTGACCATTGAACTAACCTAGCAGAGACTTCAGTGGACACACCTGACAAAGAATATAGACTTCATAGAATTAGTTCAGAAAAGTCACCAAATAAACAACAAAAGTCATCAATACACCAGAAACATGACCTATAAGAAATACTAAAGGGAGTCCTTCAGGCTGAAATTAAAGGACACTAGACATTAACTTAAATCCACATGAAACAATAAAGAGCACCAGGAGCGGTAAATATATAACCAAATATAAAACACAGCATAAATGTATTTTTTGTGTGTAACTTTTTTGCTTTCTGATTTAAATGACAATTTCATAAAACAATAACTAAAAATCTATGTTGTGGAGCACACAATATATAAAGATAAAATTTTAACAACAGAAAGGAGGAGAAAGGCATTTGAACTATACAGAAGTAAAATTTGGGGTATAATATTGAAATTAAATTGTTATTAATCCACAATTAGATTTGATATAAATTAAGATGTTAATTGTAATCTAGCAGACAACCACTAAGAAAATAACTCAAAAAAAATGCAAAACAAATAATAAGGGAATTAAAATAGTACACTGGAAAATGTCTGTTGAACGTGCAGGAGGCAGTAATGGAAGGACAGAAGAATTTTAAAAAAGCTTAAGACAAAGAGAAACAAATAGCAAATATAAATCCTACCTTCTCAGTAATCACGTTAAATATACACATATTAAATACTCCATTAAAAGCAGAGATTGGCAGAATAGAAAGAAGTAAAACTATCTCTTTATAGATGATACAATATTGTATATAGAAAATCCTAAGGAATCCAACAAAAAACTACTAGAGCTAATACACAAATCCAGCATGTTGGCAGAATACCAGATTAATATAAAAAATTCAATGACATTTCTATACATTAACAATGGGCAGTCCAAAAGTGGAATTCAGAATACTAATCGTTTCATGATAGCATCAAAAAGAATAAAATATTTAATAAATTTAACAAAAGTGGTTTAGTTTGTAGACCGAAAACTACAAAACATTGTTGAAAGAAATTAAAGAGCTAAGTAAATGAAAAGACATCCCATGTTCATACACTGGGAGACTTAATATTTTTAAGGAGACAACACTTCCCAAATTGATCTGCAGATTCAAAACAATCCCCATCAAAATCTGAATTGGTTTTTTTGCAGAAATTGACAATCTGGTCCTAAAATTAATGTGAATATGCAAATGAACCAGGATAGCCAAAACAATCTTGAAAAAGAGGAACAAAGTTTGAGGACTCACATTTTTTATTTCAAAATTTGCCTGCAAATCTACAGAATCAAGATAGTGTGATATTGGCATAAGGACAGATATGTAGATAAATGGAATAGAATTGAGAGTACAGAAATAAACCCATACATATGGCCAGTTTATTTTCAGAAAGGGTGCCAAGACCATTCAGTAAGGAAAAATATTCAAGAAATGGTGTTGGGACAAGTAGATATCTACATGCAAAATAATGAAATTGTGCCCCCACCTTACACTGTATTAAACAATTAACATGAAAAGGATTTACATAAAACAGAAACTTTATAGTTTATATAACTCTTAGAAGGAAACAAACGGGTAAATCTTCATGAGCTTGGATTTTGGCAATGGCTTCCTAGATATGACATCTAAAACACAAACAACCAAAAAAATTAGACAAATTGGACTTCATGAGAATTAAAAACATTTGTGCTTCAAAGGACATCATCAAGAAAATGAAAACACGACTCTCATAATGGAAAAAAGTTTTTGCTGATTATACATCTGATAAGTGTCTAGTGCACAGAATATATACAGGACTCTTATAGTTCAACAACAAAAGGACAAATCGCCCAATTTTTCAACTGGGCAAAGAATCTGAACAGACATTTCTCCAAAGAAGACATACAAATTGCCAATAAAACATAAAAAATGTTCGAAATGCAAATCACAATGACATACTACTTCACACCCACTAGGATGATTATAATTAAAAGAAAGATGCAAACAATAACAAGTGCTGATTAGAATATGGAGAAATTAAAATCCTGATACATTGTTGGTGGGAATGTAAAATGGTGCAGCCACTTTAGAAAACACTTTGGCAGTACCTCAGAAAATTAAATGTAAAATTACGACACGAACCAAAAATTCTGCTCCTTAATATATAACCAAGAGAATCACAAACGTATATTTGTCCCAAAACATGTAGCAACGTTATTCATAATCTCTAAAAAGTGAAAACAACTCAAATGAACATCAGCTGATGAATGGACAAAATGTGGTATGTACATACAAGGGACTATTATTCAGCCATAAAAAGGGATAAAGTTACAACATGAATGAACCTTGAAAACATTACTCCAAGTGAAATAGCCAGATAGGAAAGGCACATATTGTGTGATTCCATTTATATAAAATGCCCAAAATAGGAAAGTCGATAGAAATAGAAAGTAGATTGGTGGTTGCCAGGGCCTTGTGGGAGGAGGAAGAGAGGAGTGACTGCTGATGTGTACTGGGTATCCTTCTGGCATAATGAAATGTTCTAAAATTAGATATTGGTGATGGTTGGACAACCTTATGAATATCTTAAAATCTACCAAATTGTAGATTGGTAGATCTGACTTTAAAAGGGTAAACTTTAAGGTACATAAATTATGTCTCAATTTTAAAATAATCTTGTTTTTGTTTTAGAAAGCAAATATGTCTGCCTCTTTTCTGTATAATTATAATTATAATTATACTTTAATAGAATACAGTCAGTTTCAGTAAATTCAACATTAGATTTATGTTGTATTCATAGTCATGAGGATATATAGAAAAAGTAGAAAAAATGTAATACAACTATGTGGAAAATCTTTGCTCCTCCAAATGCTCAGAGTAGAGGGAATTAATTTGAGCCAATTAGAAGACAGAATATCCTGGAGGTCTGCCAGGAATATTGTTCTTAGTATTTGCAGGCACCAGGCAGCCTAAATCATGTTGCCAGTCACAGCACATATTACTTGGGAGGTGCTTTTATGTAGAGGAATTGAACTGCATTTCACAGCTGAAAGTAGAGAGAGAAAAATCCTATCTGGAAATGTTTTAAGGCCTCTTTGTTGTTGTATTAGTTTCCTAGTGCTGCTGCGACACACTGCCACAAACATAGTGGCTTCAAATAACCATAATCATTTACAGCACTAGAAGCTGAAGTCTGAAATCGATCTCACTGGGCAAAATTCAAGCTGTCGACACGGCCTCATTCCTTCTGGAGGTTCTCGGGGAGAATCCTTTCCCTTGCCTTTTTCAGGTTCTAGAGGCTGCCTACATTCTTTAGCCTCTTCTTCCACTTTAAAGCCAGCAACTAGCATTTTCAAATCTCTCCGTGACTCTGACCTTCTGCCTCCCTCTTCCATATTTAAAGGATCTTTGTTATTATATTGGGCCCAATGTGGATAATCCAGAATAATCTCTATTTTAAAGTCTATTGATTAGCAAACTTAATTAGATCTGCAACTTTAATTCATTCTTGCCATGTAACATAAAATAGTCACCAGTTCTGGATATTAGGATGTGGATATCTTTTTTTTCCTTTCTTTTTTTGAGATAGAATCTTGCTCAGTCACCTAACTAGAGTACTGTGACGCAATCTTGGCTCACTGCAAACTCTGCCTCCTGAGTTCAAGCGATTCTCCTGCCTGAGCCTCTTGAAGAGCTGGAACTACAGGCATGCACCACCACACCCAGCTAATTTTATTTTATTTTATTTTTTGTATTTTTAGTAGACACAGGGTTTCACTATGCTGGCCAGGCTGGCCTCAAACTCTGACCTCAAGTGATGCACCTGCCTCGGCCTCCCACAGTGCTGGGATTACAAGTGTGAGCCACTGCACCCAGCCTAAGACGTGGACATCTTTATTCTGCTTACCACAGTTCACATTTTCAAATTCCGTATCAAACTGGTTTTGAAATACACTTGGCACCCCCTATCTGTGGGTTCTTCAGGGCCAATTGTGGGACTTGAACATCCGAGGATTTGGGTATCTGGTATCCGCGGAGGTTCTGGAACCAATCCCCAGAGGATACTTAGGGAAGACTGTACTATACTAACTGATTTTGCTGCCTTTCATCTCTGTTCAGTGCTACTGTAACTCCATCAATTCACAACTACTCATTGAATCCCCCCAAGTACACAACACTCCACCAAGTGAGAAGTTATTCAAGGGATTAGAGCATAGTCCCTGCCCTACCAGCAGGACCATAGCAAACCCGCCTCTACAGAGTGTTTAGACTCATGCAGAAGGCCCTATTAGTTATCACAGTGATAAAGGGGGCACAACTAGCATTTTGTACATAGGGCTAGGGATATTAGGTTTCTGGCATTGCATGGAAATTTCTGCAGAATGAAGAATTGCCCCATGTCTCACTTGAATTTCAAATGTCCAGGGGGCAATCGTGACTGTAAAAACCCTGCTTTTAATTATTTGTGCTTGGAACTGAATTCTTATTTGCATAAAACTCAAGGTTTGCATAATTTACTACTTACATAAATTTTCCACATGGTATATGAATTGTGTTAAGAGATTAACATACTTTGTCTCATTTGGAACTCTGTCAAGACTTATTATTTCATAAAATCATATCAACAGCACCTGAGTTACCAAAATGTCACAATTGTATCAGTCGGCATCTGAGCTGCCCCATTTATGATAATTCTACCCAGGTGAAAGCATCTGACCACTTCACTATATCTTCACTATGATTGTATGCAAGCACTTATACACTGAAATGTGCATTATTTTATCATTAACTGCTTTCCTTTTATTTCTCCTTTATATGTTACAGTCTGTGCATGATGTTAGTTATTTTAGCATTGTATACATAGGTAGGTCATATTGTGTATGGACTAAGAGGGCAGAGAGCAGCTGCTCTGAGCCCTTTATTACCCCAGCCTCCCAGGGCACACAGGGCTCCTCAACTCTCACTACCTCTGAGACGTGCACAACTGAGTCAGGGCACAGGTGGATAGATGCTTTTGGTGAAGGGAACCATGAGATTGCAAGCTTTTGTTTTCATCTAGATTGTCATCTATTGAATGAATCCTTTGGTGGCTTTGGGATTGGCTCTTTCACATAGCTCTCTGACCTCTACTTGAGAGGAACCCTGCCTCCATTGACCAAGAGAACCAGGTGGGATCCAGGGAGCAGAGGCGAGATGCCTTCTGCCGCAGGCCTGATGGAGAAACACTTTTGTCCCTCTTTGGCTGGTCCCTCAGTGGCTCTTCTATATCAATGTGGACAAAGTTAGAACGAAGGTCCTAAAAAAAGTAGCCAAGGAGGACACACAGGCTGCCTCACAATTCCTATGAGGCACAGATAGAAGGCCATTTAGTGTACTGGGGTCAATATTCTGGCTGTTACTGAGGAGATATTCTTCCCAGTGAGTCCCCTTTCACAGATATCAAAACCTGGCTGAGGTAGCTGCCAAGAAAGGAGATAGCTGGTGTGGGATTTGGTGATTCTGAACTCAGGTTAATGTCCACTAAGAGACGAAACCAACATCTTCTTGTGACTTTGTCGAGTTACCTCCTCATCATTAAAAACTTGCCTCCAGTCCTTGGAATTCCTCTCTCTCAGCTATACCTGCTGCTGCGCTGCAGCCTGTAACTGCTGCCCTGCTTACAATTACCATTGAGCCCTGCCCTGAAGCAGCTGGTATTATGGATGCTCCCCAATAACAGGTATATCTGTGTATTCCAGATCCAATAATTTCAACTCTGACTATTTGCTCAGAATGTCTTTCTCTTTTTTGTAGACAACTCCATGCTGTTTGGGATCAGCCAGACTTGACAAAACATGCTGACACACCAATCACGTGTCACAACACCAGACTCACAGACAACATTTTCATGGACACTGAGCCACTTCTGCTTTTATCCTGTCCTCCTCCACTTCTAGCCTTCAGACACTTGGTGCCTCCCTGAGGATACACCAACACTTCAAGAACACAGAGTGCACCTGGAGTCGGCTGAGTAGTCCTGTGTCCTGAAATAACTGCTCGACGTTCCCAGAGCCAGTAAATGGGATTTGGGACATTTTTGTCATGAAGTCACAATGTGGGACTATAAATGTCTTGCCTTTAAGGGTAGGGTCTTCCCATGACCCATCCATAACATTTGTGAAAATGTTGTGTGTTGTGCGTTTTGGAGAGAAGAATTTTCATTATCTTCACAAAGGGATCTGTTACCCTAAAAGATTTAGAATCACTCAGCTTATTGGTAAGATGTGCCTATTCTTTTAGACTCCAGGTGAGGCTTGATCTCCAGTCTCAAAAGGAAATATATGATGTCATCAGACCCCTAGTAAGGTATTTCTGAATGTATGATATCATTTCCATGTAACTCACCTTGCTAAGTCATTTAGATCCAACCGACCATCTTTATTTCTGTCAAAAATCTTCATCTGAAATGCAGAAGGGAAAATGGTTGTACTTGTAACAGGAACTAATTCTGAACGTTATTAAAGCACTTTTCTATTTTGCTCTTCTGATTACATATTTGCCTAAATTGGCTGAGGAGCCCACTTGCCTGGGGGAAAATTAGTATTTGTCACAGAAGGAATTGCATGTCAGCCTCTCTGTTAGGATGAGTCGTAGTAACCAAATCTCCTAAATCTCAGTGGCTTAACACAACACAGGTTTATTTTTCACAGGGTTAGCTGGCAGCTCTACTTCATGTTGTCTATACTCTGGCGACATGGAGTGACAAAGTAGTGACCATCTGGCACATTCCTGATTGCCATGGCAGAAAGAAAGAATAATAAATAATTTACTGATTAAAATTTTATTGTCCAAAGCAGATCCCTGGCCACAGCTACCTTCAAAGGGACAGAATAATACAATCCTGCCATGTGCTTAAGAGGAAAACTAATTATTTGGAGGATAGCAGCAACGACTACCACAGTCTCTGACAGGCAAAACAGGATTTTTATAAAGATTACAAGCTTGAAATATGGGTACTTGGTTTGAGTCAAGGTTTTCTGAAACTATTTTATTCTAGCCCTCATTTAGCATATCAACCACCAAGGAGGGCTTGGAGGGCTCATATCATAGGGTACTCTCATAGGGTATAGGAGAAACCTCATGTTTCCGTGAAGGCAAAAGGTGTTGACACTGAGTCTTTCCTTTCATAGAGAGACTTAGCATTGTCCAAAGAAGTTGTTTACATTATTAGATGAGACTAAACTTTAAACAAGATAGGACTAAAAGTTAAAAGTTTCTGCACTAACCACAAATTAGAAAGACCAGATTGGTTTGGGCAAAATAGAAGAGAGAGATTTCTTTGCAGATCTGAGTTGAAATGTGAGTGAATTTTGTGACTTTACAACATTTTAATGCTACAGAATATCTCTAAGCATATCCATATAAGGAGGCTGCACAGGGAAAAAGAGGGAGCGAGATAATCTGAAAATACATCCAACAGATTTTTGCTTTAAAAAATGCATTAGTCCCCCATCCTTCCTCTGTCTCCAAATCCAGTTTATTTTTAATATTTCAAATGAATTTGAAAACCTATTCTCACCACTTTGGCACCAAAAATGTGTATTACAGAATTAAAACACAGGTTACATTTTTATACATTTGGACATGTTACATGTCCAATTACGTCCCTTAAACATAAACACTATACAGTATCCAGTAAAAAGTCTGATGGGGATAAACTTTGCCAGAAGATGAGCCATGAGTTATTTTCTGTGACACCTTCATTATGAGAGGTTCTATCTTAATAGAAAGCTAGGTCAGCTTGAGCTCTAAGCAAGTAACAACTCACCTTGAAAGACGTGGGCCTAACTCCATTGCTGTGCAAACTTACTCCAAGAGAAAACAATCCTGTGCTCGAAATTGGCCTGGGTTGAACTAAACACCAGTGTGGTAAATTATGCTTCTACCTATCAGAAAATTGGCTATGGCTCACGTAAGAATAAGAATCAGGAAAAAAATCATTTGCCTAATTTTTCCATCTCTGAGTGTATACCAGCAGGGATGAATGGCACACATATTCGGCTGTGTCTGCTCTTCTACTTTCCTGGGGCCTCTGTAGCTCTAAGTTCAAATATTAATAATGAGGGAAGCTTGCAGCATGCCTGTAGCACCAGACTAGAAATCAGATCTTGTGTGACATTAAGACATTATGCTTCTTTGCAAGTATAACCTTTAGTGAATTTTGAATGCTTGGCATATTTGTTTGAGACATAATGGCTTCTTAATTTTTAAACTATAATAAAGACCATTTATGAGGGCTCAATAGTTTTTATGTTATTACATTTAATTATCACAACATCCTTATAATGTAAAAAAAATCTGCGTTTGTAATAAATAAGGAAACTGATATTTAGAAAGATTGAAGTAGGTTGTTTAAGAAGCAAGATTTTAATCTAAGTATATCTGTCACCAGAGCTCTTTCCATAAAACCAGGCTCTTAGCTCTATAAAGTCTGGATATCTCATCATGAATTTGGTTTGCTTCATGTTTGGTTATGAAGTAAAACATCTGGTGCCATAGACTATGCCAGAGATGTGATATTTACCTTTTCTAATTGCCTCTTTTTCCCTGGGAAAGCAAGAAAAGACTCTACGTGGATTTCCCTCCAATTCAGTGGCCTGAATTTCCCCTAAAGAAATATAAACTTCATGATAGTTGAGTCAACTCTAAGACTGCCAGTTTTCACTTCACTGGATTCATGCTTATATAGTTCATTTCTATCTATTTTCCCTACCCTTGACTATAAACCAAGAGATATAAGCCTAGTCCTGACAACTGCTCCAGGCAGTGGTGGCAGGTTGGTCACAGCCTGAGCTCCATGAGCAAGTGCCCCTGCCAGCCCTCAGCCCACAACCCAGCTCCCCTTCAATCCCCTGCACACACACACACCTGCCCACGGGGCTCCGTGCCCTGAAGCTGCAAGGGTGCTCATTTACCCTGGCTGGAATGATGATGAAGTATTCCTAGGCCAGAACAGGCTCCAGAATTTCTGAAACCAAATGTTCACTGCCTTGTGACATTGGTACTCAAATCCCTATAGCAAACATGCTCTGACCAAAAACACAGAATATGAGGAGGTGACCCCTGCCCAGAAGCTCCTGTCCCAGTGACTCCTGACCAAGACCAGTGGGATGTCCTGCTGGGCTGAGTGGCTATTTCTTGCCAATGATGCTCACCCAGTGTCCATCCTGGAGGACTCTACTGGGCACCCACACAATCAGAAGTGACCACCTTCACCTGTAGCATCAACCATGCCCAGCTGATGGTGGTGGAGGGACGATGTATTTACTGTGTGAACTCTGAGAACTGCACTAGTCCGAAATCCTCAGGGAAGCCTGGGTGTTCTCTAGCTTATCTAGTATCTCCAGAACTGTCCAGGAACTTGGTCATGCTCTTTTCAAAAACAACATGATTGTAACTGTGAAGAGTTTTCAATATATCTTGGCCAAGCTGCCAGATGATGCACCTTCCAAAACACCTGCTGGGACAGCCAAGGAAGACAAGGGGAAGGCAAAGAAGACAGCACTGACAGCTGCGGAGAAGGCCAAGGACCTAGTGAGCAAGGCAACCACTGAGACACAATAGCAGCAACAGTGCATGTAGCCAGCCTGGGCCCTGCCCACCACTGCCACAGCACTCCGGATGACCTGGTTCAAATCCCTCTGCCCTTTTCCAATTTACTTCCAGCCTACCTACTTCCTGGGTGGTGGGTTGAGGTTGGGTGTCCTGTTGGCATCTACAGAACACCAGGCATACCCATATCTGAGCCAGTCCTGCTTATTTCCCCATTGGGCAGCTGAGGTCAGAAGCACAGAGAGGTGTGGTGACTTGCACAGGATCACAGACAGGCTGCAGATAAATTGGTAATAAATGCTAGACTGCAAACTCCATGAGGGCAGGGATCTTTGTTTTGTTTTGTGATGTGCCCCCAAGTACTTGGCACATATCTAGTACATATAGACATTCAATAATTATTTATTGAATTTAAAAAAAAGAAAATAAATATAGGCCTGAATTTTTCCTCCCTCTTTACACTAATTCACTTCAGGAGGGCTGTGGCAGTTGAAGATGGCGGTGGTAGGGGGCATGCCTTCCATTGTGAAGGGCAATTGCTGAAAGGTGGTGAAGAGCCCTTCATCACTCTTCCCACCTCTACCACTGCTTTTCCAAGACTCGCACTCATACTCCATACTCCATCCACACATTTTTGAGAATTAACTACCTGAAAGGTGCTATAAAGGCTCCCAGAAATGGAACACAATGTCTTATTAACAAATGCCTTAAAATTCTAAGTGTGGTAGTTCCCATTCTCTGGCAAGAGACTCCTCAGGGACTTTGGAGTTTTTCAGAATTCTCCTTAGATTGAATAATATTTTAGTTTTTCAAATCTTTGTAGGTGCAATAGTGATTGTAAAATGCAAAATCACTTAAAATCATTACTGGGTAACTTCCTGTCAATAGATATTTTCTTAAACAATAGATTCGAAGTACAACTACTGTCATGTGGTGGGAGAGGAAGTCTGTGACTTTTTAAAACAATTCTTAGTGAAGAATTTTAGTATAATGCCTGCCCAAGGTGAAAAACATGCAAATAATTCAGCAGAGTCAAGAGTGTGAGTCCCTCCCTTGCCTGTTCTAGTGGTAACTACCATTCACAGAGTCTTATGTATCCTTCCAGAAACTTTTTAAACATACAAGCATATGTATATATGTACACACACATATATCACAACTATCTAATTTTTTGACAAATAGGACTATATGCAATAGACTATCTTGCAACTTCCTTTTTTATTTAATAAATTATTGGAAATCATTCTTTAGCAGTTATTTTTTTAAAAAAACTTTAAAGGAGATCCTCATTCCTGCCTGGAAATTATTGCCATATGCTATTCCAAAAAAGATTTAGAACCCCCCTCCCATATTATCAATTGACAATTATTTGTCAGGTAATTACTCTGTGTCTAATAACATTCTGCACACTATGAGATATCCCAAACAATTATTAAGGTGGTACATGATTTTAGGGCATACAATTGTAATTGAAGAGCCAGAAACAAATATCTGAATTATAGGTAAACAAATAAGATTCAGCATTATCTCTTTAACCCTGAGAAAAAGAGACAGAGCAATGTGACAGGATATTGGAAGAGACTGAGGAAGGAGATAAGAATTCAGGTAAGTTCTGAAAGAGGGATAGGATTTGGACATGAGGTAGAGAGAAGAGAGGAAGACATTGTAGACTAGCAAATGTAAGAACAAAGGCACCGAGATAGAAATTCACACGCTAGCAATAGTTTAGCCATAGAGAGTGACCAGGGAGGACAAGAGGTGTTCTGGGAGTGGAGGAGAGAAGATAGACAGGGAGAGAGAATGGGACCAGATGACGCAAGAGTTTGAAAGCCATAAATAGGAGTTTAAGCTTTTGTAGATCCATGCACAGGTGACTGGCATCATTCATTCATTTATTCGTGCGTTCATTCATTTAACAAATATGTATAGAGTGCCTACTATGTGGCAGGCACTGTTCTATTTACTGAACAAACAAAGATTCATGCTCTCATGGAGCTGATTTGGAAAGAGGGGATGGAAGAGGGGATGGAAAATAAGACAGATAAGTAAAATACTGACTGTTTTACATACGTAACATGAAATATACATGTTACCTATGTTAAATGCTCTGGAGGAAAAATTAAGTAGCATATAGAATAGCAAATTGGGAGGTACAATTTTAAATAGGATGGAAATGGAAAGCCTCAAGTAAAAGGTGACTTTTTCATAAAGACCTGAAAGAGATGGAAGTAAATCAAATGCATACCAGGGTTAAAAATAGATTGGCAGGGATATGGCAAGTGCAAAGAACCTGTGGCAGCACATACATGCATGTCAGAGTAACCAAAAGTATGTCAGGTAATAGTGTGGCAAGACTAGGACTGGGGAGGAGATAAAAGGAGATAAGGTGGGAAAGGTGATGACTTGGTGTGTGAGCAGTTGGTGTGAGAACTTTGGCTTTTTCTCAGAGACAGAGCCATTGGAGGTTTTCAATATGAAAAATTATATAATCCGACTCAGTATAACAGGATCACTCTGGCTGCTGTGTTTCATAGAGATGGTAAGAGACAGGAATGGAAATAGGGGGATCTGCTGGGAAGCATCTTGCAATTCAGTTGAGAAATAATTGTGCCTTGGAACAGGGTGAGAAACGGTCAGATTTAGAATGTAATTTAAATGTGTTCAATAAGATTTGCCAGTTAGATGTGGAGTGATAGAGAAAGAGGCATCAAAGATGGTTTCAAGTGTCATGCCTTGAGCAACTTGAAAGCTTGAGGAAGACCCAGTAGTGGAGCAGATCTTTGGGGAAAGGTCAGAATTTCAATTTGAGACATGTTGAAGGTGTATATTAGGCATGCAATTCAAGTGGAGATACACAACTAAGTGTATCCAAGAGGTTTAGAGAAGTGGTCTGAATCAGACATATAAATCAAGAGTGGTCAGCCTTTAGTTGGTCTTCAAAACCGTGAGACTAGTTGAGATCACCAAGAGTGAGAGTGGACATAGAAGAGAAGGGATATGAGGACTGAGCCCAGACGAGCATCAGATTGGCCTGGATCACAGTTATGAATACCTAGACCCAGAGAAGGAAGCAGATATGAGCTGCTTTGATCCAGGCATAAAATATGAGAGCCAAGACCAGGATCATGGATGGGGACAAGCTTAAACTCATATCATCCTCTTTGTCTGCCATTGTTGCAGGATTTAGGAGGACGAGAGTGACCTCGGGTTGAAACAGGAGAATCTTGAGTGCACTCAGGCCAGCCGACTCACGTCCAAAAGACAGGGCTTGGAATAAAGACAGCACTTGACTTTTATATACACTTTACAAAAGGGAGTGGGCTAGCTTGAAGCAAGCTTACAGTGGCGTGAAAGCAGGGATACAGAGGCAGAACAAACTTAGGATTGCACATAACCGTTGCCAAGCAACCCAGGTGTCCATTATCTAGGTTTGCCTGGGCACGGGCTTATCTCCTAACCTTCACTATGGTGCCCAGGCAGCTGTAGTTCAGGCCTACTCAGGCTTCTTATGACCTTTGTTGTACTTCTTAGATAAAACAGAATTCTTGAAGTCACTAGTTATAGAGAACAGGGATCTATAAACTCATTTCATAAAATAAAGGAAAATTTGTTTTTCTTCTCCCTTTGTTGAGGGAGTGCTGGGAAAGTCTCCAGAGAACGTTAGATAATATTATCAAGACTTTTCCTGGGTCTGGACTGTGCCTGTTGCTGCCTCTGGGACAAGTCAGCCTAATACAGGAAAACTTATTTCTCTTTCTTTTTATTTTTCTTTAATTTACCACCTCACCATAGTCTCAGATTTAAATTTGTTGTTTTATAAAAGTTCAAGTTTCCTGCTCTAGGTATGTGATTTAACATCAGCCAGAATTATTAGCTTAAATTTAACAAAAGTAAATATTATCTAAAAATATTCTATCCAGACAGTTAAATCTTTCCTCCTGCCTGGTGTTGGCAGCACCTCTAAATTCAGTATCATAATTTGATTTTAATAATAGGCTGTCTCCTTTCTTGTCCAGAACATTAATTAGGAATCAGGATAAGGCAAGGTGTGCAGACCTCAGCTTTTCTCTTCTGTTTGGTCATTCTGCCTTAACTCACTCATTAGTCATGCTTCAGCCAGTTTTTAAATGTGCCAATCCTTATTCAGATCAGTTTGAATTCATTTAATAAGTTACATCTCTTAAGTAAAGCATTTGATGCTAAACCTGAGAACAAAATCTTTAATACAGTATTGCCATGACTATGTCCATTGCTCAATAAAAATCCATTAAAGCAGCAATAACGTGATTTCACGCTTGGTGTATGAGAGCTCAGGATGCAGAAGTCATTTTCTAAAAAGTTAAGTTCCTAGAAGTTAGTACACCCAAAAATTTCTAGGGAAATGTAAAAAGTCTTTTAAAAAACCAACTGTCAAGTTCCAAAATCTGTTTGTTGAAAAGTATAAGTCACCTCTATAACTTAGGGAAGAAAAATGAAATAGATTGGTCAAAATTTCATTGAACTCATTTTGTCTTCTGATCAAACTCAAATCTTTGGGTGGAAACTCTTTCACCAGCTTTCTCCACACTTGGCTCTCACCTCAGTGCATAAAAAGCCAATGAGAAGCTGATATAGCTTGGATGTTGTCTCCTCTAAATCTCATGTTGAAATGTAATGCCCAGTGTTGGAGGTGGGGCCTGATGGGAGGTGATGAATCATGGGGGCAGATTTCTGATGAATGGTTTAGCACCATCCCCTTGGTGCTGTCCTTGCTATAGTGAATGATTTCTCCCAACATCTGGTTGTTTAAAAGTGTGTGGCATCCTCCTCGGCTCTCTCTCTCTCTTGTTCCTGCTTTTGCCATGTGATGTGCTTGCTCCTGCTTCACTGTCTACCATAAGTAAAAGCTCCCTGAGACCTCCTCAGAAGCAAAGCAGATGCCAGCACCATGCTTGTACAGCCTGCAGAACCATGAGCCAATGAAACCTTCTTTTATAAATTATAAACCCAGTCACAGGTATTTCTTTATAGTAACACAAGAATGGCCTAACACAGGGGCCATCTGGAGTTTGCTTGATTATGGACCTGTCTCCATGGGACAATTTAGAACCAAAATGAGTACTTAACTGCAGCACACATGAGCAGAAGAGCTATGAGGTGTGGGCAATTAAACAGACATAGAATAACAGGACCATCTTGGCCAATGGACAGTTCTCAACCTAGATACTTAAACATTGGGTGAGATCACTCTGATTTCCCTCAGCTACTTCCCAGGACTCTAGACTTACGAATCTAGGCTAAAAATATTGCATACTATCGAAATTTCTTGAGCTCAGGACATCCCATTGTAAGATGATGCCAGCCTGAAGCTTCTTTAATTCAAGCCTGAAGGCTGTGAAGGGAAGAACTCTGGGCAACTAGGGCTGCTGGCCTGATGTGTGATGTGCATCATCTTTTTCCAGCCACATACTGCACCCTTTCTGATTCTGCCCTGGAGGGTCTGGTTTAAGGGGGAGGGGAAAAGGAGAATTTCAGAGCATAAAGCTCTGCTTGGGGAAGATTAGGTCTGTACAAAATGCTGAAATGTGCAATATGCAACCCTCCAAGCACCCCAAGAGGGAGCAAGAGCCATAATAGGGGCACAGGGTCATAAGAAACACTGACAGGGGAGATAGCAGGGTCCCAAAGACAAATGTTCCTTATTTTGTCATGGTTTCATCATAGCTGGCTATTAGGTAACAACTGAAATTTCAGTTTAACTTGCATTAAGTAGGCTACTACTTGTCAGGTCCCATGTGAAGGCTGAGACAAGAAGGTGAGACGCTCTCCTCACCCTTGAGGAGTCACAGGCTAGTGGGGTACAAGACCCATAAACAGATAACATCAGTCTCATCCTTGACTCCCACCTGATTCATCAGGAAATCTTCTCAAGTCTATCTTCAAAATATATTTAGTTCTCACCTCTTCTGCCACCTCACCTGAGTCCAAGTTGCCATCTTCCATCACCTGGATGGCAACAATGGCCTCTCAGCAGATCTTCCTGATTCCATACTTGCCCATTGAGGACTCTTCTCAACCCAGGGGGCAAATCTTGACATCCTCTGCATCATAGCCCTCTAGCCGTTTTCCATCTCACTAAAACCCCAAGTCCTCACGATGGCCTAAAAATCCTGTGATGGTCTGGCTGCTGTTTAGTCTCATCCTTTCTTGCTCTGCTCCAGCCATGCTGGTTTCTCCCTGTTCTTAAAAATCCCAAGTGCGCTCTTGCACTAGGGGCCTTGTGCCTCCTGTACCCTCAGTCCCTCCTCACATCTCACCTTCTCAGAGGGGCCACCCTGACCATCTTATTGAAAAGTACCCCTTCTTCCCAGTCCCCTACCCCAAATGCTCCTGCTAGTACTGCCATTCCTGGCCCAACTCCACTTTTTAATTTTTTCCATAACACTCATCACCCTCTGTTATGCAATATAATGCATTATTAATTACATTTATTATTTGTTGTCAGTCTCCCCTTTGTCTATTTTGCTCACTGTTGAATCCCTGGTGACTAGAATAATGCTTGGGGCATAGTAGATATGTAATGAATATTTGCGGAATAAATTAAATTATTAAGAGGCTAAGATAATGATATGCACTAGGCACTACACAGGCACAGAGAAGGGGTACTGGGCTCACCGTGGAGGGAAGGCTACAGAAGATTTTTTTTAGGGCAAGTTGATATCTAACTGAATATCGAAGGATGAGCAAGAACCAGGTGAAAAAAGTTGGTGAGGGGGGAAGCTGAGCTATATTAAGAAGTAAAACCTTAGTGGTTTAGTATGGTTAGCTGGAGGTGGGGGCAAGCCCCTCAGAGTCAAAGATAGTCAAACAAATACTGGCAACATGCTGGAGATTCTACATGAAAATATATTCATTAAGTAGGTCATGTTTTATAAGTCAATAAAATCGAGATAACAACAGCCAGTGCTAACATTCTGTTAAATCAATGTTAAAAATATGCTGAACTAGAAAAACCACCTCCTTATTGTTCTGTACCCCAGGCAGTTTCTGTCTAATTTTCTTTTTCATAGTACTCATTCTATTAGAGGGCTTCACTGGAGCTTAGGTCAAAAGGAACCTAGAGACCCTCCTGTAGCTGGGAAACTGCTTCCCACTGCTGGGGGATTTCCCACTTCGACCTTTGGTGCTGAGCACATATTTACTCAGGATTTCCAACACCATTTTGCATGCTATTAAAACAAATCAACACCGTAAGAAGCTGAATAATTTCCTTAATTGAGATCCTGTCCTGAGATTTGATTCTCTCCTTGGCATTTGTTTTCTCCTGTCTAGGCCAATTACAAGTTACCAGGGTCAAGAGCACTTGCCTTCTTCCCAGCGGAGACTCACTTGACTGGGGGCACATTCAGAGCAGAGTACAGAGGGAAAGCAGAGAAGTCTCCAGGGCTGAAAACCAGGGGAGCTTAGCTTCCAGCTTAACAGATGCTTTTAGCTATGGAACGCTTTTTCTTAGTTATCTGATCTTTAAAATGAGCTTAAGAACGCAACCTGGTGGTGACTTAGTCACTTACCCTTTCTAAGCCTTAGTCATCAGATACATAAAATTGCGTGAACAATAGCAACACTGTAGAGAAGTTGTTAGACATAATATAGTATTTGGAAACACCAATTAAAAGCCTAAATATGTCAACCTGGTGGTACACATTTTAACAAACTCTTCTCAGTAATATGTATCCCTGACTTCACCATAAGGCTCAATGAGGTGATTCTGCTCAATAACTCTTTATATAATAAATATAACAATCCTACAAGTAATTAAGGCTTTGTCAGCAAATTTCCTTGCTTACTAATTAAGAAACCTGAAGATTTTGATAGGAATGAAGCACTCACGTAGGGATGAGAAAGGAATAGGGGAGGAGAAAAGACAGAGGAGCCAGATGCAGTTCAATACAAATCATTGATAAGTACTGGGAGAAATGCATCGAGTTAGGTGTTGAAACAGAACATGAGGATGAGTTCGCCAAAGGCAGCTCCCTACTTTACTACTCTCCATGGAGCTTGACACAAAAATAGTCTCAAGGTCACTTGGAACAAGGATGACATGAGGGGAACAGGAAATAATGACAACTACTGCAATAAGAGCTAACTCATTATATTCTGGACAGTATGCAAGTGCTTCATATGCATTAACACATTTTCCCTCACAGGAATTAGGTGTTATTCGTCCCCATTTTATAGGAGAAGTAAATAAAGTTGAGAGGCTTGACAGTTTTCTTACATCATAGCTAGTAAGTGGCAGAGGTAGGACATGCATCCTTCATCTATCTGACTCTCCAACTGCACTAAATCAACATGCTAAATGAGGAGAATCATCCACTGTGGTGAGAGGCAGCTTCCATCTGTTTGGTCCTGATTGTCTAAGTCCATGTTTACTTGTTTCCATGTGACTTCAATTAACATTGAGGTTATTGGCCTGATGCTTAGAAACCTAATGTTGACTGAACTTTTCAGGTTTCCCCACAGACTGGTGAACAGCTTTCTCTCTCAAATAGATGCAACCTGGTCACAAGAGAGAGGCTAAAACAGTTCAGTTTTAGCCAGTATTTTTCAGAGTTGAGGTTTCCTCTTGCATTCATTTAGTCTTCAATTTCTCAAGGACGAACTCTCTAGCAGACACTGTTTCTGGGGTCTGGGGAGGGAGTGGGGGAGCTGCCCTCATGGAGATTACATTACTCATTACTTACCATGGTGCCAGTGTATTCTTCCAGTTTAGCCTCAGAAATGGCCTTTTTGTGGTGAAGAAAGAGGTCTCGGAGGAAGTTCTGTGGCGCCAAGAGAAGAATCATACTTTATATAGTGAGCAAATAAACTGCAAAGGTCTTAAAAGGCCTTATTTCAAGAATTGTGAGTTGCTTGTTTCCAGGAGGAAATAAAATGCTTTTAGCAAGCAATAAATCCAAGAATGGAGGGCTGTCACTGTTTATAGGGAGCTCACGGGACCCAGGGAATAGCTCCAGCGTGAAAAAGTTATCATAAATGCTCAATTATGCTTCTTTTCCAGAGAGAGCAATGTGACTTGCACTTTCTAAACCTTTTAAAAATGAAAATATATACATATATGTACATATGTATGTATTTTTTGAGTCACATATTCAAATACATCTTTCTTGGGCCCACAGAAATCAAACTCATGATACACACATATCAAATTCCCAATGATAAACAAACCCACCCTTCACCCAGTGACACTCACGCGGAGCTCAGCAGCTGATATAAAGCCACTGCTGTCAGCGTCATATTTGCGCCAAATCTGAAATACACAAAAGTCACTAATTAATTTATCCTCAGATAACTTGGAATAATTATGTGGTATCTACTACAGTTCAGCATCTGAAAACAGTACTTAACTGAATGGAAATTCCACTTTTGATGGAAACTTTAGGCTTTCTTTGGTGAGAGCAATTTTGGGCACAATCCACCAGAAATGGATCACTGCATTCACTTGGAGCCACTTAAGGAGGGCCACAATGGTTTCAGTGAAAGCCCATTGAGTGGGCTTTCATCAAAAGTGTCCTTTTGGAAAGCTCAGAATGGAAATATAAAAAGGGATGAACTTCAATTTGGGGCAATATGACAAACTAAGAAGCCTCCTCAGTACTAAATACCTAAAAATGCAGCATCCTATGAAAACAGATTTTTTTTTTTTTTTTGAGACGGAGTCTCGCTCTGTCGCCCAGGCTGGACTGCAGTGGCGCGATCTCGGCTCACTGCAAGCTCCGCCTCCCGGGTTCACGCCATTCTCCTGCCTCAGCCTCCCTAATAGCTGGGACTACAGGCACCCACCACCACGCCTGGCTAATTTTTGGTATTTTTAGTAGAGATGGGGTTTCACCGTGTTAGCCAGGATGGTCTCGATCTGCTGACCTTGTGATCCGCCCGCCTCGGCCTCCCAAAGTGCTGGGATTACAGGCGTGAGCCACTGCGCCCGGCCAATAACTTTTAATTACATAGCATAGATCGCAAGAAAGTGAAAGGACTTCTAAGAGACCCGACATGATGGGAAAGCATAAACTCAGAGTGGTAATGTAGGACTGAAACCAAAGCCTGTCCCAAGTATGTCTGCCTGTCCCTGGCAACAAAGCCTGCAGTTTTATGAGAAAACTGCACATGTGGTAGACAGGGAATAAATCATGGGACCCACACAGGTGGAAAATTAGATTGAGGTGCCTGCTTTAAACTAAAACTTCAAAACTAAAATCTGAATGAAAGATGAACTTTAAAAAATTACACTGCAGAAAAGTCCTCTAAGAAATCTTGCCTGTGTGGTCTTGTCTCTGATGGAGGGGATAAAATAACTCTAATTCCCAGTTATAAGCTACTCCTCTTATTAGTGTGAGGCCAGCATTCATCCAGCTGAAGAAGCAGTTACGAACCAGAACACAGAACAGCTGACACTCTTTGAAGAAAGCACTGAACTGTTTTATTTAATAAATGCTCTTACTCTCCCCACCTCTGATTATTCCATGGACAAGCCTCACATCAATTGGCAAGCTCATTAACTCTTGTACAAAATGAAAGGTTACAGTAAGTTTTTTTTTTTTTTCACTGACAGATTTTTCTTAGATCCTAAATGGGATGACTGTGTTCTGTGTTACCAATTGCAAGGACCTTAATTATTAACCACAATCAGCGTCCTGAGCTCAGACTCTGCAGGAATAGTAGGAGGTGTTGATACTGATGCTGTGTTGACACTGATGCTGATATTTAGTAACAACAATTCAGAAACATCACTCCTTCCAGAACCTGTCATTTATGTCTGAATTTAGTCCAGTTACAAAATCAGTGAGTTACATGTGATTTATATCTTTTATCGTATGAATATGCCAAAACTATGAGAATTTCAAATAATTTTAAAAATTTTTTGCATGCTTTTTAAGTGCCATTCTCCAATCAATTTCCATTTAAATTATTGTGTAGTTTTACTACAGCTGAGCCATTGGAGAGCCAAAGATTTTTATGTGACTATTCAATAAGCCTATCTTTAAAGAATAAAGACAAAGTAAAGACATTTCCAGACAAACAGAAGCAGAGTTTATTACCAGCAGACTCCCGGTAAAGGATATACTCTAGGAAGAAGAAGGAACAGGATGAAGGAAATCTAAGACATACAAAAAGGAATGGCGAACAAAGACAATGGTAGCAATATGACATGTGGTGACACATGGGCAAATTGAAACAAATCTTGACTGCATAAAATTTGTGGGGTTAAAGAAAACAAGATAGAACTAATATTCTGGACAATAATGGCACATGAGCTGGTGGGTAAGAGTTATAGTGTGTTAAGACCCTGTGGTTCAGGGGAAAAGTAAAGACATTAACTTAGAATTTCTTCAAATATGTAGACTGTAATGGGATATAAGACAGTTAATTTTAAAAAACAAATTCAAGAATTCACAATGATAGTTTTAAAAGTTGGGTACAGAAAGGGAAAGCTCTTCTTTACAGATAAAATTGACAAACTACAAAGGCAGGAAAAGTGGAATTTAAAAAAAAGATAAGATAAGAAGCCTCCATAGGGCCATGTGATTTTCCCACTTCTCAAGGTCTTTCAAGACTACACTAGGCCTAACATTTTAATACTATTTTTCTATATTCATGATTTTTTTTCTGATATCATGTTCACTGTACAAAATTAATGAAATACAAAAAGAAAAAATGTATAATCTCCAGAAACTCCTATCCTGAGATAATTACTTATTGTTTCTGTGTGTTTCATTTCTATCATGTTTCTACAACATACACTAAAAAACAGAATTGGGGGTCATATTGTCTATACACTTGGGCAGTCTATTTGTTATTTTTATTAAAAATGTTATCTGAGTGTTTTTAAACACAATTAGAATCGTTTTGAAAATGTCATTTAAAATAAATTTTAAATAATTATGACTTTATACAGAATTGGAAAATACAAAAGTACAAAGAATAAAATCACCTGAAATCCTACCACTTACAAACAACCAATATTTTTTGTGTATTCTTACCTATATTTTATTTATTCAGGCTTTAGGGTAAACAACTTTTAAACAAAGTTAAGATCAAATTCCATATACAATTTTGTTTCTTAACATTGTATAGCATTTCCTTCATGTCATTAAATATTTTTTGAAAACTTGATCTTCAGTGATTAATAATGTTCAATACCGGAGTTTTTCTCTAATGAATCTGCAGCACCTAGAACAGTGCCTTGCATATTAGGGTGCTCTTAAGAATTTGTAGAATGAATGAATTATATGAATATATCATAACTAACTTTTCCATTATTGTTAGACATTTATGTTATTTTCAGTTTGAACTATAAGTGACGATGCAACATTATATGAACATCATTGTACAGAAAACTTTTGTCTACATCTGATTTTAACCATAAAATAGATGCCTGAAAAAGTAGAATTTTTGTTTTTTTTTGAGACCGAGTTTCCCTCTTGTCACTGAGGCTGGAGTGCAATGGTGCGATCTATGCTCACTACAACTCCGCCTCCTGGGTTCAAGTGATTCTCCACCCTACGCCTCCCGAGTAGCTGGGATTACAGGTGCCCACCACCATGCCCGGCTAGTTTTTGTATTTTTTTTTTTTTTTTTTTTTAGTAGAGATGGGGTTTCACAGTGTTGGCCAGGCTGCCTTTGAACTCCTGACCTCAGGTGACTCGCCCACCTCAGACTCCCAGAGTGCTGGAATTATAGGCGTGAGCCACCACACCCAGCCAGGACAAAGTTTTTTAAATAAATAAATAAATAAATAAATAACTGTGGATAATGAAATTTTAAAGGATCCTGACTGAATTTTTCCAAAATTACTTTCCATAAAATTATTCTACAATGTATGCCTACCAACAGAACGTCAGTGACAATCTCTGGGCTTCCTTGAAAGTATTGCATATTTTTGTGGATTTTCTTAAAATCTTTGCCATTTTGCTTAAAAAAAAATCATTTTCTTAATGTGCATTTCCTGAGTTACTGGCATAAATTCATGGTCCATTCAGAATTTCTTCTGTGAATTGCCTATGCAAAACTTTTTATCTCCTAAATGGGGACATGGTAACTATTTCCAGTGTGGGGTCCCGGATACAGTGGCTGTCTTGAATCTGCTGCTCTGGCCTTGGGGAAACCCTTATCTGCCCTTCCCTGGTTGTTTTTCACCAACAGAGCAGTAACACTGAGAGGCTGAGCGAGGGGGTAGCCCAGAGGGAAAGCGGTAAGAGAGGCCATTGATACCGCCTTTAACTTTTACTCTCCCATGGTTATAAACAGAAGGCCCACTAGCTGGACCAGCACTCTAATGAATTGTTTTGACTGTATCATCATGCCTTCAAAACTAAAATTAGTTGCTGCTATTTTCTAGAGTCTAGATTCCTAGATAGCATTCTCAAAAGGCTGAAGCTACATAGGGATATTGGCTTCAGATGGGGCACATGCTCTCCAATTTCCATAGTCCCCCACCTCCCCTCCCTCTCCATTCTTCAGTGTACCTGCCTGGCCTCTTGTCTAAAGTTTCCTCCAGCCCAAATTAAAGGAGCCTGTCAGCTCAGGAGCACCCCAGGACAATACTGAGCGAACACTGGGGTTTGGGACCAAAGTCCTCATCACTAAGGCATTTTTTGCTTGGTCTTATCCTCTGTGCTCAGCTCTCCCTTGAGCACTGGGCAGGAGTGGTGGCAGCCACAGCAGGTGGCTAAGATCGTAGCCTTGTCTCAGTCCTCTTTCTTCACAGAGACACAACCAAGCACTCACCTGCATAAACTCCACGCTGCTGTCCAGTGGGTTTTCCCGGCGAAAGAGCAGAAGAAAGTTTTCATCCTCAGATAAGAACATACCAGCAAGCTGAAGGAACAGAAAGAATAACAGTCAGGGACACTGGCCAGTGTCCATTTCAAGAGTGCTCCCTGGTAAAAGGCATGGTGGTGCATATTCCAGGGCAGAAGGGCTCAGATCTTCCAGGATGAACAGCTCGGTTTGCAGTTCTGTGCTCTTGATTGACATTCTTTGATTCATTGATTCTTTCAGAAAGTAACACACTCCTACTAAGTATAAATCACTATGGATATCTGCCTTCAATGAGCTTAAAATCTAAAATAATGATGACTATAACATTAATATCAACAATAAATTTGTTAAGTGCTTGATATGTTCCAGGCACTATTCTAAGAACTTCCAATACTAAATTAATTTAATTCCATAATAACAGAAAATAAAAATAGCAAATAATGCTTATGTTTGCCATGCATTATTCTAAATGCTTGTGTATGCTAATTCATTTAATCCTAATGACAATCTATAGGGTACACACATACCATTACTGTTATTTTCTAGTTGAGGAAACTGGTCTATACAGAGATAAGGAACTTGCCAAAGTTTTGTAATTAGTGTGTGATGAAGTCAATATTTCAGCTTGGCGATCTCAAGCCCACACTTTTAATCACTGTGGTTTGCTGGTAAGATGTTGTATACATACAATATTTCAGTGCAAAAGCAGGAATGACTGCTGCCTGGCTTGATACTTGAGTGTTAGCTATGGTTTATATTCTTTTACATTATTAGTGTCTATAAGATACTACAACAGTTGACTCAAGTATGATGAATTCAACCAATCAGCTTTTTTACATGAGCACCAGTTTGACTGATTTACTTCATGCACTCCCTTGAACAAAGTTATAATAATACCTTATTCCCCTATGTAGTTATAATACTTTTTTTCAGGTTTGGCTGTGTTCATTGCCAAACCTAGAGTATTGTAGTGTATGTTGTCTTCTTTCTGAGCTGTTCCCATAAACAATTGTCATTTCTTCTATAACTGAGTAGTTTGCTCAGTGTCTTGTACAATACCACAGAGTGAGTCCACAGCAAATGCTCCAGAAGGGATTTAGGTGTAATTAGCTCACATTCTCATTCATATTTTCTAATTGGATATGGGTCAGCTCAAGGACACACCATGTTAACAATAACTATCAGATGTTGAGTGCCTGCTACATGGCAGGTACCAGCAAGGTGCTTTTGATTTATCATCTCATTAAGTCCTCACACCAGTTTTTCAGGATGAGTATAAATATCCCCTTTTTATCAATGGGAGGCAGTGCAGTTCAATGTGTTATAGGCTTTAGAGTGAAATTAAATTTCTTCTCCATTACTTACTAAGTATTTGATCTTAGGTAATTTAGTTAATATATCTGTGCCTCAGTTTCCTCATTTGGAAAATGGAGATAATAATATTGATATCCTGGTCCTGATGGGAAGACTAAAAGTAAGATGAGCCAGTATTTATAAATTGTTTAGGAACATACCTCATACATATCAATTAGTCAACAAATGATAACTGCCATGTTGGTAAAGATGATAAAATTGAGCTCAGAGAAATTAAGTAACTTGCCTAAGGTTTCATATTCCACCATATTGACTTCATGCTTTTCCCATCAACCTACACAGGGTCAACTGGAACTGGGAACTGCCCTTTGAGACTAAGGGTGGCCTTTTTCCCATCTTGTTTTTTGCTAGAAAATCCAACATGAGTCAAAGTGGGCTGATTTTTATGTCACGACTACCTGTAATTGGAGTAAGTGAAATGGTCAATGGTACAGCAAGGGAATGTAGGGGAAACAAAAGGCCTTGCTGCTCCTTAGACTCACAGACTCATTGCGTTTTAAGGCGCCTTGGGAACGATGCAGTCTTGCACCATCAGTTTTTGTACAAACAACAACCTCAATGACACTCACGTGCAGGATTACAAGACAAAATGGTTGGCCAATTACTTGGGAATGTCTATCTGTTGTTAGTAAGATAATGACATAGTTTTCAGTTATTTGCTATGTTTTTCTCATTCGTTAATTAGGTCAAGAAATACTGAGCACTACTATGTGCTATGCTCTGTTCCAGGTTCTGGAAAATTACAACAGTGAACATGTAGTTATGAATATTTTGTTTAGTGCACCTAACTTGCTGTTTGCATTTACTGTTCTGTTGATACATACATTGATACTTTTACATCCAGTATAATGAGAATTTTTGGTTACATATACAATTTTGCCTTTGATTAAAAGTTTGGAAACAGCTACACTCATAAATCTAGAGTTTAGTTTATTAGTTTTCTGAAAAGGCAGTCTCCTGGTGAACACGCCCACTTTTTATAAAGGGACATTATCCTGCCCTATTAACATAACTTCCTGAAGAAATTATCCTATTATTTTCTTCAATAATATTGACTGCTCAAATATGGCAGTGTCACAGCATCAAGAGACTAGCTCTCCCAGTGTTAGGTAATATGTCTAACAGGCAATTTTGACTATGAAAAAATATCTTAGTTTCAGATTGACTCATTTTCACATACAGATTTATAGCTACATAGTATGAACCTGTATAGATTCATATCTATAAGCAGGGTTCCATTAAAACCATTACCACTTATTTGGTCATGTTATTCTAGGAAAGTAACTCAAGTCCTTATCAGCAAAATAGGGATAATGTTTCATGCCTATCATCATCTTAACTACTATGGGAATACAATAACAAAATATATGTGGAAGTCCTTTCTAAACTGTAAACATTTTTGTAACTGGAAGGAGAAATGATCAGGTAAGTTGTAGACCATCCCCACAGCCCTACACATGTAGTATAGTTACATGCTTTAGTATGTGCTCCATAAAAGTGGGTTGAGTTGAAGTAAAGACACCTATTGTCTGTCGTGCTTTTAATAATCTTAGGGATAGATCTTTCCCACCTGCACTGGGAGCTGATGCTGAAGTTTAACCTTATTTATTATCAGTAAGTTTTTCCTTATATCAATGTTCAATTTGAACAGGACACTGTATAAAGAGACAAATAGTAGATCAAGTAATTGAAAGGCCTCTATCATTTCAATTCCCAAATTATAAAACAGGTACAAATATTGATTGACCTAAATAAAATGATAAAAGAATTGCACACTCTTTGTTACTAAGTAGATGAAAAAGGAGAGGTGATTACTTTTAAAATGCTATCTAGGCCAACTGCCTTTCAGAAATCTCTAATTTCCTGATCAAATGTAAAGTTTCCATTGTCTTTCAAAGAATATTACAGCCCAAGACGATAAAGTAAAGAAAAAAACAGTCAAGAAGAGTAGAGCCATGAAAAATACTGTCAGTAAAGTTACCTCTTTCATCCGAATGCGACCATCTTTAGAGGCATCTTGGGTAGTCATAAACTGCTGTTTCACCTTGTGCAAATTTGCTTTCATGACCGTGTCCTGCAATTGACCAAACAGAGCCACATTAAAGCCACTGGAATCTCAAAGATATAGTTAGGATGGCAAATATTCAAAATATACAGCGTGAAAATTATGTTTTTCAAACATGGAAAGCAGGTTCCTTGACCATTTAAAGTGATTTTACCCTTTTGTAGAAGAGAGAGCAATGCTGGAGATTTCTTGAGCAACCAAGCACTAATCAGAATCTTGACTAGGTACAATTTACAGTTAATGAGTTACTAAAATATTGATGAAAAGAAGCTTAGAGACTAGGGTGCTGAAAGAACAAATTTGAACAGTGTTGTATTTGGTTGTGACAAAAGACTGTATTGTAATTACAGATTTTCTTCCCAATAACTCAGAGATTTTACATTTTTTAACTGAAAAGTCCAGTTCTTCTGGGCCCCCAGGTGTCTGTAACTCATTTTTAATCTTCTTTTGTATTCTCTGAGGAAAAAAACATAATGAGAAGGGAGAAATAATTAAAGAGGAGACCAAAGTAATAAGGTAATTGCCGAGTTAACCAAAGATGTTACAACTCCCTTCTATGTAGAACCTTAATTGTCTTCTTTGGTGGATTTTATGGTTACTACAGTAAAAGTGACATATGTAACCAACAATAAAGAATGAATTCTGATGCAAGGGTTGAGAAGCATAGATAATCCCAAACAGTGCCCAATTGTAAGATTCTAGACTTGCTGAAATTTATGCTAAAC
This sequence comes from Homo sapiens, assembly GCF_000001405.40. Lineage (NCBI taxonomy): Eukaryota > Metazoa > Chordata > Mammalia > Primates > Hominidae > Homo > Homo sapiens. The sequence goes on along the minus strand of NC_000006.12, from coordinate 25,660,835 downwards.
TCATTCTCCCTAATACTATCATGCTGTCTCTTGTCCCAAGCCCTCCAGCTGTAAGTTAGAAGGGCTGAGAAGAGGTAATCCTGTTGACTCATTATCCTCCCTGTTGGTGTTGGGGGTGGAGGTGACTCAGCCTTCAGCACACTCTCTGGATGCATCATCCATGCACATGTGTACAGGACAGTTCTCTGGGTGGCCTTGGGCTAACTCAGTTCTTCTGCCTTTCTCACTTGTATTTCTCAAGAATAACCCCAGCATGTGCTGGTAATGCAACATCCTGAGATAAGGAAGAACTTGCCAGAACAACCCAGGTGCAAGATGTCCTAAAACACTTTAGCCCACCACAACATGTTGCTTTCAGGTATAAAACCCAGAAAAGACTGCTTTCTGTCAAGCACCTACCATGTGCCAAACACAATTCTGGCCCCTGGTGATATTATAGTCAGCAAAAGAGACCTGGTCTTTGCCCTCCATCACAGGCTGGTGGAAGGCATCTTTGTCCAGCCTTCCTTTCCACTGAGACCTCTCCCTAATGGGTTACAAAGAAAAGAGGAGACGGTGGAAAGAGAATTGTGGTGGGGAATTAACAGCTGCCACATCCAGTTGCTAAGAATAGGAAAGAAGAGCAGGTGAATAAACATTTTTGGACTGCCAGCCAGAGGATGGGCACTAAGCCATGCTCTTTAACAAATATTATCTCCCTGGATCTTCACAACGGCCCTGGGAGGCAGAAAAAAATGTACTATAACCTTTAGCCCCTGGCTTCCTTGCTGGCCTGCTAGCTTCTTCCTCTTTGGGGACCTTGTTTTTTTCTTTTGTGCTCCAGCTTCTTACATGGAAATTCTCCTTTATCATTTTCCCATCACTGGCTGAGAAAATGTTTCTGTTTTTTTTGTAGTCTTGACTCGGAGGGGCTGTCAGTCCTCACCTCTTCCCATCAGGCTGTCATCTTTTCAGTTGACCTCTTGCATATGGCAAAGAACTTGCCAGAACAACCCATGCTCTGTTTTAGTCCTTCCTAGAACAAAACGTCCTAAAACACTTTAGCCTGGCACAACATGTTGCTCTCAGGCATAAAACCCAGGGAAGACAGCATATGGCAAATGTTTTCCAGTGAGTAGAAAATCTAGTAGAAAAGTAGTACAAACTCTCTACCTTCCAGATCTTAACATATGAAGACTAATACTCAAATTCATGATAATTTTATCCATTGCTGCAACTATAAATCAAAACGTATGATTCCTTCAGATTAGTCTTTGTGATTTAGAAGCAAAAGAATAAAGAAGAAAAAAAATCAGAGGATGTTTGGCACCCTTTCTAAGAATCTGAGACACTACCCTTTCATTTTACTGATGGAGAAAACAGGCCAGAAGGGTGATGCAGCTGAATACTGGCAGAACAATCTTGAAACCAGCATATTTGATATCTGGTCTAGTGCACTTTCCACCGCACCTTGTTGTTGGTTGAGATGAGGCAGAGAACACCTAATGGAGTCATTGCATTCCAACATTAAGTCGTTAATAAATTAGATGGTTCAAACAAAATGCAAGGACAGCTTGATGACTTGCTTTGGGGATTTTTCAGGATGGGTTCTGGCAACTAGTTAGATAACCACAAGCTTTAGATATTATAAGACCCTGAAGGTTTGAAAGCATATTCTTAGAAAACCAGGGAACACTTTGGTCAGCAAAAACAATTTTAATGCTAGGGAAGTTCCTGGGCATTATGCTAGACCTCAGCCCCTGATAATTGTCATCCATCGTACCAACTCATTGCAGGAGGTGGGTGCATAGCAAATGTTTGATGTCGGGTTATAATAGTGAGGTAGAAAAGATGCTGTGAGCTGACAGGATTTAAGCTATTGGATCCTCTAATATCTGATTCTCTAAACTTCCAGGATTGGTGTGGATACTGGATATATAGGGAACTGCCAAGTTTCATGTCAGTCAGTAGTTTGCCTCTTCCCTGTTCAATCATACACAAACTTTTGTCAGCAAGTATAAAGATAGAATTGTACTTCCTTTTTTTTCACTTGTTGCTTTTTTGCTGCAAATGATGATAAATAGATGAAATGCATGCAACAGAAAGAGGTTAATGAATTAATGGTTTGTATAGTTCCCAAATGGATAATAAATAATGAGGAATAAACTTTATTTGAAATAAATTGCAGTGAAGGTGAGTCTCTTTGTGAAAAAATTAAAGTTATATGAACAAGAACTAAAAAATAGCATCTATATGTATAGCTATTCTTTAAAATTATAAACCCAAACCAGTAGCATTTGTGATTGAGATGATGTATCAGTCAAATGGATCTGTGCATCCTAGCCATATCAAGGTCATCTGCTATACCTCTGGCTTTGGTCCTGTATTTAGAAACCCAAAATGATTAAAATAAGAGGACTTAGACAGTCTGACTCTGTCAACATCAACCAAACATACTCATATGGTGATTATAAATGGGGAACAGTGAAGGGTCTAGTTAAAAAAAAAAATGAATACCAGATGGGCATGGTGTCTCATGCCTGTAATCCCAGCACTTTGGGAGGCTCAGGTGGGTGGATCACGAGGGCAGGAGATTGAGACCATGCTGGCTAACATGGTGAAACCCCGTCTCCATTAAAAATACAAAAAATTAGCCATCCGTGGTGGCACGTGCCTGTAGTCCCAGCTACTCGGGAGGCTGAGGCAGGAGAATAGCTTGAACCCGTGAGGCGGAGGTTGCAATGAGCCAAGATCGCACCACTGCACTCCAGCCTGGGCAACAAAGCGACACTCCCTCTCAAAAAAAAAAAAAAAAAAAAAAAAAAAAAAAAAAAAAAAAAAAAAAAAAAAAAAGGATACCTTTCTAAATGAACACACACCAGACTAAAAATGTGAAAAAATACATTAGTGATTTGGAACCAAAGCATCAAGTGAAGAAATGAGAGATAATGCCTGTATCATTTGTCTAAGACAGAGCAAGTCTAACAGGTCCCTGAGGTGACAGTCTGTCTTCTGTCTTCCTTTGAGTAGCCTCCTTTACTCATGAAGGACCAAAGAGTGGTGGTGAGTATGACTTAAGGCATCCTCCAAAGGCTACCCTAGCTTGGAAAACTTGCTCTCATAAACTGGAAATCATATATATATGCACACACACACATACACATATATATATACACGTAATATATATATTATATATATATATAAAATCTTAAAAGCATTTCAGTGTTTAAGAGAGTAAGCTTCAATGATCCTGTGTGGGATAACCCCTTGGTGGATCTGAGGCAAAGTGGGGCATAGAATAAACACTGGGAAAACTAAGGACCCAAGAAGATATTGCGTCAGCATAAGAACATATATGTTGGGTGCTTTTGCAACTAAAAGCACCTTTCACTTGTGTTATCTTATGGGTCTTCACTGTGAAACAGGCAGGCCAAAACATTATTCTAATAATTATTATTTTATGGATAGGAAAATTGAGACCCAGGAGGTTTAAATGGCATGTTGCTATCACACAGCTCTAGATGGAGAGACAGGGAATGAGCATTGGATTTCTGCCTCCACACATAGTTGTCCTTTCCCCACCGACCATGAGTCTTCTTTGGAGTGGGTCTTCAGAGACAATAGGTACATTTTTTTTATTCTCTGTGGAAGGTGAACAGGTTCTTTGAGACTCCAGGTTCTTCTGTCAACCAGGTTACCTCATGTGATACCCCACTAATCGTGGTGGGATTAACCTGTCTAGTTTCAGCACTAAAGATTTTGTGTGTGCTTACATTTGAGGGTTCATGTACCATACAGGAAAAGCACAATGGAAATCACTCAACAGGGTCGAACTTCACTTTGAAATTCAGCTTGATCTTTTAGATTAAGAACTCCACAAGTATAACATTCATTTCTTTATCTCTGGAACACAGGATCCATTGGATGAATAAATGATTCTTTATGATGGGCTGGGAATTCCCAAAGGAAGTTAACTAACATAGGTCATGTTGGTGAAAAATTAGATTTTAAAGTAAATAAATGTGAAGTCAAAGTAACAGTGGCCAGATTCTACATTACCTTTAGTTTGAGGACACAGAATCTTGGCTTCTGTCTTCTCAGACCCCTAACCCCAAAGCTCATGACTATCCCTTTGACCTAAAGCAAAAGAAACTGGGGCTTCCTCTGTTGTAATTTCCCATCAGTCCTTATCTGAGACGCTAGGCTACAGCAGGGTACTATAATCCCTGAAGTATTGAAAGAGGCCCAGGATGTGGTACAGTCTGTATGTGAGGGGTATGTACACATAGAATCTGATGTTTATCCATGAACTGGCTAAAATCTCAGCATTTGGAAAGAAAAGGTTTGCAGGGAGTAACAGAAACAGCAGCAATTGCAGCTGATGGTTCCATTAAGTCAATCCCCTCCGAGGCTCTGAGGAATAGGTAATTACAAGCAGGCTGGTTGCTCTCCTGGATAGACTAGCAGGCAGCTTGCTGTTAGAAACCTCAAAATACCTTCTTCTGAGATCTCTGTGATCCGCTAATCATCAGAGGAAAGTAGAGCTATTCATGCCTCTGAAGGTTGGCTTACCACTGCTGAACACCAGAGCAAGGGGCTGCCTGATTGTGGAGGCCTCCCTGCTGCTGGATTCTGTACTCACTGGGCATTACCAATCAAAAGCAGGTGTCACAATCAAATGGTGACTGTTCCTCAACTGAAGGGCCTTCCATTTTGGAAGTCCTGCCCTATTGTTAAGAACTTGCTTAAGGCCTACTTATTACTCATCAGAGACAAAACCCAAAATTAGGAATAGCTTCCTTAATCATGGTTGTCCAGGTAGCATGGAGTGCCCAGTGAAAGTCCCTGCAAACACACTCCCCAGAGTAATGCCTCAGCGTTTTGAAAGGCATCCAATGGCAGATGATATCATTTCTAGTTAAGAGTTCAAACTTATCATCCTGGCTCCAAAAGCTTTCTTCCCAGCCAAGTGCTCATGAGATGTGCCTGAGGCTATTGCCACAGCTCAGTGGGATTGGCCTAATTATATCAGAATCCCCTCTCCAAAAGTCACTGTTCCTAGAGGAAAAAAGGGTAAAAAAACATGCTAACTGACTTTGAGTGCTTTTAAAATGAAAGATCTTTGGCAGACCCCAAATGTATTTAAATACCTACAGGATGAGACCTAGGGGTCTGCATTTTAACAAAAAAATATAATTCTCAGGCATACTGAAATTTGATTTGCACTAGGTTAAGGATTATGAGAACTTCCAACCCCCGTTCCAGCCTCAGAGATATTTGCACTGAATGCAGTTGCGCAGGACACCAGTGAGTCCTTTGCTGTCCTCTTTCCTCGAGGATTATGCTTGCCCCTGTGTAAGAGCATTAGTCCATGGACCAGGTCTGAGATAGGGGCAATGATAAAAACAGCCAAGCTGCAAGAGATGACATCCCTCTTTTCTCTCACAATGGCAACAATGCTTCTAAGGTTAGCCAAAATCTCAGATGAAGATATCTCACAGCATCCTCATCTTAGTGCAGACCCCAACTCGATGAATGAATATTAGATACTCCAGCTTCAACAGTGACAGCAATTTTTCTCCTCCCTTTTATAAATGACTAGAACAAGGAGCCCTCTGAAAAGGTGAGAAGTTCCAGGTCCCTGAGGACAGATTTTTAGGAGCTGGCCATCCCATTTATTCCAAGATTTTGAATGGTTTTAACTTTGTCTTTTTGCTTTCCTCAAATACCCATGTCCATGATAGATAAGATGGGTTTCTGGAACACGATGAACCTTACATTTACAGATATAAGTAGAAGCCCTGTGGGCAAGGCTGGTGGGCTTCACCATGGGCTGCTAGCACGTGAAAGTGGCTGGCTAGATTGAAGCAGAAGCCTCACTTGGGGGAGGCTTCCTCAGCTCTACCTGTAGCTTGTGTAGGTACAAGAATGAAGGATAAAGAGGAGTGTGCGCAAGTGGTCTGACCAGAGGAAAGAAGGGACTTGTGTCTCTATCCTTCTCGTCTGCTGATCCTTTCACTTCACAGGCTGCACAGGGTAAGGGGTGGAGTGCAGGCAGACAAAGAGCAATAAAAGGTACAGAAAAAGGGAGATAAGAGACAAAGAAAAGGGTGAAGGAGAAAATGTGGAGAAAAGAAATGAAGGTCAAAAAGAGAGATGGGAAAGAAAGAAGAAAGGAGAAATAAAAGACATGGGGAGAGGAAAGACCAAAAGAGCTTTGAGAAGCAGAGAGACTGGAAAAAGAATGGGAAAACACAGAGACAGAGAGATGGAGAAACAAATGAGAAACAGAGACAAGAAAGATGGGCAACAGAGAGGTCAGAGAGAAAGGCAAGAAACAGTAGGAGATGAGAGCCATGAAACACAGAGATAAGAAACAGAAGTGAGCAGAAAAATGACAGAGATAGACATAAAAAAGAGAGACAGACAGAATATGAGAGGCAGACAGAAGTAGAGGGGGACCAAGAGATCTGTGTGGCTGAAGAAGGCGGAAGCCAGCCCTTTTGTTTCTGAACCAGCTTCCCCTGCCCCCCACATACCCTCCCCATGTTCTCAACAGTGGTGAAGAGCTCCTTGTTCCCTCACTGAGCTCTCACATGAGAATGTGATGCACTTCTATTCTTCAGATAAACAGCTGAATGATAAGGACAAACTATCTCCATCATTCATTTAAATTCAATTGTCCCTAGAGCGTCTCCTTCTACTATGAATGCCCTACTGGAGCTTTCATCAGATCGAGCCCATCCCCAGGCTGTCCTCCGCTCATGTGTTTCTGTGTAAAATTTTTCTCTGCTTTGATAGAGAGACTTTCAAGAGTTCATTTACATCTCCCAAGGACATATTTACCATCAGATGGACACTAGATAGATTGGCTTCCATTTGTATCTGGGCTCTGAGTATGCTGGTTGTTTTCTGGTTTGTCATTCCCTGAAAAATCTGTAACCTCTTCTAATAAAATGAATAATGGATAAATGATTTTAAATGGTTTGTGGTTTGCTATCAGAGGAGTATCATACATATTAAACACCCAAAATCTTAATGTGCTTAACATCTTTTCCAGCTTTTTGAACAAAGTGGGCTACTTTACCCCCAGGTATAAATCAATTAGCAGAGACATAACCAAGGAGACGTTCAAGACCAAGTTAACTGAGTCTACAGTTAGGATCTCTGAGTGGATGACAGATGTTACACTGAAAGTCAGTAACCAGCATGTCTAATGCTACAGTTGCACCTTTTATAAAAACTGCCTAAATCCCTCTATGTTGCTAGGAGAGGGGGAGAAATTACATACATGCAAGGAAGAAAGGAGGTGAGTTGGAATTAATAGGTACCAATCAATATAAGACTTGGATGTGCGTATCTTACTAAGAGGCATAAATTAAGGCTTAGTGTGCAAGTACTTACATCAGTACCCAGTTTCATCAACATGTGGAGAAAGAAAGCATCGAGTTCCTTCTCTTCTATGTAACCTTTTTCTAAATGTGAGAAAATAAACATAAATAATACTAACATATAAAAAACACATGACAGTATTTATCTAAATATGTTTTTAATCTCACAATTCATAAAGCTTCCCTCAACACTATTTTTTGTTATTCCAATAACAAAGTGCCAACACCTACCTCTAGAATACATGGGTTTGAACAGTAAACACTGTTCCAGAATACGTGCTTTATGCTAGGGTTTATATTAGTGCTTGGAAAAGGAAGGCTATTAAGTACATGAATTTTAATCAATGAATAAACGTGAACTTTCCAATAAAATTTAACCCCAAAATTTCTGAAGCTTGGAGAAACTTAACAGGTGTAAGTATTGAATCCCAGTTTGCAGAGTTAAAACACACCTTTTAGATATTTTATTTCTTTATTAATAAAAACAAATATTAAGTAGTTCCATTTTATTTTCAAGTAGTTTTTTGGTGGAGGAGTCGTTTTGAAAGCTGATAAAATTTATTCTCATTTTGAGAGAGTGAGGGGTGTACAGCAAAGTCACTGCGTAAAAGTGAGCCCATTTAGGGAAGGATGACTTCAAATAGCTGAGTCTCAGCCCACAAGCCTTGAACATATACAATGATATTAGTCATTGTATATACAATATATATGTATGTCTACCATATATATGGCGCGCTCGCACACAAAGAGAGATTGGAAAGGGGAAAGTGGAAATTCACCACCCAGAATTTTAACAAGGTATATAGATGTGTATCACCAGTATGCCAAACGTCTGTTAATGATACTGTATTAGGTACACTGCATTAACAACCCAGGTCGATAACTTTTCCTACAGTAAAGGGGAAACTCCAGGTCCTTTCAGCGGGCTGAGCTTGGAGCCACGTCTACACCTGAGTGTGCAAGTGGCTTGTTCTACTCACCATCCGCATCAAAGCGCTGCCAGACCTGCCAGAAGCCAGCGGCGTCCAAGCGCCCCAGAGTCGGTTCCCGGGAGCTGTCCATGGTGTTGACGACGAAGACCAGGCACCGGCGCGGAAGGACCTAGACAACTTTGGGAAGGACTCCTTCACCGTATTTCTTGACTTGCTCTCCTGCTTCTTTCGCTATCTGATTAGCTTTGAGTAACTGTTGCTGGGGAGGACGCGAGCGCTGCTGGCCGTGGCGTCGCTGAGCCGTCCCTCAGCCCTCAGCAAAACCAGCGGCTGGAAGCCCGCCCCGCTCCTGGCGCGCCTGTCCCCGCCCCGCCCTGCGCGCTGTCCTGGCAGATCCTGTCTGTCTCTGCGCTTTGGGGAATTCAGGAAGAAAGAAACTGTCTCCAGGCGTCCACGGCTCACTGCTTTTGCCCTTTAACTTGCTTCTCAGACTCGGAGAAGACATCCCTCTTACGTTTGACTCACTTTCCAAACTTGTGTCTCAAGGGGTTTTCTAGGGAGAGCTGCCTCATTTAAAGGGTTGCAAGAAGTGTCAGTGTTAGGGTCCTTTGGACTTGAGGATTTAGAAATGTAGTGTGTGGAGAGGGGAGGCGAGAAGGGATGGTGATGGTGGTAAGTGGTTCCCTTTAAGGAAGAAGTCAACAGCAATTATTGAGTCCTGATTGTATAGGACATACACATTGCTGTACCAAAATGCACTATAAGGACTTGCAACTAAACAGGGATACTGCAAGTCACTGTGATTTAAAGTAGCATCATTAGGATGCTGAGGAAAATATAAACTAAGCCGTACTCTGCCAGGAAAAGAGAGTCTGGGGGAGATGTGTCTGCCTGCAGGGTACTTAGGTAGAAGGCTTAGATGATTGTGTTTGGCTCCTAAGAGCCACATTAAGACCAAAGGATAAAAATCAGTTGGAGGAACACAGAGCTTTCTAACAATCAGGACTGTTCAAAATTGGGCAAGGCTTTGTGGAAACGTGTACAAACTACACTGATACCTTTTGACTATATATTTAGAAATTTTCGTTGGATAATCTATAGAAAGTGCTTGGATATTAGATAAGAAAGTTGAACCAGATGTAACTTTTCTTTATGGCACCCTGACTCTGGTTTTAGCATTCAGATTTATTTATAAAAAGCATGCATGTATAAGTCATCTAAACCAGAGTAGTGAAAAGAACATGACACTCAAGGTCAGATAGTCCTGGGTCAGGATCTGAGTTCCATTATTTACCAGCTTTGTGAACTGCACCATTAGTTCTCATCTCCCTAAGCCTCAATTTTCTTATCTATAAAATGAGGATTAAAACATCTGTTTTGGAGGGTTGCTGTGAGGATCAGAACCATACATAGTAATGCACAATGAATTATATCTGCTATGGTGTTGTAGCTGATGAGGGATGACTCTGTTAGAGAAAACAAGTAAAGTCTAAGAGATTGTCATAGCCAAGAGGAACCTAATGAAAAATGACAAAGAAATGTAATGTTTTATCCTGGGTGTGATGCCGGAACAGAAAAAGGCCATTAGGTAAAAATTAAGAAAATTTTAATAAACACGGACTTTAGTTAATAATAATGAAAAAAATGGTTCAGAAGAAAACAGTTCTGGGTTCAGGGCCCAGCTTTGCCTCTTACTAGTTGTGTGTGATATTGGGCAAGTTACTCAAAAGAAGCCTCACTTTCTTTGTAAAATGGGAATAATAGTAGTATTTACCCCGTGTTATTATCATAAAGGTCAAATTAAAAAATCATATAAACCTATTGTCACAGTATATACAGTAACATTCAGTGTAAGTTAGCTACTAAAATGATGAATCTTCCATACATACATACATATTTGGAAGACGGTGAAGTAAACTTCAGGATTTTTGAGGAGTGTGGCTTAGCCTAAAGGAAGAAAAGCAGTATTATCACCGATTAAGCAAGTGCTGGTTACAAAAATTGGAGAAAAGCATATGTAGCATAGGAGGGTGTAAGGGTTCAGTATCTGTAATTATCATCTGTGACTTTAGGAAATTAGTGGATACAATGTCAAGCACCAGTTAGGAAAAGTAATTGGTATGAACCCACCAGGGCTGATCTTGTTTTCTGATAAATAGTGGAAAAAGATAAAACAAGGCAGATTTCAGAAGTAATAATCAAGATCTAATGTGGAGGGATGGTTAAATAAATGATAGTAAATATCTATGATGGGCTTTGCTGCATACACAGAAATCTTGATTTTGAAGCTTGATGATCCAGAAAACTCAAAACATAAGGTTAAGATTAAAAAGCAAGTTACAAAAGTGTACATATATGATGACTCAATTCTGTAAAATAAAATACATGTTTCTACACATAGAAAACATGGAAGATATACATTAATGACATTAATGATATGTTTCTCTGGAGTGGGGAAGAGGGAGGCTCACAGATGATTTCAATTTTGCTATTTGTAATTCTTTTGTCTTAAAACTTTGTGCAGTAAGCATATAATGCAAGCTATTATACTTTTTTAAAGTTGTAAAAGTGAAATCTAGGGAAAGAAGAGGAAAAGTACAGCCGCAAAGATTACTGTTCTCAGGACTGGAGAACAAACAGAACTTGGAACACTTTCCAGGAGCCTGTCATCTGGAGCTCTCTGGGGAGCTGCAATCTCCATTCAATGACTTATTTCCTGTTTTCTTTGCATCCAAATATTTATCATGGCACTGGGTAGGGAGATACTGCTTAGGAATCCTGCATTCCCTCATAAAAGTTTCTCTTTGAGAAAATCATCCAAGCCCTTAACAGAGAAGAGAGCCAGTAGGAAGGTATTTAAAGATCCTACAGGAGACACCTGTAAGACTGTCTCATTGGGAAAGTTCTCCTGCCTAAAAATGGAGTGATGGAGGTGGGGATGAAAGAACCAGAGGTGGTTTATCAGAGTCCCTTCCTGTCCAAAAAGAGAACTCAGAGTAAAGCAAATATTCAGCAGCTGGAATCAAGTTGAAATACATTTTGCATCTTATGGATTAATTAGCACCTTCCACAGAGATTCTGATTTAAATGGTTTGGAGAAAGACCTCTATGCTGATATTTTTTTAAGTGTTCCCCTAGGGATTACACTAGAACCACTGACGAACCTTTTGTCTATAAGTTTCCTGCTGCTCATATTCTGGTCATTTTATTATTTAGGTATGGCATCTCTGAAGGATAATCGAGAAAAGAAAAAACTTCTAAAGAATTAACATTACTTTCTTATTAATACACTGCCTCTTTCAAAGAGAGGTTAGAATTTATACTTATATGTAATCCTGGTAAGTTTTGACAATTGATGGCTGAAACTAGAGACTAAAATCAGTTGTTTTTCTTTTTTCCCTACTGATTTCATTTTCTCCTGCAATCATTTCCTGCTTTTCTCATTAGCATAGCTAATTGATGGTTAGTTGCACAAGAAGAGGCAGTGGTCTGTAATTTGAAGCATTGCTAATTAACTCTGATGCATCCATTCAATTTTAAGCTAAAATATCTGCATCTTTTTACAAACTCAGAATGATATTTCTAACTGGAAATATAAACAATACTCATCTTCATATGTTGTTGAACATTCAAGCTCTGTAGACATCTCACAGACTGTATAGTAGACCTTAGAATTCAAAGAGACAGCCTTGGTTTAAAGCCACACCAGTTCCAAAGGGCCATGCAAGCAGAACAAAAGAAATTGGACAGTGGTTTTCATAAGATAATAAGAAAACACTAGAAATAGAGTTATTTTTAAAATATATACATTTTACTGTTTCCTTTGCAATCACATGAATAGTACAGATAATTTAAACAATATAGATTAGAAAAACTACAAAACAAGAAAGAAAACTTTCTTCCATAATTTTGACATCTAGAGATAACTAGCAATAATAACATATGGGTTTATGTCCTTACAGTAATTTTTTATATGCAGAAAAAGTAGATTATACTGCTCTGTAACTTGCTCATTTCACTTAATATTATGAAGCATGTCATTAAATATTCTTCTATGATATTATTTTAATGTCAGTATTATCATAATTTATTTAATATCCTCTTTTTAGACTTTTCAATTGTCCCTAGGTTTTCACTATCATAAACCTCTGCTGTTACAGCTAAATGTTTGCACACTCTAGTAATTATTTCTTCGGGATAAAGTTCTAAATGCACAAGTGCTGGGCTAAACAATGTATAACATCGTAAGTCTTTATAACATAAGGTTAAAAGTGGTCTCCAGCTGAATTTTACTGATTTATACTGCTATTAGCAGTGGAAGAGATACCTTTTTACACCATTACTAACAATAAAAATAAAAATCTTTGAATAGTTTAAAGTAGTAGTTAATAGTGATTTTATAGGTGGTTGTTTGGGGTAATTTGGGATTTTTTAAGAGGTGGGCTAAGTGTTAAAGTTAAAAGCCTATCACACTCAAGTGGCTCTTCAAAATTTCTTGTCCTCTCTCCCCTTCCTACCCCACAGAACATAGCATCTGGCACTGTGTCTTGCAAACAGTGACTATTTAGTATTCTATATTACCCCAATGATACCATCTTTTCTTAAGGAGTTGATATCACTAAATTATGAAAGAAGATTTTTGTAACCTGTACTAAAGCACAAAACCAGTGCTTTAAAAGCTCTAGGTCTGTTAAAGTAAGTTGAAACTGTAAATATTTTTCCAGCCACTTATACAGCCATCTTCTTACAAACTTAATAATACAAATGCATAGTGTAGCTTTTAAAATTTATTTTCTTCCTATTTTTCCCCTTCTGGGTCTACATTCCTAAATTATATAGAAGTTTTATCTCAGCACCAAGTCTGATACATAGTACTTACTAAACAAATGGTAGGCATAGCTAAATCTAGGTGTCTACACAGAATAAGGACATTATTATATTTATTTCCCAAATAGTTTGTAAATTTTGTTCACAAAATATTGATACATTAATAACCATTTCTTTTTTAACTTAAATATATATGTACTTAACTTGTTAATTTGCAGCTTTTTAAAATATAATCATTTCAAAGCTATAAATTTCCCTCCAAGTAAGGCTTAAGAGACATCCTATGAGTTTTGCTTAATTATAATTTTCTTCTGATTCCCACTGTGATTTCCCTTGGACCATGAGTTAAAGTGTTCCTAAATCCTAAATACACATGATTTATGTAACTTCTTTGTTACTGATTTTTAAATCTAATTGCATTGTAGGTGGAGAATGTGATCTATAGTAGCCATCTTTTGAACTTTGTTGAGGATTGATTTATGGCCTTTTATGAAGTAAATATTCATAAATTTTTAGTGTGTGCTTGAAAAAATATGAATTTCTCCATTTGGGGATGTAGGTTCTAGGTATGTTCATCACATCAGGTATGTTAGTTACATTGTTTAAACTTCTATATCCTTACTGATTTTTTGCCTGCTTGATTTAAAAATTATGGAGAAATATGTTTAAGTCTTCTATTCTGATGGTGGATCTCTCTGGTTCTTCTTGTCATTATTTGCATTCTTTGTTTTATGTATTTTGAGACTATGTGACTGGGTGAATATTGATTAAAAGTTATCTGTTCTTGGTGAACAAATTCCTTTTATTATTGTTTAGTGACCTTTTATCTCTTGTACATTTTTTTGCTCTATTAAAGTTTATTTTACCTAATATTATTATAGGTGCATCCACTTTCTTTTGTAGTATTTGCTTCATCTAGCTATTTTTATCCATTTACATTCATCATCTTGCATGTTTTAGATGGTATCCATAGAATATTTAGCTATTTTTACTTATCATAATTACTGATATATTTGGATTTATTTCATGTTATTTTTCCTGCCTTCTGTATGCTTATTTTTCCCTTCTGTCCTCTCTGCTTTTTGCTTGATAAAGATTTTTCATTCTCATTTTTCCTATTTATTAACTTGGAAATTATGTATTCATCTTCTGTTTCAGTTTTTTTAATCCTAGAGATATCAACATGCATACATGACTTTTAAAGTAAAAATTAATACATTTACAGCCCTTGCACATAACGTTAAAACCTTAGGATATTTTAGAACTGTCCACCCCATCCCATCTTACATACTATTGTTATTATGTATTTTAAGTGTATTTTAAATCCACAAAATATTGCCATTATTTTTTCATCTAGTAATATTTGTTTAGATTTTCCCATATATTTGTCATTGTTTTTGCTCATCTAATTCTTCTTGCATTTCAGAAATTCCATCTGGGATTACTCTTATTCTTCTGAAAGTGCATCCTTTAAAATCCTCTTTATTCGAGGCCTGTTGGAGGAAAAGTCATCATCTGTCTGAAAATGTCTTTATTTCACCTTTGCTCTTGACAAAAAACGTTGCCAGATATTGATTTTTGTGTTGACAGCTACTTTCTCTTAGAATGCTGAGATTATCTTTCCCTCAGGACCTTCTGAATGCCTTCGCTGCTGTTGAGAAGTCAGCTGTTTGTCTGTATGTAATTCCCTTGCAGGTCTCCGTTGTTTTGCTCTGGCTGCTTTAAGGATTTTTCTCTGTCTTTGGAGTTCTGTGGTTTTAGTACAATATGTCTAGAGATTTTTTTTATCCTGCTTAAAATTCATGGGGCTACTTGAATCTGTGATTTGATATCTCTCATTAGCTCTAGAAAAGTCTCAGCCATTTATTCTTTAATTTCTCTCTCTCTCCACTCCTTCCCTCCCCCTAACCATCTCTCTCCGCTTTTCTCCTGTGATTCTAATTAGAAATATATTAATCCTTCTCACTCTAAGTCTCCTCCTCATCATTACTATTCATATTTTCTGCCACTTTGTTTCTTTGTGCTGCATATTGCATAATTTTTTCAGATCCATCTTTTAATTCACTGATGCTCAGTGCAGCTATATTTAATCAATTGTTAAAGTCATCATTTAAGTTTTTAACATTATATATTTTGTTCTTTTTAAAATATGTTTGATTACGTCTCGTAGTTTCTTGTTCTCTCCTATTTTCCATCTTTTATTGATTTAAACTGATTAAAAATAACTATTGAACATTCTATTTTTTATTTTTCCCATCTCTGAAGTCTGATTCTACTGTGTGTTATTCCTGCTAGATCTCACTAATAGTGACTTATTTTCTTATGTTATTTTTATAATTTTGACTGTATACATTCATAAGTCTTGGAACTTTTTCTATGGAAATACTTTAAAGCCTAGGCTGAAGGTGAATTTCTCCAGAGAGGATTTGCATTTGCTTATACCAGATGTCTATGGCATTATCTGCCCAAGGTAACTTTAAACTAAATTCATAGACTGAGGTTTTTTTGTTTTGCTTTGTTTAACAGCCAGTTAGAATGAATTCAGACAGCAAACATGTATGAGGGCCAATTTGTGGTTAGGAATTCTTAAGTTAGATGATTTTTCTCTTCCATCTGCACCTCAGTTTGAAATAGATACTTTTTAATGAAGTCACTTGGGCTTTATTATTTCTAGATTCCACTAACATTGACGGGACTCCTCCTTAGGCTTTCTCTCTTAATGCTGTGAAATTTGAAGGAAAATTCACCTTATTTGCTAAATATTTTCAAAGCAGAAACTAGATCCAGCCTACACTTACCTCTCTGCATTTCTGTTTTCACTTAGCTGAGACCCTTAGTATCTTTTACTAAATGGTCCATGCATCAGAGCACTTTTAAGAGTTTGAAAATAGTCTATCCAACATTTTCAGTTTTTCTTCAGTGGCTGGGTGCGATGGTTAATACGGAGTGTCAACTTGATTGGATCGAAGGATGCAAAGTATTGATCCTGGATGTGTCTCTGAGGGTGTTGCCAAAGGAGATTAACATTTGAGTCAGTGGGCTGGGAAAGGCAGACCCACCATTAATCTGGGTGAGCACCGTCTAATCAGCTGCCAGTGTGGCCAGAATATAAAAACAGGTAGAAAAATGTGAAAAGGCTAGATTGGCTTAGCCTCCCAGTTTACATCTTTCTCCTGTGCTGGATGGTTACTGCCCTCGAACACTGGACTCCAAGTTCTTCAGCTTTGGGACTCAGACTGGCTTCATTGCTCCTCAGCTTGCAGACAGCCTATTGTGGGACATCATGATCTCGTGAGTTAATACTACTTAATAAACTCCCCTTTATATATATATGTGTGTGTGTGTGTGTGTGTGTGTGTGTGTGTGTGTGTGTATCTTATTGGTTCTGTCCCTTTAGAGAACCTAGACTAATACAGTGGGTGAGCAGCATACTTCATCCACCACATCGTTAGAGATCATTGAGTTCTTAATGTCAAGACTCCTTTTAAAAATTTCAATTTTTCTGTGTAGATGCTAAATTAAAAAGTGTGAAACTTTATTTTTTGTAAATCTCAATCATTACAGTGATGAACAGGTTTGGTGTGGTTTCTTTCCTTCTCTCTTTCTTTCTTTCTTTGTCCTTTCTTTCCTTCTTTCTTTTTCTTTCCTTTTCTTTCGTCTTTCTGTCTTTCTTTCATCCTTCTGTCTTTTTTTTGTCTTTCTGTCCTTCTTTCGTTTCTTTTTTCAACACCGTAAAGTTCTTCTACCCATGGTATTCTTTTTGAGAATAAAGTAGAAGCCTGAGGCTAAAGACACAACAAAGGAGAAGAAAGTGATTTATAAAATTTGCTTATCACACATGCTTATTAAAGTATGTATAATCGTGTGTGCATAATTATAATGTCTTATCTTTGTCAGTCTTGGAATTTCAGAGATATTATTATTATAGGCTGAAACATTTTCTGCAAACCTTTGAAGACTTGAATAAAGCCAGCTGGTGAATTACAATGCAGGACGGAATAAGCACAAATTTACCAGATAATCTGGATATTTAATTAGCTGCTTGACTGCTGCTGATTACAAACCTCCCCCGCAATCCCCTTGGAAAGAGCTGCTCTCAATGTGCTCCACACAGTTAAGTCCTCTGAATGGGTAAAGATGGAGAAAGTTGGACTGATAGCAACTGCCATGCTAAATTCAGATGATCCACCTAAAACTTCCATCACTAGATCTGGAAAGGAGTTTTTACAGCATCTAATTCAGTGTTTTCCAAACCTTCCCTGCTCATAGTCTAATTTGGGTTAGGAGTGCTCATACAGTATAAAGATTCCTGGTTGCTAGCCAAGATCTGATGGATTAATATTCCTAGAGCAAGGGCCTGGAATCTGTATTTTAAAAAGCCATCTAGGAGATTTTAATCATCGATAAAATTTGGGAAACACTGATCTAGCATTGTTGAGAAAAACAAGACCCAGAGAGATGGGATGCCTAAGGTCACCCAGGTTTCCTGACTAGCTGTCTTGTATCCTTTTCTTTACCTCTATGGAAGGTTGTGGGGAAGGATAAAACTGACCTGTATCATCTGCCTCCAACTGCCCAGTCATGGCAGTGGGCACATGTGAGCACTTGGACAAGTTAAGAGAGCACCAAAGACATATGAGTTAGGGATTGTACTTTCCCTAATCATGAAGGATATTTTAAGGATCCTTATGAACAATCCTATGAAGGATCTTTTTAAGGATTAAACAGAACAAACTACTTCATTCTTCAAATCCTAGTGGTTACAGTGAAGGTCAACAGGATTTCACTGCGTTGCTTGTTTTCTTCCAGTTTCTACCTCATTCAAACTGGAAGTCCTTTTCACACAAAGCCTTGCCTAGTGTGATATCTCCTGGTGCACATTTAAACACCAGCCAAGGCTTATGCTTGGTAACTGGAGTTTTCTACGTAGAGAAAGGTGAGTGGCTTTAGGGCATGGTATTGTATGTATGCCTATTAATGTCTAGAGCCAGGAGTAAGTGCACAGGAGGGGTTCAAGTTTTCTGCTTGGAACTGAAGGGGACACTTCCAAGGAAAGAAAAAAGTTGGGGCATGCACAGGAGGGTTCTAGCATTCTGACCTTTTGTGCCTGATTTAAACTGGTATTTTCCCAAGAATGAATGCATTTGTGTGAAGCATTCCAAGAGTTGAGCCTCTTTTCAGAGAAAGGTTAATATTTTTCTAGGTGCCTACCCAAACTTTCATGGGAGAGTCCAACTTAATAAATTCCTCAAATAAACAGAACAAACAAAGGTTCACTTGTTTCCTGGGGAGAGCTGCCTCTGTGTTGAACAGAATGCATTTCATGAGGCTATAAGCAACTGCTGAGATGTTTGCATCTTCAGAAAGCTCAGAGATTCATCAATATTTACCTGGAGAGATTTCAAGTTGTTTTGCTGACATTATGTGGATTAATATTTCCTTGATAGAAATTTGGCAAATCCGGTTGCCGAATACCTCTATGCTAAATTTAAAAGGAATGGCAGAGTTACCCATGGGTAACAGTTTGATTCCAAACATGAACTTATCTTGTATCTAAAACCCAAGCTCTTTGGGGCTTCTATTCAGACACAGACAGAAGGAAATACAGCACAGGACTGAAAGAGGGTGCAATCTTAGAAGGAGCTCATGTTTCCAGCTTCTTCCCTTGTTTGTTTTAGGGAATCCATTAAATAACACCCCCTTTTCCCCAATTGAGAAATACAACACAGAGCTAGGTGAAAAATCAAAATACTAGCTTTATCGCTAGTAAAATCTAGAAAGGAGGATATGGCTAATATGTGAGCATCATAGGCTTCCTAATATTTTCTGATTTCTGAAAGAAATGTACCCACAAGCCTCAGGAAGAGCTGAGCAGCCACAGACATCTCCATCATAGGAAGAGGCTAAGCTTATCATGTGGTACAGAAGAGGCCAGAGTGCACCTCGGGGTAGACAGAGCTATAGAGTCAGCATACTCAGCCCCTGTTATGGACTGAATTGTGCCCCCCCCCGCGATTCATATATTGAAGTTCTAACCCCCAATATGGCTGTAGTTGGAGATAGGGCCTTGAGGAAGGTAATTAAGATTAAGTAGTGTCATAAGGATGGGGCCCTAATCTGATGGAATTGGTGTCCTTATAAGAAGAGGAAACAAGAACAGAGATAGATTCTCTCCCTGTGTGCATAGATGAAAGTTTATGTAAGTTCACAGTGGGAATGTGACTGTCTTCAAGTCAGGAAGCGAGGTCTCACCAGAAACCAACCGTGATGGCACCTTGATCATTTTAGCCCCCAGAAATGTGAGAAAATCAATTTCTGTTGACTAAGCCACCCAGTCTGTGGTATTTTGCTGTGGCAGCCCAAGCAGACTAATATAGCTCCTTTTTCTAAATTCACCAATTTATAAAATCACTAAGTTCACCAGTGGGAAGGAGAGAGGATATACACGTGCATCTGAAGAAAAATGGCAATTATTTAGTTCACATTTCCCCTTTTGGGGTATGGAATGGAAACAGCCTCCCTTTTGTGGAAATTTGAGGAGAGGAGAACAAGAATTCCTCCTTAACATGCTCCCCATGGGAATGCTGCCTCTAATTATTTCTGACAGGTGGCGTGTCCAGCCTCTGACCCAAATACCAAGGAACAAAGTCTCCTCCTCCTTAGGCATCCCACTCCACCTTTGGAGAGCTCAGGGAAAATTGCCTTCAACAAAATCTACGCCCTGCAGTGCTCCAACGTAAGCCACAGAAATCTAGGCTGAAGCTTCTCTCATTTCACAGATTTACAGACATTTAAGGATACCTGTCTCTTGCCTCCTTATTCTTCCCTTTCTTGAGTTAAACACACATGGGTCTCTTAATAGCACCGAGTGGTCCCCAGGACACTCTAGTGGGTCTCTAGCCATTGGGTCCTTCTGCGGGGGACCTTAACTCAGTACTCTAGCTCAGTCTGATTGGACAGGGATGGAGCAAGTTCTTTGTGCTACTTAGTTACTACACAACCACTGAGGCGAGACTCAGGTGTACTTGCAGCCCCGGACAGGCTGAGTAGCTTCCTTCCATGCTCTGAACATAGAGCCCTGTATGCACTGGTGCCCAGCTGAGGGCTCATAGGCCCCTGGACAAGCGTCTCAGGTAAGTAAATATTTGGTCTGTTATTCACCTCTTAGTGAATGTTCTGACATACTATTGAAAGCTCACAGAGAGTTGTCAT
Organism: Homo sapiens; assembly: GCF_000001405.40. Taxonomy (NCBI): domain Eukaryota; kingdom Metazoa; phylum Chordata; class Mammalia; order Primates; family Hominidae; genus Homo; species Homo sapiens. The sequence continues at coordinate 25,640,494 of NC_000006.12, read as the reverse complement.
TGGCCATAATCTCCAGGTCTCTGACCACCAAGTCACCCTACTCTATTATTGTGCCCTTCTTTTTTAAACCTAAATGTAAGACTTTGTTTGTTTGTTTTATCCTGGATACATTTTAGCGTTTTGGTTCCAGTCTGATTATAGCCCTTTCTTTCAAAGCCCCAGCTCCAAATCCCCTCACCTCCACTTTCTTATTCCATCCTCCTGCCTCCTGTCAACAGAGGATCTATTCCTAATATTTCACATTGGGTATGATGTGGGCACTAAACAATCAGAAAGGACACTAACCACAGTGCAGGGGGCTAAGGGAGAGGCCTGGGCCCCCTGCTGTATCAGGTTGTATTCCTTTTTGGGGGTTGGGGGTGGGGGCTAGATTACAGAAAGATCTAACGGGTCCTAATGGAGAGGCTGAGTTTGCTAAGCTGGTAGGGGAGGCGGCCTGCAGGTGTTCTGGACAGTGGCTATTACCAGTTGGTAAGGAACTACATCGGTATTGTATCAACTGTTGTGGGAACAGCTGATGGATCTTTTAAATCTGAGTTCTTCCTAGACTGAGGAAGCATGATGACCCTAATGCTCCTGGCAGGGAAATGGAGTTCAGAACTGTGACTTGCTCATGGTCGACAGGCAGAGAGTGGCGGACTCAGAATCTTAACTCTGATCTCCAGCTTTCACGCTCCTGCCTGTGGTCAAGTTCCCATGATTTGCCAGTGAATATGACCAGACAAGATGAAGTATAAGAGAAGTAACAGAAAATGAGCAAAAATATTTTTCCCAGAAGCCAGACACAAAGACACCTACTATGTGATTACAATGTATATGAAATTTCTAAAAAAGGCAAAACCCTGCAGACAGAAAGGAGATCTGTGGTCATAAGATGTCGGGGATATCTACTTTTTTGACTAAAAACAGGCAGGATGGAACTTTTTGGGTGACGGAAGTGTTAAAAAAAAACTGGATGGTGGTGCTTGCACAATCAGATGAATTTACTAAAATTCATCAAACTATATTTAAAGTGGGTGAATGTAATGTTATATAAACTCTACCTCAGTAAAGCTGTTGACAAGGATTTTTTTAAAAAGGAGGCCTGGCACAGTGGCTCACACCTATAATCCCAGCACTTTGGGAAGCCGAGGCGGGTGGATTGCTTAAGGTCAGGAGTTCAAGACCAGCCTGGCCAACGTGGTGAAACCCTGTCTCTACCAAAATACAAAAATTAGCTGGGCGTGGTGGTGGGCGCCTGTAATCCCAGCTACTAGGGAGGCTGAGGCAGGAGAATTGCTTGAACCCAGAAGGCAGAGGTTGCAGTGAGCCGAGATCGTGCCACTGCACTCCAGCCTGGGCGACAGAGCGAGACTCCATGTCAAATAAATAAATAAGTAAATAAATAAATAAACAAACTTTTAAAAATTAAAGAAGAAAGAAAGCATTTGCCAACATGAATTCTACTCCATTCTATTAGTACATATTGTTTCACAGTTCTCTAAGCACAGAAGTTAGGCACTTCAGGGTTGGTGTTAACTCTTTCTCACAAATGATCTCAGTTTATAGAGCCATTTTAAACGGCCAGTTTATTTCTAGCTGGTCCATAAGAAAATAACTGTCCCTCTGAAATCCCTTAGGACAGTGGTAACCCACATTATATTCATTCAAGAAGTCAATGAGTTTCAATTGTCTAAATATTTACTGATAGCCCACCCAGTGACAGGCACCTTTCAAGGGCAGTCTGGGACAGTTGCTGGCAGCAGATAGTTGGTACTAAACTGAAAATAGAGGACTTGAGGTTTGCGGCCTGGAAGCCAAAGTTTCAAGGAATAACCAAGAGAAGCAAATATAAAGCATATGACTTACTAATTAGCGAATTATCTGCAGAGACATTCTTTTTATTTAACATAATATGTTTTCAATGATTTTTTTGACAATAAACAGCATGTAATACAAGTGAAGTTTCAAATAAAAAAGAACCAGATCCAAGTTAGTTACTTAAAATGATAAAGCTTCCTGTTTTGAAACAGTAAACACTGAAATTTTTTCTTGCTTACAGGATGACTTAAAACTCATTTTCAGGTCTGGCTCCTTATTGCCAGACATTTCTCTCTGCCACACCATGTGTGTCTTGCTCTCTGTTCCATCTGTGGCTCCCTTCCAACAAAGCCTGCCTGGTATCTGCCTCAGAGTTCGCCCAAAAGAAACTTGGCATCGAGGTATGTCCCATCTCTTCATCTGAACTGCAGCTTTTACACAATGGTCTCTTCCGTTATTGATTGCTGGATAACACAGCATAGAGAACAGCAGTCATTTACTTGCTCACAAGGCTGTAATTTGGCCCAGACTCAGCAGGGGAGGCTTATTGCTGCTGCTTGTGGCATCACTTTGATTGTGCCTAAATGGCCTTGGGAGAATGGCCTCCCTCACCTGGCTGGCAGGTGGTGCTGTCTGTCAGCCAGGAGCTCAGCTGGAGCTGTCCAGCAAAATGGCCCAGTTCCCCTCCATGTGGCTCACCTGGGATTCTCATAGCATCGTAGCTGGATTCTGACAGATTCTTTGCTTGACCAAACTTTTGACAGGCTCCTGAAACTTCTCCTAGGCTTATCTGTACCCTTTTTGTAAAATCCACTTTTAGCAAGAGCCTTGCTAAGTCACTTTAGCAAGACCATCCCTTACTCCTTTCTGGATATCTGATCACTCTCAATATCTGACTGGTTCTTCAGCCTTCACCATCCCTGAGATAATGTCTGATCATCCTGGCCTGTCTTCAGCAAGGAATCCTGTTAGATCAAGTTAGTCAGAATCTTCCTTACCCCCTTATGTCTTGGTTTAGTAATTTTTTGTTCACTGACCCCATCTTGCTCCTTGGAATTCAGAGTTGAGCCCAAACTCTTCCCCACAGCAAAATTCCATTACAGTGCTTCCTATACCTATAGACAGAGCACACCCCCTCCATAAAGTCCATAAAGTCTTTCCTACCATGCCTTAACAAGTGTCATTGGATATTGTTTTAATATTTAATATTTCCAGGCAGAAACATTCTAAGAGACAAATACGGAGGTTGTAGATATCTTAAGGCCCAGCCTCATAAATTGCACAACATCACTATTGCCACATTCCATTGACCAAAACAGGTTGCAAGGCCAGCCCAGACTGCCTTTCAAAGCAAGGCATTGTAAAGAATTTTCAGCTACCTCTCCTCCACTGCAATATTTCTGACTCTAAAAAAATGCCTGTTCTTTTAAAATAGATTTCTTTTCTTGTCTTGTGGATTCTTTTTTCTTTTTAAATATTTACATATTTTTAACATATTCATTTTTATTACCCTTCAGAATGCTTTATTGTCACTGGCAGAAGGGTTTCCTTGTTGCTTTATAATCTTTGTTTGTGACCTCATCTTCATGAGAATCTTTTGCCTGCCCCCTTGTTCATGGAGGCAGTCCCATATTGTGGATAAATCTCCAGCCCAAGGAGAAAGTTTTTTTATTGTGCACATACATAGATAGAACAAGCTCTTTCTGACTCCTGGATTTTTGGTGTTAGGTGTTAGGATGGGAGGGAGGGCTTCCCACATCTGCTCAGTTCATCATCTTAATTTGAAGTTCCCATGATAATCTCTTTTCAATGACAAATCAAATTTAAGTCTCTCTTTTACTAGCTTGCCTCTGCCAGTATTTGCAGTTTCTTCCCAGATTTAAAATCATACCTAAACACTGTAGTGATTAATTTGAAAAGTTAATAGTGATTTGTTCACAGGTAGGAAGAAAGTCACTCCACTAGGACGAGGAAAATAGTAACACTATGCACTTAAACAAACAATGAAGTGGCCAGTTTCTGTAACATAAGTTGCAAATATTTTTCCCAGTTTGTCATCTATCTTTTAACTATCTTTATGATCATATTTTTAAATTTTTATGTATTAAGAGTTGGAATTGCTAAAATGTTCTTTTCTGGCTTCTAGTTTTGTGAGAAAAGAAGGTTTTGATCATTTTAATTATTCTCATCAGTGTCTTAGCTATTGGACCAGCTTCCCATTTACTCACTATATAGCACTGTGATCTTATTACTTTGTGAAATTGTTGTCATGTTTTTTTCTATATTATGTGATATAAGTGAGGGTTATGATGCATTTCCAAGCATGGGCACCATAAGAACATACTGTTTTCTCTAAAAAAGAACCAGAGCATGAAAACAGAAATACCACTATCATAGAACTTCAACCAACTAATAATACGCTCATCTTCCCATGTTCCTTTTGATTTATTCTTCGGTCTCCATTTTCTGCACACTCCTCATCAGACAGACAGCTGGGGAGGCCAGAGGCAGCCTCTGCTGAAAACCTCTCTTGGATGCTTGCTGCTGCCCCAGAGGAAGAGGGTGCAGTCTGCTTTGTCCAGACCTCAGGCTAAAGGTCAGCAGTGGCCCTTTTCACTCAAATGTGGATGAGCATGACTCACCAGGATCAGGGGACCCATGGATTAAGAGCCAAAGGTCCCTAGAAACAAGCACCTTTTATTGCCTACCATTGTTCTCTAAGCTTAACTCCCTCTGGGACTTATCAAGGGAATCAGCAGTGGACTCAAAGATCTTAATTGGTTCAGGCTTATTGCAGCCACATAATGGCCCCTATGGCTGATTTTTTCAGGAATCATTTGTTGAAAAAAACAGGAACACGTTTAAACTAGTTTAGGTAAAAACGGTTTATTGTATACATGGGACAGTCACAGATGCAGAGCACAAGCAAGGTTGATGTGTCTCACAGACACTGGAAGGTTGTCTGGCCCTTTCTGCCCTTTCTTTGAACTGCCTGGTTCTTTTCTGCTTCTCCTGGCACTCGCTGCTTCATGCTCTCTCTCTCACTTCCATGTCTCTGAGCACAGTTTCTTCTATTCTGAGTGCACACGGCCCTCCTGCCTCCAAATGGTGGTCTCAGCCTCCAAGTCTCTGTAAACTTCTTGCTCTGGGGTTGGAAAGCTTTGTCTGTAAAGAGTCAGATAGTCAATATTTTATGCTACCGAGATCCATAAAATATCTCCTGCAACTATTGACAGTCGCAGACATTATTAAACTAGCAAGCATTGCCAGATTTTGCCTATAGGCAATAGTTTGCCAGCCCCTGAACTAGCTCTTCTTAAACTTTTCCAAATTATTTGGAGAAAGAACCTGACTGATCCCCTGTGGGTCAGATGTTCATGCCAGTCATTTAGGGGAGAAGGTTTAGAGTTGCCCCTTTAACCTATGGGCTGGGAAGAAAGATGGGCTTTTCCAGCAGAGTGGCTCAATTTTGTTGTCTGAATGGGAGCAGAGGGAGTGTGCATGGCTCATTTCCAGGCTTCAGTATGAGTGTGGGTGAGAAAAATGTCCTAAATGCTGGGGCATGCTGGGTCTACATTAAGCTTTATATATATAAAAAAAAAAAATCTAAGCAGTCCCAATTCAGAACACTCAGATCCCTATAGTTGTGGCCTAAACCCAAGCTTTTCCATGTTTGCAGATGGTCAACAGAACTACAGGGACCTTCAGCTGGCTGCATAGGTCAAAGAATGGAGTCTCTGGTGCAAGAATGGAGACTCTGGTGCGAGAATGGAGTCTGGTGCAAGAATAGAGTTTTTTCATGCATCACACACTTAGATGTAACCTATAAAACATTTTATATGTTCCACTTTAATAACATATCCAGGTATTGAGTACAAGGAGTATGTTTGCCACAGCTCTGACCCTTGCATCCTATGTCATCTGTACAGGATGGGGAATGGAAGGAGCTGAGGTTCAGAATGTGCTTGGTGTGTTACTTCGTTGGTAATCAAAAGTAGCACATTTACATATTGGCACATCAAAATGTTCTTTTTTGTACATTGCTGCAGGTTAAGAAAGACACAGCAGGACCTGTGTAGAGTCAGAGAAGGGAAAAACAAGTATAGTCTGAGAAGGAAGGACTTCCACTCCTAAATATATAGCGAAAACCTACTCATCATCTTCTGGGTGGACAGAGCCTGGTTTGTATCACAGGAAGGGATATGGGAATCATGATGCTGTCACCAAATCAGGTATCTCACAAAGGATGATCAGAGGAGGTCTTTGGAAGCTGAGAGGATATAGATGAATTTTAGAGAAGATTAAAATCTTCTCTCTACACAATGGGAAGAAGTTAGCAGAGGTCTTTTACCTGGAAGAGCTGCACTGGCCAGCAATTGAAGTGACTATGCTCCCTTGCATGTTGAGAAGATGCAAAGTCAAGTGGCTGGAGAAACAGAACCACATTTGCTGAGTACCTACAGTGTGCTAGATGTTCCCCACATTATCTTGTGAATCCTCCAAATGGTCTTGCGATGTAGATATTAATTTTCCTGTTTTTAGAGATGAGCCAACTGGGACTCAGAGCATTTAAGTAACTTCCTCAAAATTCCTGTCAGTATGTAGCAGAGTTAGAGCTCAGTCTTGGGTCTTTCTGAAGTCAAAGCTTGTTTTCTTTTTGCTAAAGTAGCAGTTTTCAGTCCCATCAGACCCAAGGCCCCTTTTTATAATAAATATCTTGTAACGTCTTCTTTACTACCCTGAAAAAAAATCATTGAAAACTAGTTTCTTTTCTTTTTTTTTCTTTTTTTTTTTTTTTTTGAGATGGAGTCTCGCTCTGTCACCCAGGCTGGACTGCAGTGGCGTGATCTCGGCTCACTGCAACCTCTGTCTCCCAGGTTCAAGCGATTTTTCAGCCTCAGCCTCCCAAGTAGCTGGGACTACAGGTGCGTGCCACCACACCCAGCTAGTTTTTGTTTTTTTAGTAGATACAGGGTTTCACTATGTTGGCCAGGCTGGTCTCAACCTCCTGACCTCATGATCCGCCTTCCTTGGCCTCCCAAAGTGCTTGGATTACAGGCATAAGCCATCACACCGGGCCTGAAAACTAATCTTATGTATAGTACTTGGGTTTTGTTTGTTCGTTTGTTTTGTTTTTGTTTTTTGAGACAGGGTCTCACTCTGTTGCCCAGACCGGAGTGTAGTGGCAGGATCATGGCTCACTGTAGCCTCAACTTCCTGGGCTCAAGAAATCCTCCCACCTCAGCCTCCCAAGTAGCTGGGGCTACAGGTGCATACCACCATGCCTGGCTAATTTTTATTTTTTGTGGAAATGGGATTTTGCCATGTTGTCCAGGCTGGTCTCAAACTTCTGAGCTCAAGCGATCCTCCCACCTCGGTCTCCCAAAGTACTGGGATTACAGGCATGAGCCACTGCACCTGGCCTAGTACTTGCTTTTCTTAAAAAAGCAATAATATCTACATAAAAACTTGTACACAAATGTTTATAGTGGCATTACTCATAATAGCTAAAAAGTGGAAACGCCCAAACATTATCAACTGGATGATGGATACATATAGTCTATTCATACAGTGGAATATTATTCAGCAATAAAAAATGAATGAAATATTGATACATGCTACAACATAGAAGACTCTTGAAAACATTATGTTGAGTGAATGAAACCAGTCACAAAGAACAATATACCATGTGGTTCAATTTATATGAAATATCCAGAATAGGCAGATCCATAGAGATGGAAAGTAGATTAGTGGTTGCCTAGAGCTGGGGGATGGAGGGACTGAGGGTGAAATCTAAGGAAAGCAGGATTTTTTTTTTTTTTTTTTGAGACGAAGTCTCACTTTTGTCCCCCAGGCTGGAGTGCAATGGCACGATCTCGGCTCACTGGAACCTCTGCCTCCTGGGTTCAAGCGATTCTCCTGCGTCAGCCTCCCAAGTAGCTGGGATTACAGGCACCTGCCACCAAGCCCAGCTAATTTTTGTATTTTTAGTAGAGACAGGGTTTCACCACGTTGGCCAGGCTAGTCTTGAACTCCTGACCTCAGGTGATCTGCCTACCTCGGTCCCCCATAGTGCTGTGATACAGGTGTGAGCCACCGCGCCCGGCTGACCGAGCAGGATTTTTTTGAAGGGTGTAATGAAAGGATTCTAAAACTGATTGTGGTAATGGATGCACAATTGTGACTATACTAAAAACCATTGAGTTGTATACTTTAAGTGGGTAAATTGTATGGTGTGTGAATTATATCTCAATAAAGTACTTTTTAAAAAGCAATAAAATAATGTCTTGGCTGTAATGTAAATGAAACTAATTCATAATAATATAAACCATAACATGTAACTACATGCACAGCTACACAAGAAGACATGATCAAGTAGTCAGGGGCTTCAGCCTGTGTAGAATCCCCATAAATGTGACATTTACAAAATACAGACTGAATTGGTGTTTTATGTTGGTCACTCAACTATCATGAACAATATTGCCATTCATGAAGTGATTTTCCAAAATGATGAACGATCCTTGGGTAGGCAAACAATTTGCTTGGGTGAGTACGCAGCTTTCTCTCTTTTCTAAGTAGTAGTTATTATTTTTTGAACACTTACAATGTGCCAGGCACTTTTCATAAATTTATATTCAATTTTCACTGCAACCTTAAGAGACAAGCAGTCATTATTCCCGGTTTCCAGATGGAGGAACTTACCTGTGGATTTAAATAACTTGCAGAAGTCCATTAGCCACTCCTAGTATGGAGTCTGCTTCCCTAGTCATCCCTCTTTTGCACTTGCAGGACAGGGGCAGTCTATGGTCTCTGCATATGTCCCTGTTCCCTTCTGGCATCCCTACCCCTTAAACCCTCTGAATTCAGGACTGTGCATCACACACCTTGTCCTTCCTCCCTTCTTTCCCCATCTTATGACAGCCACACTCTCAGCAAGGAGAAAAGCCAACATTCAATGGCTCCACCAGGCAAAGATCAGCCACTCTGCACCACCGGCTGCCGGAGCACAGAACACAGCCCATGCTGAGGGCAGGTGGCAGAGCCACTGGACACATACACCTGTCTTGATGCCCAGCTTTGCTCTGGACACCTTCCATGTTGTGGAAGAAAAGCCAAGTTACTTCTTCCAGTTCCCAAAAGCTAGCCTGCACAGTCCCTGCACCAGCAAAGGGACAGGAGCCATGCACCCAGGGTGCTCCAGCAACATGGTCCAGTCCTTCCTTCCCCTACTTTCCTGCTCACTTAATCCCCACTGAGTGTGTATCTGGAGAGTCAAGCAAAACTCTCTACACTGGGCTTTTAACTTTTATTTTTTAAAGAGAGGACAGACATTTGAAACATTTTCTCCAAGTCTCCATAAAAAGCACTTTATGAAACAATCTAGGCTTACCAGCCTTGACATTCCCCAGCTCTCTGGACTTAATCACAAAGGGAGATGAGGCCAAGCCTTGGGGGGTAGAGTAGAAGAAAGTATAGGACTCCTTTGATGCCACCTACACGCATTAAATGCACCAGCCACTTCTCTACTTTTCTTTGTGAAGAAGTTGTAAGCTAATCAATGTCCCTTCTCTGCATGAGATCGATACTAAAGCTACAATCAGTGCTTTTACCAGCTTAGCTGCCCTGGGCCCATGGGGCTCCTGATTGTAAGGAAATAACCCCTCTTCTGCTTGAGCCCTTCCTCACTCCACCTCTCCCAGTGGGATTTCTCATTACAGAGGAAATGCTGGAGGAGGCTGGGCTGTGATCATTTAGAGTGTACTTAGTGCCAGGACACCAGCGAGAAAGGGCTTTTTTTCTGGCAGGAGACAGGATGCCCTTTACAAATAAGTGCAGTGAGGTAAACCTTGGGACTTACCTGACTGTGCACTTTTCTGTCACTCCCAACTGCTTCATCCTTTGCTTCCCACAACTCTGGACTGGCAATCAGGAGATGGACTGGCATAACATGGTGCTTAAGAGTGAGTGGTTTTGGCAATAGACTGCATGGGTCATGAGCTGTGTGACCTTGGATAAGTTACTCAACTTCTCTGAGCTTCAAATTCGTGATTTTTAAATAGAGGTGATAATACTACCTACTTCCCAGGGTTGCTCTGAGGATTAAATAAGTGAGAAAGCATATAAGGTGCCAGGTACATAACCAAAGTTCAGATGTTTCCTATTCCTATTATCATCTTCTCCATCTTTCTGGAGGACATTCAGAAGGCCCTAACCATTCTCTTTCTGTTTCTTCACCTGAAAATTGTGGATAATAGTGCATTGGAAAACATTTCACAATAGCCAGAAACTTTTAATTGTTAAAACCATCATATTGGCATATATCATAGAGAGTAGCAGGAAAACTGAGGGATAGAGGCTAACGGAGGACCCATTGAGAACAGGAAGCTACTGTGGCCAACAGAGAAAAAAATGATGACATAGAAAGAAACAAAATGGCAAACTCGAGCTGAGGGGTTAAGAACCTTCAACCAACTCCAGCAGCTCTGGACAGGTTTATCACGTTCTTTGGGGTGGTTCCCTGGTTGGACAGGTCTCTGGTAATGCTGGACCAGGTGTGGTTTCCAGGGAGAAGGGAGGTTCATAGGCTGGTGTTTGGCATATAGCAGATGCTCTGTAAATATTTGCTAACATTTAATGAAGAGAGCACTGCCCACCTCTTAGAGAGTGTCAAAGAGATGGCAGCAGCACTGATGAGAAGGTGAAAGGGAACTCCTGGATGTTTCCAAAACCTAACCTATGCAGCATCTGCTAATGGAAAATCCATTTGCTCACCAAGGAGGCTTTAGAAGAAGACCTTCTCCAAAAAGTGCACCCTGACTCAGGCCAGGAAACGCCAAGAGTCTGAATAAGAAGAGCAGGCTCCTCAGGTCCCCCAATGCCATCCTGGGAAAAGGTACTGGATGCCCGTGTTTGCAGGGGAGGAACCCAGGTGTACCAGGAGTTCGCAAAGCCTTGTTGAAGCCTATCCAATGAATGTTGAATATTAACTACAAATATATCCTGTTATATAAGTTCAACATAAATTTCAACCTCTTTAAATTCATTTTTTCAAAGTTTTCACAGGTTGGGTTCACCAGAAAGCTAGCTCTGAGATGGAGACTGGTGTGCGAGAGGGTTGTTATGGGTGATCTTGAAATCAACAACTGTGGATGGGAAGGAAAGAAAGGAGGCAGGATTGGGCAAAGGGAAAGTTGAGCTGTGATGCTGTCCCAATGGAGGCCTCAGCCTACCTGAGTTCTGAAGATGGGTTGACCTTTCACAGCCATCCTGAGTTGAGGTGAGGGGCCGGACTTTCATGTTTCTGCATTGATTAGGTATTAGATAAACTGCCAGGGAAAGCGGTGTGACCTTGAGCTAGTTGGCTCTCAGCCAAGGCAAATCCCTCAGGGAGCTGACAGCTGAAGTCATCTGCCAGCGGCAGCTGAATTTACAAATTCGTTATTCCTAAAGGGAGATCTGAGTGGTGCATCCCAGTGTCCACCACAGTTGGGGAGCATAAATTAATAGAAAACACTAGAGTAGAAAAGAAAAGCCCTTTCATATCCAAATTGTTGTCCCAGCCATTGCCTTCGTCCCTTGCTGTGCAGAGCATTTGTGAAATTATGTCATTCACTAATTTGTTTATGTTCTCTCATCTCCATGAGTCAAAGCTCCATGAGCCAAAGGATGGGGATTTGGTCTTAGGAGACCAACACTCAGACCATTTCCTGGTACATAATAGGTGCTCAACAAATATTGAACAAGCTAACAAAATGAGAAACCGTAACTGGCAAAAAGCTTGATTTGTATTTGAGGTATTCTCAGGAGTCAGGGAAAGGGAGAGGGAATATGCTTCAAAGCCAGATGCAGTGGAACTATGGCTGGGGGAATCATTGAAACAGATTGGGTCATAGACATGCAAAGTCTAATGCTGTGATTGAATGATGGCTGTCCCTTCAGTCTTCAGATGTCTTGTGTGGTTCTTTGGGCTTCTCCAGGAAAGGGAATGAGACAATAAGGCACATTGTTTTCCTCCCCTTTAATCCACAGCGCATCTTGTCATAGTAACAATGGCCCCAGTCTTGTCTACCATCGAAGGGGAAATCTCAGCACTGGTGGACACTCAGCCTTGTTCCTTGTAGCCTGAACACCTGGAATTTCAAAAGCAGCATGCTAGTGTAAAACTTGCAAGAAGCTCACATGGCATATGGGATTTTTGCTGCTTAGCTTGTGTCAATTGCTGCCATTGGGGCTCCCTATGAGTGAATGCTAATAACACGGGCAGTCCCAGGCATCTGGGCTGCACTGACATCCCCTCACTAACTTCAGGGTCTTGCTTTGTTTGCCTTTCAGCAGTGATTGGAGAGCCAACTTCTTCCCATAATTCAATTAAATGAAATTAGATTTAGGGAGAGGAAGTTTCTTCCTTTTGCCTTTTCTAAGAATAATCAATCTCATTAACATGTTCATGCCCCCAGAACTTTTTAAAATCTCTCCCCCCTGTTTCAATTAAACTCATTAGTGACACAGGTTTCTTTTTTAAGTTATTAGAAGGTTGGAGCATCTTTTTTAAGTTATTAGAAGGTTGGAGTGGTTTGCAAGGCCTATTCGGAATAAGCCATTTGCACAGTGATACCCCTAGAGTGGGTGTTCCTGTAGCCATAAGATTAGATCAATTGCTTTTCCTTCTTCAACGGACCAAACATGGTCAACCCCAAAGTCTTCTTTGGGCCAGCCAGTTCTGGACCATAAGGTTGCCCTCAGACCCAAAGGCACTCAAGGGTGTTGGTTTCTAACCCTCTGCTCAGGCCTCAGAGGCACCTGGGACCCAAAAAGCCAGCAAAGCTGAGCTTCTTTTCCACCCTCAGGAGGTAAGTGGTATGGTGGAGGGCAGGAAGAGGCCAGGGTGCTGGGAAGATGCTCAAAAGACCAATTTCCATCTGAACATGAGGCTCTGCAGGTCCTGCATTTGTCATGGCTCAGGTCTCTACTAATGGATATTAATTTACTCACCTAAGAGACTGCAAGGGCACATCTTCTCCCCAGAATGCACCATCACTTCAGCCAGGAATGCTAGGTGGCCTCTATTATTTACTCCTTTTGATTTTCTGTAATTCTTTTTTTCTTTTTTGAGATGGAGCCTCACTCTGTTGCCTCTGTAGTACAGTGGTGTGATCTCGGCTCACGGCAACCTCTGCCTCCTGGGTTCAAGCAAATTCTTGTGCCTCAGCCTCCCGATTAGCTGGGATTACAGGTGTGCGCCACTGTGCCCAGCTAATTTTTGTGTTTTTATTAGAGACGGGGTTTTGCCATATTGGCCAGGCTGGTCTTGAACTCCCAGCCTCAAGCGATCTGGCCCGCCTCAGCCTCTCAAAGTGCCTATCCAATTTTCTGTAATTCTGTATCTTGGGGCTTTGCTGACCCTAAAGGGAATAGGCTGCCTAAAGGGAGCCGCTGCTTCTCAGAGATAGTAAATGAATCACCTGGAAGCATGCCTTTCATATGCAAACTAACCAATCCAGCACCTCCCCATCCCACAACCTCCTCTAAGTGGAAGTAGGCTCTCACACTCCAGGCTACTATTCCCCACTGTAATCACACCAAGGCCAGGTACTAGACAATGCAGGACAGTTGCTCTACCCTGAACCTTCTGAAATATTCAAGCTAGCCAATCCTAAGCCTGGTTACCTGACCTTGCCCATTCTTTCTCAAGGGAAACACAATAAAAGCACTTGCTCACATTTCCCTCTAGCTCCCACTGCCTCCTGACCAAACCTGCTGCTTCTCCATGTGGCCCTGCATGGTATGGTGTGCCCTGTTTTCCTGGGAACTATGAGGAACTGGAGATCTTTTCAATAGTTGTTGTCTCTTGATCTGTTGACCTCACTATACCTGAATACTAATAAAACTTACATTTAAAACAGCCTCCTGGGCCCTCTCTTGGAAGACAAAGTCCTGTAACCATTCACCGTGGTGAAGGAAAGCCATCTCTCTCCCTGTGTCTCAACAGGGGCTGAAGGCACACATAGCTGAGCCCACTTCACACTCCCTCCCCACCAGCCATGAAGATGATGCCTGGCAATGAAGTTTGAGATCCAGTTCCAATTTTGGAATCATTTTCTCCTCATAGGTATTGACAATTTTTATACATTTCCAAGACCCATTGAAGATAATCCTCAGGGGTACATATGGTACAGGAGGATAGGAAACAGCTTGGAAGACAACAGAAAGGAATATGTATCCACAAGAAGAGCCTTTTCCAGTTCGTTTGCAAAAAAGTACTCCTGTTCTGCCCTGCTGGGCCTGGGGTGGCAGCTCTTAGAATCGGTTTCTAACCTTGCTTGGACCATCATCTTTTTGGTAGTCTGATGAAGTCTCAGGATCCCTTCTCATCATAAATATTTTATACTAATAAAGTAGAATACAGGGTATTACACAGGAAACTAATAATATTGAAAATACAATTATTAGAATATTTTAAAACAAACTTTGATTTAGAAGTTAATGCACTGCTTTATTAATTCTTTACATAACACAATGTATCAGAGGGTCTTATAAGTACTGTAATTTTGAAGTAGTGGTGAGTGGGATAATGTATCACAATATCTGCAGTGGTTGGAAACTGATCTAAAAATGTTTATGATTTCCATTTTCCCAGGCACTGTTAATACTATTATAGTTTGCTGCACATATTCATAACTGAAAGAAATGCTAAATTGCAAAGGAGGCTAATGAAAATAAAGAAATCATTTTTTCTTTCACAATTCAAGCTCACAGACAGATGCCCAGCATTCTCCCCAGCCCATGGTATGCAGGATACGCACCCTGTCTAGAGCTTTGAAAATTAGTAGCAGGTAGAGGAGCTGGTCTCCTCTGCTGAGTGTACCTGAGCCACAGTAGTGCTGGCTTCAGCTGGGAAGTGCCCATCTGGAGCCCAGTGGTTTAGGCCAGCAAATCATATTCTTATTTGCAAGTGGTCCTCCCTTCCCTCACACCTAGTCATTGTAGGCAATGAAGGCTCCAACAGGGTGCCTGGGATAGAGTAAGAGCAAACTAGCTCAGTGACCTTTGGGCAAAGTCTGTCTCTGTTCTGTAGAAATGTAAAGGCATGGGGGTTCTGGTCCTCTATCTCCAGTGAGAGTTGAGTCTTATGAGCCCTGGAGATCTCTCCAAGTGTCATAAAATTGAATTATCTCATTTCTAGGCATGGAGTATGGTCACCCCACACTCATGAATTATCTGATACCCATGGGTCACCCTAATGATACTGCATAGAGACAGAGCTAAAGCAAAAGACGAGGGAGACATCACTGCAAAGGTGGGAATTGTAGCCTTAGAAGGGAATAAGTTCACCTGGGGAAATGAGAAGGTGCATCATGAGCCAGACCCGAAATGACTTGATCACAGAGAGGACAGGCTTCAGTGAGGGCTGGTCAGGCCAAAGGGTCAAATGTCTACTTGAATTCTTTGCTCTCAGTATGTGGGAAGCAGCCTGCCTTTTCTCCCCCTCCTCTGAGGACCTGAGGGAAAAGCATGGGAGACCTGTTGACGCTTTGGGAACAGTCTAGGAATGTCCCCAAGATGAGCTTCTGCCTGCATTGACACCTCCCATTCCACAGGACCTAGACCTAGGGCCCTTCTTCCATGTCCTTACTGCCATGGGTAAGGACACTCCTGCATGGAAGAATCCCTGTGCAGTTCATGTCTGAATTCTCTGCAGGGATTCAATGTCTAGAAGCTCAAGCACATCTTCCCAGCAGTGGTTTTTCTGCATCCAGGCCCCTCTGATCACATTGTAGGCAACCTGAAGTGGCCTCTACCCTGACAATGCTTCTGTCTTTGAGATAATTCTTTTCTTCACACCTCCAGAAACTACGGTTAAGTGTCTGCTCTTACTGTCAGAAGAGACCTCATGATCACTGTATGTCACGGGAGGTGCAAAATTGTGCCTAATCCTCAAAGCAGTGGTGTGGATGCACGAAACAGGCCCCAGTGTAAGCTGTGTGTACACAGTGTAAGTGATGGCTTCACTTTGAGTTAAACCTAATACAAACTGTAATTGGAAAGTATAAATGGATTACCCTGGTCTTATTCAAATGTGCCACCACCCAATAACAGCAAGGACAGTCCCCTTGGAGAAAACACATTTTGTTTCTACTGATTTCAAGAAATCTCTGACTAGGGAGAGTTTCTAATTCATGAGATAGATTTTCAAGTGTGACTAAGAGACTTAATCTCTATTAAGTTGCCCTAAAAAGGAAAAGAAGCTATACATTTAAGTTGTGATTATGAAATAACATACAATCTGACCTCAGACTAAGAAATCCTGAGATGCAATCTATACATCTCAAAAGCTTTGCCTTACATTTTGAGACTTAGTGACTTTGGTGGCAGTGGCACACAGTGATCAACATTTCAAAACCCAGGCAGACTACCTTGGCTTTGGGCCAATGATAACCATTTGCACAGAAGCTGAATTCCCCCATTCTCCTATGTCTGCATGTCTTAACTCACCTTAACTATAGCACCAGCAGATTAAATTATGGCCCATTTCAGTGAACGGAGCCTTCTCCTACTCTCAGCTTTGTGATGTGTGGTGTGTGTGAGCCAAGAGTCACAGAAGGCTGAGATGTTTAATTGATGTGGCTCATTGAGCAGACAGTTTGCCCAGCCTATACCATCAGAGGGAAAGAGAGATCAGGCTGCCTCAAAGCATGGCATTTAGTTACAGTTTTGCCTCATTCAGTCAAACCTCAGGAGAGACAAATAAAAAATCAAAACACAAGAAAGAGGGAGAGAAAAAATTATCCTCCTTCCATTGCTTTGTGTTCCCTACTTTGCCTCCTTGCTCTGGTTTTTAGCAGTTTGGCCAATGGGTGGGGTACTGGGCTAAAGAATTTAGGAAGGTAGGGTTCTATTTGGAATAATTTAGGAAAAGCAGGACCCTAAACATGGCAGTGACAACAGTGAGCATCTAGGAAACCTCTACTGTTTTCTTAGCACCTTTTAAAGGAGTAGAAATGAAGGCCAGCATCACTACAGCTATTGAAGGCATTGGTTCATGTTCTTGCCCTGAGGGAAAACGTAAAAGAGAGACTGAGAATGAATAAAGGCCACATCGTTTCTACTGCAGGGCCACATTGGGGCAGTGCTTTCAATCTAGCAAGTAAAAAAGTGATAAACAGAAATATCTTTTCAAGGCCACCTCAATTTAGGATTTTCATGCTTGGGACTGAGAACAGGTGTAACGTCTCAGTTGAAAATCAGGGCTGTCCTGCCTACTGAGATTTCCTGTTGCAATCCGTTTATTTCTTCTCTGCAAAAAAAAAGTATTCTGTTTTCCCTTCAGTTGAAAAACTGTTTTCTCTGGGAATGCTGTTTTGCAAATGGAGTGTTAAAGTGAATAGTCAACAAAAGGAACTGGATCACCTGGGGAAATGAGCCAACACAGGGCAGGGTCAAAGTCATGAGAATGTCTTACCCACTGCAAGCTGTTTGCCCCTTCCTAATTGAACCACCTGTCCATTATCCTCTTCTGGGATTTTTAGTTGCCAATTTTTAATTGCAATTGAGTTCTCTCCAACACTTGACACATGCCTGATCAATTGCTGGCCAATGGCCTGTGCTAGTAGACCCACACTGACCAATGTTAAAGAAAAATAAAATTGGAAAGTCAGCCTGTTCCAAAGCTGCACAATGAATGCATCCCCAAAATAAGTGACCAAACAATTCCTAGATTATTTGGCCCCTGCTTAGTATATCCTTCTCATTCTTAATTTAGGCCTTGTGCATGGCACAAACAGAAAAAGGAATATGTGTGGTTTAGTATTCTAGGGGTTTTCTGGGAGGCTTCAACCCTTGCTCCATGAGCGGCACCCCCGACCGCCATCTGGCTGGTCCGAGTGGGCTCTCTGGGACCCACAACTCCTGATGGGCTCCATTGCTGCTCCAGCACTTAGCTTCACTGGGTTCCCGGATGCAAGCATGGTTCTCTTCACTTCTACTGACACTTTACAAGGGTAACAAGAATCAAGGTGGTGTCTGTTGTGTCAAAATCCCAAAGGACCTCGAGAAGTCAGTTAGTCCCCTCTGCCTTAAGGGCATCTTTCTTTTAGGGACATATCACAAATTCTAATATATTCACAAAACAAACACAAAAGCCCACACATTTTGAGAAAAGATCTGCCAGCCACCAGCTCAGATGTACATGGTAAAGCTGCCTTTCCATGTGTGTGCTTTTTTGTTTTAAGACGGAGTCTTTGTCATCCAGGCTGGCGTGCAGTGGTGTGATCTCAGCTCACTGCAACCTCCGCCTCTCAGGTTCAAGTGAGTCTCCTTCCTCAGCCTCCTCAGTAGCTGGGATTATAGGCACCCACCACCAAGCCTGGCTAATTTTTGTATTTTTAGTAGAGGTGGGGTTTCACCATGTTGGCCAGGCTGGTCTCAAACTCCCTACCTCAAAGTTCATCCACCCACCTTGGCCTCCAAAAGTGCATGTATTCTTGATTGATGGTGACAGAATATGGAGAAGTGTGTCAGTTCAGGTTCTCCAAGAAGCATGTGCCCAGATGGGATTAGACCGCAGAATATTTATTTATTGGGGGAAATGGCTGTGAAGCATAAAAGTGGAGGGAGCAGTAGCAGGGAGTGCCTTCAGATCATATTCAGGTTGATCACCTGTAAAAGAAGATTGGGAAGGAAGAAAGGAGATGTGGGTAGGAAGAGCTTTTGCGCAGCTCTCAGAAAGCCTTGGCCAGGCCAGAGGAGGGCCCTAGAGCAAAAGTTGCTCAGTAGAGTCCTGTGTTGGGCAGCTCTAGTGTACCAGCCGTCCTCGGTGGTTGGCAGGGAAAGTGGGGGTGGCCTAGCCACAGCAAGACCACTGTAGAGGGTCTCAAGGTGTGGCAGCTGGAAGCTGTTAGCCATGGTCGGCCCCCACACGCTCTCCATAGCCAAGTTCTCTTGAAGTTCTCTTGAAGGAGCATCTGAGTGGACCTCTTGACCACTACAAGGAGAGGGAAAATGATGACGAATCCTTGCTCAGCCACTTCACTGGATGCCTGCCTTTAGTCTATAGGGTTTATCTTTATAATCTTAGCTCTGATTACATTATTGCTTTAAAAAATGCAATGGCTCCTACTGCATAGCATCAGGATCCAACTCCATAATAAAGCACCAAGGCTATTCACTATCTGGGCTTCTCTCGACTGCCTCTTTGAGGATAGTTCTTATGCTGAAACCCAGAGAGAGGTCCTAACCAGCAGCACGTGTGCCTTTTACCACATAGCATTCTAAGTGAATGTGAACTTGATTGCTCTGTGAGCACTTTCTGTATCTTCCCACTATTCTCTATGGTTGAATATGGGCCACATCACACATTTACAGGGGGTACAGCTAGGAATCAGACACTGTTCCTGTACTTATGAAGGTGTGACTTCAAGGCCTTGCACAAACATTGCCTCCTCTGAGGTTCCTGAGCAGCACAGGTAGACCTAACCCCCTTTCCACATCACTGTTTGTCATGAGTATGGTTCCATCACACTGTATTGTTTTGGGTTGGGTTATGGGTCTGTTTCCTCATAGCCTGTTAGCTCATGGAGGTACCATGCCCATCTTTTGTCTTCTGATGCGTCTCCCAGTTTGACAGCCATAAGAGGTGTTTATTCCCATCAGCATTTATGACAGCAGAGCTACAGCTGGAGGAAGCAATCTTCTGTCTTTCTGCCCTCATGAAGTCACGCAAAGGCAGCAAACCATCTGGTCTACATTATGGGCACTTACGCATATGCCAGACACCTGAGCTGGGGACAGGGCTAGTGGAAGATGATGAGGGAAATAGTCATGTCATGCCGACCCCACCTTCTATCATTCTTCTTTCCAATAGATAACCACTGCTTGCAACGCTTCAAATCATACTTCTTTGCTCACACTTGCATCCTTCATATGACCCTTATGCATGGTAATGGGAGGTGGATCAAACTCCTAATTCTATATTCTTCTGGTAAATTTTATCATTTTTCCCAAGGGGGAAAACAGGCAGTGGCATTACTACGTTATCTTTATTTCGAAGGTAATAGTTCCCAGATTGCTTATCTGAGAACATTGATTATTTTGGATTTTGGAAACAAAACCAAAGTTCACCACCCTGAGCCAGTCCAAACTAAAAATGTAACTGGAGAAGGCCCAAATTCCACTTGTAAAATCATTTTATTGGTATAAATATACATATGAATAAAATACTTCCAGCCTGTAATGTAAGTGAATATTTGTGAAATGTCTTATAAAGAGTAGTATTTTGATTTTTACAGGTGTCAAAGTATTCTCTCTTAAAATCACACATTAAAAGCTAATATGCAGACAGAAATTAAAGGCCTTCAAAAACATGAATATTCATAAAACCTCATTCCAATCAACTATATACATTAATCTGGGCACATGGTAAAATCAGCCATGGGCCTCTCTCACTCTGTTCTTAGCTGTGCTCGTTGATGGTATGCAAAGGTCACCGACCAAGCTTTAAATGTACAATTCCACATCAGGAAGGAAGAAGTTCCCCATGGGAGAAGGTAAAAACCATACCCAAGATCTAATATATATAATCTATACAAATTATTAGTGTGCTCTGTTAATATAATTACAATGTGCAATTGCATACATCAAGAATAAATTGCTATATTGAGTCCTGTGCGGATTTGACACAGGTACACTTAGCAGTACTCCGAGGTCTGCTGTGGTGTTACTTGTGTGAGTGTGTGTCCAGTTATTTCATTTATCTCCAAAAACTCATCTTGCAGGGCAATCTGTAGCTGCCTCAGATAAATTCAAGTAGGGCCCATGGGATAATTGCTGGCTTTCATTAAAGGCATATGAAGGAATGTTTAGAAATCAAATGCAAAGGGTTGGAGGAAGACCAAACAAATGTGCTTTGATTACCAAGAAATGGATCTGTTTCTATACAAAAAAAAAAAAAAAAAAAAAAAAAAAAGGCAGGGGATGGGGGTGGGGGCGAAATAAAGAAAAAGAAGAGAATAAAGCACCCAGAGAAGAACGCCTGGGAAGAAAAGATGTTGCCCTTGGTTCCTCTCTGATGGCTACCAAAGCACCCTGCACAGGAAGACTTCTGCGTGGGTGACCTTTACACAAAAATAAACTCTTTTTCTGCTTCTTCCCCGGAGTCATTAGATTTGCTGCCTTGATGGCCATCTTTACTGGAGGACCGTTGCTTTTGTTCTTGATACTCCTGGGCCTGCTGGCCCCAGCTTCTCCTTGAAACTGAAATAAAAAGGGAAGTCGCACAGTTTACTGACAAAGTAATACCAGTGGCCTGACTGATAATGGGCTGAGATGCAGTAGCCTTGAAGGTTTGGGGGAGGGGAGGGGGCCAGGGTGAACTTTCTCAGAAACAAACTTGCTATTATGTTTAGAGACTCTAGACAGAAATGTAAAACAAACCAACAAAGCAGAAACAACATGAGAAAACACACACAAAAACAGTCTATGACAGGGTGAACCTCTCATAGATGTGGGCAAGAATCTGAGGTTAGGACCCCCGAGGAAAGGATGGTGGGGAAGCGGAGGGAGATGCCAGGAGGGAGGAGGGCTTTGAAGCGGTTCTGCTCCAGGTGACCTCCTCAGTCATAGCTGCCCCCTCACACAGCACAGAGAACAGGGCAGACAGAGCTTTGAGGAGATGCTGGGTGGACAAATGTCCCATTCGATGCCTTCTGCAGATGATTTGGGGCTTGTCATTCCTGCTTGTGGGACAGGATATCAGCAAAGGCCTCAGGAATCTTTGTCAGACCTTTCTGTGACTCAGAAAACCTCAGTTTCACCCTCTAGGAAATAAATACTTTAAAGTCTAGTGAAAAAGCATTAAATACTGCCTATGACACATTCAACCATTTTGGAATCACCCTCCAGGTAAAAGAATTACCATTATTGTTGCCTGCTCTGATTACACATAAATATGAAGAATCCACTGAGGCTTTATAAAGCAGCGATAGGAGAATCATTACTGGAACAGAGCCTCTGTCATGTGTTAGGCACTCTCTGTTTTATTATCGCTATTCCTCACAATTACCTTCTGTAAGGCAGGTTTTGTAAAACTTGAAACCAGGATTTAAACTAGATCTGTCTCTCCAAAGCCTATGTTCTTTCCAACTAGAACATGGCTTCACTGCTATGATACCTTGGGAAAAGGTTCGGATGCTGTACTCCAGCATAGCTATTAAGGATTATTAAATACTATTCATCTTGTCTATTGTATAGACAGATCTTGAGCTAAGAATACTAAACCCACACACTTTGTGCCAGCCTGAAGGAAGAGTACAGCTACCTCATCACTCGGAAGTTCCAATGATCTAACCAGGAACACACTACATCAATCCTTTAAAAGCTATAGGATTCATTTGATGCTTCTAATCACTTGATTTTTGCATTCTGCTAAAAAAAAAAAAAACTTATCTTGCTGGCTACTAAAATGTTGAACTCACTGAAGAGTGTTTCAGGAAGTGAAAGCTCATTAAACCTAACAGTCAAAATGCAAACCTAATAGAGTACTTCTCCTGCCAATACTGGTATTAGAGCCAGATGCTGGTATTTAGACAATAAAAATTTAAATCTTTAGTTAATGACATTAAATTGAAATAACTCAAAACTCTGAAAGGAAAAAAACCTTTCAAATCTGATAATAAAAGTACGTAATTTCTTAAATTGTGACTTCTTTTTGTCCAACAGATTCAGGCAAATTCTCAAACTGGGGGAAGAAAGCAACAAACAAATATTATCATTGATTTCTATTATTTTTTCTTTTTAGAAACAGGGTCTTGCTCTGTCACCCAAACTGAAGTGCAATTTCTATTTTTAAGTTTGTGTTGGGTAAAAAAATTAAATGCACTTGTTTGGTCCTTTCACAACTGTCAGTAAGCCAGGTTTAGAGAACAAAGGTGAATAAATGTCAATAAATATTTTGCTCTTTATCACAAAACCAATTTGATACTAATAGACAAAGAATCCTTTAATTACTAAGAACAAAAGAAAGTAGGGAAGACTTATATTATCTTCATCCTGAAAACATTTTACAATAAACCCAACCTCAAACTACAGCATTTCTTGTGGTATCTGCTAGAAAATATTTTTCATCGTTTTAAAACCAAAATAGGTTGTTCCTCTATATTAAATTACTCAAAAATACACTACAAGTTCAAGGGAAGAAACAAATATAATACACTGCTCATTTGTCTTCAGAGCAAATATATTTGTTCTAATTCTTAGATTTAAAGGATAATCAAGCTTTTCATTCTTCCCAATATTTTTGTTTCCTGGCAATCTTGGGTCTAACTCATGTTGTATGATACGACATAAGAGTACTTTCTAAAAATGGAGAAATTCAAGAAACCAAAAATGTTTATGTCACAGATAAAAAACTGAGATAACCCTATAGACCAGGGTCATTACAACAGGCATGATTAAAATTCAAAGAAATCCAACATAGAAATCTTCTTGCAAAAAGTAGGTTGTCCTTCAGTCTCCACCTAAATGTTGATTCTTTTGAGTCACTGACACCAGGCTTCCAAATTCTCCAGGACTCAGGGGTTGTAGGAGGAAAAATAATATATTATTTCAAGAGGGCTGTCAAAGAATTTCACTATGGTGGCGACTTTATTTAGAAATTCATTCTAAATATATTCACCTCCATTGATTAAACTCTACCAATTGTGAATGTGCATGTGATAATGAGACTAGTACCAGGCTGACATGTTCTTAGTATAGTAGGTAAGCACCATTCAAGAACAGGAAAACTAAGGCATAGCGAGATCAAGGACCTAAAGTTATGCAATTAATGTGATGAGTTTGAAGGTCAAAGCATTTGTTCTTCTCGTCTCCACCCTTATTAGTCCAGATCCCTAATGTGAACAACTTTGTAGGACGAACGTTCTTTGTCGTTTGTTTTCCAGCCCTTAAGGGAACATCTATTTGACTGCATGTAATTAAGATGTTGACTACGACTATATTGAAGTAGGTTTAGTCAGGCTTCTATTAAAAGATGGTCTAAATAGAATTACGTCTGTTTGAAACTTAAAACTCCAGAATGTATGTATGTATGTATGCGTGTATGTATGCATGCAAGCATTTATTCATTTATAGATACTGAGTCTCACTCTGTTGTCCAGGCTGGAATTCAGTGGCGCAGTCATAGCTCACTGTAGCCTCAAACTCTTGGGCTCAAGTGATCCTCCTGTCTCAGCTTCCAGAGTAGCAGACACTACAGGTGCACCTCCTCACCACACCCAGCTAATTTTTTATTTTTATTTTTCTATAGACAGAGTCTCATTTGTTGCCCAGGCTGGTCTCAAATTCCTGGCCTCAAGTGATCCTCCAGACTCAGCCTCCCAAAGTGCTGGGATTACAAATGTGAACCACTGTGCCTCGCTAGAATTTATTTTTAAAATATTTATAAGATTTAGACTTTTTACAAATTCAGACAGACCTCCTCTTAGGCAGCTTGAGTTAATGCTTGCTTTTATACAGGATGAAAAAAATCCAATTGTTTCACAAACACTTCTTCAATGCAAGTATTTGTTAAGAGTGCTGGAGCATCTCTATGCGTGTGTCTATTTACATATTTATCACTATTTTACATACTACTAAAGTTAATAGAAGATAAGTAAATGAACAGGTAATTTATTCAAAACAAACACTCCATGTATATACAGACCCTGTCTATAGTGGCAATAATTGGTACAGAGAGGCTCGAACGTGATATCTGTCATTCTTGAAGATGATTTGACATTGCATATATGTGATAATTTTAAAGCTTCTGAAATATGCATATAAATGCAGAATTAGAGAACCATATGAAAATTTGGTATTTTCTCCATTGTAAGCTCCACTGACATCCATATTTTCCAGGAGAAAAACACTATGATGACCTTAAAATAGTATTCAGTAGTTGGCCCTGATTTTTTATACTTTCTAGCAAGAGCCCAACATGCCAACTGTTAAATTTATCTTCAAGAACTCACTTAGGGGAAGCAGAACTTGAGTCTGGTGGAAAAAGTAGAGCAGAGCACTGGCTTACAGACTGCAAGTCACAGCCAAGTATTTATTGGCTGTAGCTTGGATTATGGAAGAGGCAAGTGATATATAAAAGGAATCTTAGATGCCCTGTACAAACAGGAGCCATTACAACGCATTCAAAGCCAAAATCAACTATTTTCTTCAAGAAAATAGGATACACTCTTACAAGAACATCACAACTTATAATTAAATGTAGAGAGGAAATAATATGAAATGAAAAAAATGTGCTTACAAATATTTCTAGTAAAAGAAATTAAGCATTTTACCTGTCAAATCAATATAGTAGCCACACAAAACATAATATTCGTGATAAAAATATGCAGCATGCTTTGAGAACAATATTTGAGAACAATAGCCTCTGTTTGTTTCATGAATACATACTTTAGGAAAATAAGGCTGTTTTAGTGTAAACAAAGCTGCTCTTAAAAGACTTAAAAGAAAGTATAAGCAATTATTTAATAGAATTGATCTGCTAAATGTTATTTTTTTAACCAGGAACTATTCAGAAAGCAGACTGCTACGCAGTTCTCAAAGGTGAAGACAGTCAAGTGCTAGGAATCGGCACTAACAAAACAAAATTAAAATATTATGCATAAAATCACTTTAATTGAAGATCCTGTAAAAATTACTTCTTAATGCCTGTCATTATTTCAAGAAATCAAAGCAGAAAAGTAAATACAAGATGGTCCTATTTAGTTCCATCAAAATTTGACCAGCTCCTCACAATGAGAATTTTAAGCTAAAGAGGTCATGAACAAATCTGAGACAGATATAGAATCTCTTCTTGCTTTTCTATAATTTGGGTTATCTCTGTGTTTATCCTCTTTTTACTCTAACGCAAAGCCTCATTGGATGATCAATAGGCACTGGGCGGCAGGTAGCAGGGAGCGTCTCTTTTTGTGTTGTATAAAGTGTTTTTAGTGGCCTCTTGAAGAAGGAACATTGCATTAATGATGCTTTGTTAATAATCAAGTGATATAAGTCAATGAAAACAATAGTTCAAATGTAAAGCTCCAGAAACCAGAAACGTCTATGCAACCTTAGGTATGCTTAACAAAAGGGGCAATATAGAGACAGAGATTCTGGCCTAACAAATTCTCAAAAATAACTTGTCAGAAAATAAATGTCTTAGGTGTTCATTTATGTAACTTTTCTAGGACTGAAGATAGAGATTTTCTTGGCCATATGAGAGAAACTTTCTTGTAGAGAGGAGTTATTGTAACTATGTGTCTATAAACAAATCCACTACATAGGATACTCTATAAAAGTAAAGGGTCAACTTAATTGGCTTTCTCTAGGGCAGGAGCTACCCAGCCCAAACAATGTTTTAACCTTACTTGTCCTGTAGACTTTGCTTTATGCTCTGAGAGGTGTCTTTAACCCACCCTGCCACCTAGCTAGTATACGCCGGAACCCCAGGCAAGTGAGCACATGTGGCTGAGCCCATGGCACTGGCTGAGAAGGCAGGCTCCAAACGTTGTCCCTGGCAGGCAGTTGGTAGATGTTTTTTTGTTTTAAAACCTATATCAAAGAAAATTCTCAAAGAGAACCGTTCCCACTTCAGGTATCATAACTCATTGGGCTGTTAAGCTGTGAAGTGTATCATAAGAAGTTTATTATCAATAGTAAAGTGTGAAAATTCAAGAATGGCTTATCCCTTTGCAATAAAGAGAAGGTATCCCTATAATAAGGTCACTCCCATTAACTTGTATTCTGAAATGCTTTCTTGGGAGGCAGTGAAGGGCATGGTGTTACAGCCTGAATGCTGGGCCACACCTGATCCCTGGGAGCCTAAATACATGCATCTATTAACCCCTGATATGGTTTAACAGGAAGAAAAGAGCCTCATTCCAAGAGCAGAAGTCCTTTAAAGAAATCTCACATATCAGAATATGTTATATTCCTTACAGATACTAAGATTTCCTTTAACGGATTTTTGAAGTCATGTTTATAAGAAGTTAATATATTAACCAGGGAAGAGATGAGTACTTTAGGCACAAAAAAGACATTTTTTTCTCTGAGTCAGCAATACTTGTCCTTCAATTTCCCATTGGAGGGCAGAGCTGATTTGAAATCTGTCTTCTTTTTGTCTCTTGGGATTGTTCTCACCTGAACAGAACATTACAGAATTTACTACAGGGCCAAATGAAAGACAGAAGTCAGAGAGCAACTCCTAAAAAGTGGAATAAATTGTTCCTGATGGTTGACAAGTTAAATGGTACTTTTTCTTTCTTACTAAAGGGTGATAAAATGATAAAGGGTGAAAGATCATGTGCATGATCCAACGTCTGCATTGAGTCAGTGACTTTTTATTGATCCTTTCCTGAAAGAGTGTAAGATATTAGGCCAATATTCTCTAAGGATATAAACTCTGTCATTCTAAGAATCTCTGATCCAACCACAGTTGAAACCTAACAGGAGAGTAAAGATATAAAGGAAGAGAATAGGAAGCCTAACCCCAATTATAAAAATAAACTTGCATGATCACAAAAATTTAAAAGGACAAGTCACCAAAGTAACTTGATCTTCCTAATAAGAATTTCTAATTTTAGATTTTTAAGTCAATATTTTTTTTGCCCCAAATAAAAGGACCATCCTGTTGAGATTTAGAAAAAAACAAAACCAAAAACCTCTCTTGTATGACTAATCCCTGACCCAGTCCCACGATAGAATTCACTCAATTACAGTTTGTTTTTGTTAGTGCCAGTTCATAAGCTTCGGGTCAGTGAGGGATGATAATCGAAGGCTCTAACCATTTGTTGGCTGTGACTTCCTGTGCCCAATTGCATTCACTTCCTCTTCTGCAATGGTGGAGTACAGTTTTGAAGATCTTTTCCCTCTACTGGAAGGCTTGCCACTGTCATGATCTGAATGTCTTTTGTAATAATCTCCTCTTTGCACTACTGAGGAAAAGGGATTTATTTTACCCTTTATATTATTAGCACATACATCAATGTGTTGACATTAATATTTAAAAATATTAAAAATTAAATATCAGCTTACCCACCCCACTTAGGATTCAAGGAACCTACAGTGTTGGTCCTGGGCAGATATGCATCATTATCTACAGAATTCAACAGCCAACATTATGGAAATGTCGTGCAAAATGAGGTGAGCTGCGAGTCTGCCCCAAAAAAGTATTAACAAAAAGGCTCCAGTATTACCATTTTGATTCCACGATGGATTAATGAAAATCACATTCACTATGGAATAATCCAGAAGAATCATAGCAATTTACCTGTTTCAGAAATTAGTTGGGCATGCTAGTCCAAAGGGAGGCAAAGAACAGGGAAATGAAGTAATCAGCATGAATAATAGATAAGAAAACAGAATGAGCACAATATGGACAGTTTATAAAGAAAAAGATAGAACTCACAAGTGGCTGCCATTTCTGGGCAACCTTAGCGGACAAGCTGATAAAGTCAAAATCTTACCACCTCAGACATTTACAGACTGTTCCCAGACTTCATGTACATTTTCAGTCCAATTTCAATACCAAGTGATAACACCAGGATGATGTCTATGATTAACTTATTCTGGATCCCAGATGGGAAAGTCATGGTCTCCACAGCTCAGCCATCCCTACCGTCTGACTGGAAAGAAGGGAGCGTGAGCCATTCCTAAGATTTGCTACTTGGGGAGGGAGAAGGATGAGGAAGGGAATCAAACATATACCCCTAAAGCTCTGAAACATTTAAGGAGGAACACATTCTATTTCTAACTTCCAGGGGAAAGAACATTCAACTTTTTCACGGCAGCTAAGAGCCTGCAGTGGTATCCAGTATCTCCCCGACTTTGCTAACCAGAGAGGCTCCATGATCTATATTTGTACTTGTGAGGCTGGTGGGTTACTCTAGGCCTTGTTTTGATAATCTATAGGCATCTAGAAAACACCACTTTCCAGAAATGTTAAAACAATGATTTTTGTATTCAACCTTCTGATCTTTTTTCTTCTATTTTTGTAAATCCTTCAATATTTCAATTGCTTCAGACAAGATAGATGAACATTCCTACTTAGCACTACCATCCCTTCCTCACTTTTCTTTTTCTCTCCAACTGAACTCTTTCAGGCATTTTCAACGCTTCCTTAAAAGTAAAGATGTAAAGTCAGCAGTTGCAGAAAGGATGGAAAATTAGGGTAGGAATGGGAGACGCACTTGGTGGTGAGAACTGGACTGTCAGAGAATACCTGCAGGCTCAAGTCTCTCTGAGATGGCATCACCAAAGGTCCTTCCTTTTACACCAAGTCTTCCAAAGGCTTCAGTTATAATGCTGAACCCTGTATTTATTTACCTCATGTAAAATGACTATAGATACCAGCTACTTTTCAAAAGCTTTAGTTTCTCTATTTGACAGAAGTGGTTTAGCAGCTTTGGTCTCAACCCAACCATCTTTTATTTATAGCAAATAAGTGAGTGAAGCTTCTACCCAACAAATAAATCTGTAGGATGGAGATAAGAAAGCAGGCAGTGTTATTGTTTTTATTAGATTTCCAAGCCACAAAGACAGTACTCAGTAACACTTTCTATTAACTTCAACCCAATACTATTATCAATAAAAGAAAATAGGCCAATGTAGGAAGAGAACAGAGACAGAGAGATCAAAGGTTCTAAAGCATTAAAAAAATCTAAAATAAAACACAGCAACTCCAAACCACAACGAGAGCCTTCTGGGTGTAGACGACTTGTGTGGCTCCAGAATTTCCTTATAGGTGGGGCTCAGAGATGGCATTTACACTATACATTACATAGGACAGAACCCCAAAGTCAATCACACATTTAAAAGAAATGGCATGGGTGCTGAAGCCACAACCATGCCTCACCTTTGATAATAATTGGTAACAGCTCAGTCTGATTTGGGAAGAAAGCATTCTCGTCACAGGATTAGCTTGCTGTGCTTCTACCTCAGCAAATTAGAAGGAGCAAACTGGTGCAGGGTCGCCCTGAGAATGTCCATGTCTGCACCACACTTCTGAGAGTAAGGAACATCTGACCTTGTGACTGAGCGAGCACAGTGAGCTGCAAGGTGGCTCAGGCCCGGGGGTGCTGCTCCTGAACTATAGCAGTACTGATTTGCCACGACTAGGAAAAGATTT
The DNA here is from genome assembly GCF_000001405.40 of Homo sapiens. Lineage (NCBI taxonomy): Eukaryota > Metazoa > Chordata > Mammalia > Primates > Hominidae > Homo > Homo sapiens. The sequence continues at coordinate 25,610,544 of NC_000006.12, read as the reverse complement.
CATTGAAAATAATAGGACTCAGAAATCTATAGGTAGCCCCAAATACGTCATAAAATCATGTTTAAGGAGCTCCTAACATGCTGGAAGTCAGTTCAGAAGCATCTAGAAATTATTCTTGCAAATAAGTTAGACCTTTGTGTCTCAGCTGCTTTTTTCATATGTCATTAAGATCCAATGTCATCAATCATGCTGAATCAAGTTTCTGAACTAAGAAACTACTCCATTTCCAAAAATTTAACCCAAGCAATGTTGACTTTAACAAACTCTAAGATATTAGTAAAGTCCAGGATGAGTTCCTTTATTTTGAAATGTCCCTCCTTGGGGAGAGCTAACCCAGAGAAAAGAAATCCTTACAATCCTTACCTTCCTGTGAAAATGTCCTGGGGCTGGGCTGGGGGCTACTCTGGCCATCTCTCTCTTTGTCTGAAGGAACTTTTTTCAGGACAGGTGGAAGAAGGGCAACTTTCGGGCTAGATGGAGAGTCTGGAATGTCATCTAAGGAGACACAAACACGTGAATCAAACTGTTCCACAAACTGGATTCCAAGAACATAAAGCCTGGTAAATCTATATATAAAAATAAGTCATTTAAAAAAATAAAGCATCATAGAATTTTTCTGGCCAAAAATTAGTTTTGTGTTTTTGCTCAGTGAAGTAACATCCACAAACAAAAGGGAAAAACAATGAATACTCATAAAAAGTTAATATCTGCACAAATATGAATCTATCCTGTAGATCAAGAATTTCAATGCACAGCTATTTGAAAATTAGACTGTATGTGAACCATATGTTCCTTCTGACTTAAACACAAAGGCTGTTTGGTTTTCATAAAATATGTAATATTTATAAGACACTGCCTTTACCTGTTGTCAAACCCAGTACAATAGTCACTATACATATGTGTGTATGTGTATGCATGCATGCATGCATGCATATATGTAGGTCACTAACAATAATTTGGAATCATGGTCTTTTAGAACCAGAAAAGACTTTGGGCACTGGACAAATGAAGAGATTGAAAACGAAAAAGATGACTAAATAGCTAGGACTAGAATTCTAGTCTCTCTTTTTTTTTTTTTTGAGATGGAGTCTTGCTCTGTTGCCCAGGCTGGAGTGCAGTGGTGCGATCCCGGCTCACTGCAACCTCCGCCTCCTGGGTCTAAGCGATTCTCCTGCCTCAGCCTCCCAAGTAGCTGGGATTACAGGCACGTGCCACCATGCCAGGCTAATTTTTTGTATTTTTAGTAGAGACGGGGTTTCACTGTGTTAGCCAGGATGGTCTCGATCTCCTGACCTCGTGATCCACCCGCCTCAGCCTCCCAAAGTGTTGGGATTACAGGTGTGAGCCACCGCGCCTGGCCAATTCTAGTCTCTTAATTCAAAAACCAGGGCTGTTTCACCCTAATTGAAAGAATCTACCACAAGCTTGTCCAACCCATGGCTCACAGGATTGGACAAGCATGCAGCCCAGGATGGATTTGAATGCAGCCCAACAAAAACTTGTAAACTTTCTTAAAACATTACAAGATTGTTTTGCTTTAAAAAAAAAAGTAATCAGCTATTGTTAGTGTCAGCATATTTTGTGTATGTCCCAAGACAATTCTTCTTCCACTGTGGCCCAGGGAAGCCAAAAGACTGGACACCCTTGACTACTGGATCATTCTTCTTCCTTTGCTGTTATCAGCAAGGTGGTTCTTAAGTTGGCGTGTGAGTGTCTGTGCACGTAGAAGACAATCTACAGCCACGTTCTCTTCAGTCTTAAACTTCCAGTCGCCTACTTGCTTAACCAAAATAAGCAGGGATGTGATAAGACATGTGAAGATAACACTATCCACCTTCACCATCTGTCAGAGCTGTGGCGGAGAGGAAATGAGATGGTGTATTTGAAAATGCCTGCTGAATTCCCAAGCTCTATAAAAACATAGGTTTATTAACATAATTCTTGATATACTAAGTGCTATGAAATAACACATTTAGTAAATAAACAAAATAAAACTTCTTGCAACAGAATATTGGGAATTCAGCTAGTTTTATATTCAGCATTAGAAACTGGGGAGTGGTCCCCCTTTATCCACATGGGATACAATCCAAGACCTCCAGTGGATGCCTGAAACCGGGATAGTACTGAACCCTACATAAGCTGTGTTTTTTCCTACACACACACACCTATAATAAAGCTTAATGTATAAATTAGGCACAGTAAGGGATTAACACTAAAACCCAATAATAGAATAATTATAACAATATACTATAATAAAAGTTATCTGAATGTGGTCTCTCTCTCTTTTTCTCTCTCTCAAAATATCTGCACCATGAATAACTGAGACTGTAAAAAGCAAAACCTTGGATAAGAGGGGCCTACTGTCCTCTACAAACTAGGTTACTCTACAAACTAGATTCATTCTATAAGAACTATTTCTTTATTGCAGAGTAGAGACACACCCAGCTGATGACAATGTTAGGAGCAAGGCTCCTTTTGAGTACTTATTTGCTTTGCTTTCTATTAAAAATTTTTTCTATTTTCTTTGCCTCCATTCTCTCCACTCCTTCTACATGAAAACATTGTGTATGGACCAAGAAATTTTTTGTGTTCCCCATCATAAACTTTGGTTTGGGAAAAAGTTTGAGTAGAATTAGGAAGTCCTAAGGGGTTTGTTTCAAGGCTTAGTTCCTTGAGGTAAAGCCAGTACACCACTTTCTTTGTGGCTTCTCTTTGGAAACAGTTCACTGGTTTTCTCAAGGGACCAATGGGCTATGAAGACCAGGGACTGTCCAAGCTGGCCACTCGGGAAATGAAAAAAAATATGTGACGGAACATGGGAAAGAACCACAAGTGGAAGAAGTTTGGACACACAGGATTCTACCTTTTTGCTCATTCTACCCAAACCATCTGCACATTGATAAATTATTAGGATGAGCTGTGCATCCTACTTTACAATATACATGTCCATGGGGGAGAGGTCAATAGAAACAGTTACCACGACAGTTGGTGGAGTCAGAACATCTGGCGGCTACACAGACACACCAGCTGCGTGACTTGGCAAACTCAGTATCTCTGTGCCTCATATTCCTCATCCGTAAAATGGAGCAGTGACGAGGATATTGAGAGTTCATCAAAAAGCACTTACTATAGTGCCAAGGACACAGCTAAGTGCTCAAAGATTAGCCATGATGATGATCTGACTATCTATTTTTATCCCTGTTTGACTAATTTTTGTGGGAGAACAAGGGGAAGAGGTGAAGAATTGATGTAACTTTCATATATTACCTATCCTACTTTTGTATATGTTTGAAAATTCTTATAATGGTAAGTTAAATTAAAAAAAAAAAACCTAATGTGTGTGTGTGTGTGGTGTTTTTTTGTGTGTTTTTTTGTTTGTTTGGTTGGTTTTTTTGAGATAGGGTGACGGGGTCTTGTCACTCAGGCTGGAGTGCAGTGGTGTGGTCACAGTGTGATCACAGCCTAAATTCCTAGGCTCAAGTTATCCTCCCACCTCAGCCTCCCAAGTAGCAGGGACTACAGGTGTGCACTACCACACCTGGCCTTATTTTGTGCAGGAGAGAATAAGGTGAAGACCAATCCATTTCTAATATTTTTAAGTTTCTTCTATCATTAGATTTTCTAAACTAATAGCAAACTTTTTTGTAAAGGGCCCAAGAGTAAATATTTTACACTTTGCAGACCATATGGCCCTGTTGCAAGTATACCACTCTGCCACTGTAGCGCAGCCACAGCCACAGGTGACACCAACGCAAAAATAGTATGGCTGTGTCCACTAAAACTATTCACAAAAACAGGCCCATTGTTTGCCAAGTCTTGTTCTAAACCCTTGTTATATCATAGAATATGGCATAAACACCACAGAGCTTGTGCTTTCCCCATTTGTAGCCTTCCTCCTTAAACTGCTGCTTTTCAAAATGTCTGAACGCCCTGGAGACAGATATTAGAAAGCCAAGCCGAGCACTACAGATGGGTCAACATGACAAAAGACTGATTTCCCTGTCTTGCCTACAAACTAACCTGTACCCCTGAAAGCAAGGACAGTCTCAGAGTCCCCAACTCTCACACATGGTGGGCCTCTGCATTAAATAAAAGAATCCGTCAGCTCTCATCACTTTCACAGCTTTGCATAGGTTTCTTGTGATCCCCTCCTGCAGAAGCCGCTGTACCTCGCTCACCAGCTGCCCCTGAAACCACCTGCAGAGTCTGATCCAGCTGGCTCTGGGAAGCCACCTGGTCACAATGCAACTCCCTAACTGCAAAACTCTTACCAGGCCGTGAGGCGGTTCTTGGTTTCTGCGGGATGACGGGCCGTGCTGCCAGACTGGGTTTGGGGGACTGCAGGAGGGGCTTCGGGCTCGTAGGTGTGCTGGATGAGCTCCGAGACCTGGAGCCTGCTTCCGCTTTGGGTTCTGCTTTGGTATTCTTTTCTGGTGTTCCCAAACCAAAGCGGTTCTCTGGAAGACCTGGGTGCAGTTTAGGCACTAAGATGAAAAAGGCCACTTTAAAAATCAAAGGTCAAAGAAGCCAATAACTTGAAGCTAGAAGTCTGGTACAAACTGCTGTAATCATTTGCCATCGTTTCTCATCACGGATGTTTTAAGAGTATTTTAAGAATATGCTGTTCTAGCATGTTTTAAAATCAAAACATGCTGGAGGAAGAGTGACGTTCTTTGTAGAAAAGCAATAAACTTTTTGGTTGTTTTCTGATCACCCCTGACTATTCCAGCGATGACAAGCTTTTATATTTAATAATGTACAGTGCCGTAATCACATACAAGGAAAACAGTGGTTCTTCATGCACTTGAAATATTTGGGTCTTTCTCAGATCTGGCACAAGGTACAGGTATAACCGAATGTAAGTGCCTTGGTTCTGGACAATAAGCAGTTAGGGCTCTGGCTACAGGTTCTGAGTGAGGAGGGTGATGCTGACGGCTGCAATCTCATGTTTAGTGAGAACAGCTCCAGAAATGTCATCTCATCCCCCACCTCCATCCATACTGCTGCCTTAATTTAACAAGACAACTGGCAAAAATAAGCCCATAAAATGTGATTTATCATCCAACTCTTACTGCACCAAGATACTGTAGCTATGCATAAGACTCTCAAATAGCAAAGTGAGGATTCTATCACACAGTTAACGCATTACTCTCTAGTTTTCATCTAAGGTATTTTCTTATTTTATTATACCTAAGAAGTCAGAGGGACAAGGGATATTGGATTTCATGCATATTCAAGCTGCAAGCGAAGCATATTGTTCATACCAAACAAGACAGCCACCCATCTTCCATATGTCATGCATGGCTTATTCTTAAATACATCAGCCATGATCCTGTATGCTGCCCCCACCCCCAACTTTTCCAAAATGCTCAAAGCTGAGGAGTTTGCAATGAAAAAACAGTCAGAATTTCCTCCCTTTGGGAAATCAAAAAGTGCCCTGTCCAGGCACAATGCTACAGTGGGGCAGGATGTGCCCCAGGGGAAGATAAGGCAGGTGAAGGGATATGGTCTTTCAGATGATAGCTGAGAACACACAACAAAGAGATCAGTTCTTGCCTCCCTGTTTAAATTTTTCTTCTGTCAATCATGTGACTCTGCAATCAGAAGGTAAGCGCTTTTCCTAAGGGGGTGATGGCAATGGCCTGACTTACCTGCCCCACCTCCATCCGACCGTTCTACGCCGCTCAAAGCTGGGCTGGAAGAATCCTGGGATACGGCATCATTCCCAAGCTTCTAAAAAATTCAAGCACCATCCCCCCAAAAAGTGCACATTTATTTAATGCAAAAGTGAAAAAACAATGCAGATAATAAATGACAGCAAAGAAGGGCTCTTTAACTCAGCTGCTGTTATGGTGACTGTGCCTGACCTGTCTCCATAGGCTCTCTGGCTGGGACAAAACTGTGAGAAACACATTCTATTCTGTGTTTACGGTCAGGACTCTGGGGTCCAAAGTGTGGCCGGTTTGGTTCCTCGGAAGGCTCCTCACAGGTGAGAGGTGCATGGGGCCAGGGAAAGTCAGTGGGCTTGGTGACCTTTACTGTTTTTCTTGTTGAACACCTATGCAGGCTCTGCAGCCCCTGATGCTTTATGTGATGAGGGCCCTTGCATGCTAGAAATGTACAGAATCTGCTCTAGGTTTGGTTTCCAAAAATCTAGTTTTGGCTGGGTGCAGTGGCTCATGCCTGTAATCTATCTCAGCACTTTGGGAAACTGAGATGGGAGAATTGTTTGAGGTCACGAGCTTGAGACCAGCCTAGGCAACATAGTGAGACCCCCCATCTCTGCAAAAAATAGAAAAATTAGTCAGGCATGATGGCATGCATCTGAAGTCCCAGCTACTCAGGAGGCTGAGGCAGGAGGATCACCTGACCAACCCCAGGAGTTCAAAGCTGCACTGAACTATAAAAGCGTGCCAATGCACTCCAGCCTGGGTGACAGAGCGAGACCTTATCTATTTAAAAATATATATATAATTTTCAAAGCAGCAGAAACCTTTCCAACCTCAATGATAATACAGGTGAAAGGGGTCCTGAAATAGGCAGGGTCTTCCTTGCTTTGAGGTAGAACCACATGACACAGATCTATTATTTAGGAGGTAAATACAGATGAACAGGACCGAATAAATTTTTTAAAAATCTGCAGGTGGGAGGAATTAGTGATGGTGATGATGGGGAAAGTAAAATGCCACTGTCTTGGGGTAGGAGTAGAAAGTTTAGAAAGTCTACACTAGACTGAGGCATTTAGATACAAAAAAAAGATATACAAAGCAAAGTCTGGTGTTTACTTCATAACATCTAAGAATTATATTGACAAAGATGGTCTACATCTACTGCCTGTCTAACAAGCAAAAACACTGTGGACCAGTAGACCAGCAGGCATGATGATTCCCAAGGCAGTCTGACCTTCAGACTGCTGGTTCCTGCTCATCCCATGCTTCTGACAAACCTAAAAAGCTCTGCAGCCAATTCCTAACTTTAAACTGTGTTTGATGATACAGGAAGTATTATTTGAAATGCAGGTGAGATAAGCCTCATTCCCTGAATTCATCAATCTACCCCAGTCACACACTCCCCAGGAGTGCTGGCTCTATCAGAAGGAAGCACCCAAGTGGCAGGAAGGCTGAGGAATTTCTCAGGAAGATGACAAAAGCTCCACTGTCATGAATGCAAGGTGCTGAACAGATCTCCAGGAGGAAATGTGTATACAAGCACTGCAGCTAACACAAGCACACTATTCGGCATCACTATGGAAAAGTGATCCCCTAAAAAGGAAGTCCCATGCCAGCCCTCTGTGCCCAGGACAAGTGTCTGCAGGACAGGGCTGGGGACCATCCATGAAGTCCCCTTTCACATCCTTCCCTTTCAGGTTCCTCCAAGTGCATGGCAGGCACCTGAAAGTGAGGACCTCCTTAAATTCTGTACCCGGGGCACCCCATTTGCCTGCATCTCTAAAGCAATCCTGGGAGTTGTTCTCTTTTCCCTCCCAGATTTTTAAAGTTATTTATAAATCCCAAAGTGACTGTGGGGAATAAGGATAAAATAATACAATGCCCATTGCCTTTGTGTGTGGACAGATGACTTGGAGGCCCCAGAGGAAAATATATGAACTCTAAGTATTCACTGCTTATTTCTCTCTTTTGTCAATAAATGAAAAGTGTCATATCTTCATACTTACAGTTCTTTTTCTTTAAACATATTTATATGTATATATCTCAAATGCCAGCAACGCAAAGAGAATTACTTATAGGAGGGTGAAGACATCATATATTTTATCAACAGTATATTGATCATTGATGCTATTGTTGCTACCTTTAGAAAGAATACAGTCATGGTACTTTAGAAAAAAAATGTTCTAAAGCTAATTTTTGAAAAACTTCATTATTTAATGATTTTGACAGAAGACCCATGACTGGTCTGAATTTTAAATAGCAAGAATTTTTAACAATGGTTGTTTTAAAGTGACACTAGATGGCGCTAACAGATCATTAATACTGTGTAAGCCCTAAACAAATATAAAACCATAAGGGTTTTGTCACTTTAAGTCGATTTATATATCAAATCCAAAGTACATGAATAAAACACTCTAGTAAATGTCATCTTTACACCAAAAAGAAACTGTTAATCATGAAAAACATAAACAGCATATTAATCAAAACCGCACATTCATTGTTATAAAGAAATTCACAACATGGATTAAAATTTTAACATTTCCTTGGGCATCTGACTCACTAATGACATGGTTGTAGTATTATCCAGAATTCTGACCAGTGAGGGCCACACCATGCCTCCTTTGTTGAGTGAGCAGGATATAGTTCTGTGGTCTCTCCCAACTCTAAGGGTTGCTCAGTGAATTAGGAGGGTTCTGCAATTAAAGAATTGCTAAATAATGTTGATGTTGGTGGGAGAACTTTGGTAAATAGTTGTAAGATCAGGTGGGAAGTGGAGTTTAATTTTTAAACATTGGTTGTTTAGAAGCCATATAAAAGAGCTCCCTACACCTGCCATGTAGTTAATTGTTTACTTTCTGAAAGTCAAGGGCTCACCGGGATGAACTGTTTTATTGTGATACTTCAAATAAAATAGACATGTGATTTCCTTTCTTGGAGAACCAGTTGTGTAAAAATAATGGAGCTCAAGATAATGCACAGAAACCACAACCTGACTTAAACATAGGTATGTTCATCTTATCACACAGATACAATCCTTCATGTAGTGAGTGACAAGAGAAAACAGGGGTAAAAAGAAAAGTGAAAAAGACTCCTTATACTTTAAAAGGAGATTTGAAGAATAAATAATGTTTTAAGTCAGATTTGGGGGGAACTCAGCAAATTTTAAACTATGAAGTTATTCTCTGTAGCAACAGATGATATATATCAATGGTCAAATATTCAGTTAATTCTAATAGAATACCTTGAGTGTTTTTTCTTTTGTCTTTGTCTTTTAAATCTGGAATATAGCAAGGCATTCTTAGGTTTAAAAAGAGAATAATTTTTAGGTTTGAAAAGGGAATAAGTTAGAAAATAGTTCCCATTTTTATATATAATCTAGTTTCAGTGTTTTTATTTCCCTCTGTTAGTTCACCTATCTTCAATATTACCCTCAGTCTTCCATCTGGATTCAGCCGACTGTCTTTTCCCCCAGATGTGAGCATTTCACCTGGCCCCGGAACATCTCTGACATGCTTCCACAACATGCACAGGAGGCCCCTGGGCAGGTGGGGAAAGACCGGAGTCTTCAAAGCCTATGTTAGAATGCCGGCACTCCACAAGACTGTGACCCTCAGGCCAAAGTGAGAACATGGCCATTTCTTTAGGGTCTGTGCTCCAGGTTCTTTAGCAATAAGTTATGGTTTTGGATTTCTATTTAACCAACAGGCTATTTTTATTTTCTCACCCAAATAAACCCAGCGAGGGCAAAAACACAAACAAGGACAACCAAGTCAAAAATGAACCCCCACTTATCTCACGAAGACAAGGAGTAGATTGGGGGTTACCAGACGGCAGGAAGTGTGGGGACATGGGGGGAGATGAAAAGAGGTACAAAATGGGTACAAAAAACACAGCTGATAGAAGAAACAAGACCTAGTATTGGACAGATCAGTAGGGTAGCTCTAGTTAACAACAATCTATTGTCAATTTCAAAATAGCAAGAAGAGAGTAATTTGAATATTCCCAGCATAAAGGAAAGTTAAATGTTTAAGGTGATAGACATACATAAAAATATCACATGCACCATGAAAATGTGTGCATCTATTATATATCAAATAAATGAATGAATTAAAAATAGGTCCACCCTTACCTTCTGCGCACACGCAGCTCTCTTCTCTTGCTTGGCTTTCATCTCTGCCAGCAGACCACTGCCCATCACCTGGACCCCATACCTCCGCCCTGCCTGTGGGCTGCTCTTGCTGTCACTCCGTTCCACCTTCCCTATTTCTTCCCCTTGACTCTCTTCAAAGGAGTCAGGTGTTTTTATCTCCTCTATCCGTTCAGAATTGCCATTGTGCTCGGCGGCCTTTGTGTCCTTCCTGGGACAGTCCACAGGTGGACTTCTGACTGCCCCTTTTGGTGAGGAGGGTTCTTCTGTCATCAAGATCGTTGGTGGTCGCTCGGATTTGGACCGGGATTTGATTAAATTGAGAAAGCCACTACTTTTCCGAGAATCTCGCTTTTTCTTTTCATCTCCTCCTTCATTAAGCTCATGGGACTCTGAGCCTCTTGTTGACCATTTCCTGCATTTCAAACCAAGACACAGATCTGTTGTTTTTACTGTAAATAAGTTCCAGCAAGAATCAGTCAAAATATAAATATGGAGATTGCTACATATACAGTAACCATTCAGAAGCATTTTTAAAAGCAGATTTGAGTTACCGCCCTTAGGAAACAGAAAGGAATGTGGAATATCATTATCATATTCACGTGAGAAAATCGAGGCACGCACACATTAAGAATGAAAGATGAAAATGTAACTGGTACAGCCAGTTTGCTAGCTTACTCTAAAAGTAACCCCTCTCCCTTTGTTTCTTGTTTTATATATATATATAACCACTTGCTCTGCTTGAGAATTCCAAAGGGTAATCTTAAAACAATCCAGGCATAAAACAGAGGTGGTGGTACAATTTTCTCCCTTCCAAGTAGAAATTGGTACACAGTTAATCCATAACCTAACCCCTGCCAAGAGGAAACCAACCAGACCTCCAAATGGTCCATTACTCAAGATAGTCATCAGAAAACAACCAACAGACCTGCACCCCACACCACTCCTGTGCATAGTTTTCATGCCGCCTTTCACCTTAAAACCCCTTTAGCCAGCCTGAAAATTTGAGATGGCTTTTTGCGACTTGAGTCTGGCCATCTCCCAAGCTGTCGGCACTTGCATAAACCAAACTTTGCTTCTCATGCGTTTGACTTTTTGAGGGGCAAGCAGCTAAACCTGAGTTTGGTTCCAAAAGGCAGAGAGTATGCTCTGGGAGAGTTTTCAGAAGGAGAATATGCTGAAACTTGGGAAATGGAAGGGGAGAAGGAGTCAATGAAATGAGCTAAGTAGGAAGTATCACAGACAACTTGTCTCATTTAAAGCTGGCAGACTGAATATCCACTTAGCTCCCCTGAATCGCCATTAAAATAATAACAAAGGATTTATAAAAGAAAGCATAAGCCCTACAGGGGAGAAAAGGCAAAAACAATAAAATTTGGAAGCCAAAATACACTAGTTATGTGTGAAAATTGACTTAATAGATCAGAGAAAGCTGAAACCTAAGCCAACAGTCGGGGAGACCCAGAAGCATTTGATTTGTGCTGGCTCCAGAATGAGGAGACGCGGGCACCTCTGCAAGTGGAAGTGAAGGGGAAATGAAGACAGGAAGGTTCTCTTCTTTGTGAAGCCCATTCAAAAATTCATCGGATCCTCTCCCTAAACCACAGAGCCAATGATGCCCATCCCAACACCCAAGTTCACTCTCTGGAAAGAATGAACCAAAGAAGCTGAGCTGGGGGACTCCAAATGCAGCTGAGCTGAGTGAGGATCACGAAACAGGGAGGCTCAAGAAAGCCTGCACAGTGAGCAGTGACATCCCCGGGACTTTTTCTCCCTCTGCATGCCAGAATCAGACAGGCAGGTTTATACCTGCCAGGCAGGAGATCAAAGTTTCCAAAGCTCAACAGAAAGGACCTAAAGATTCTGAGAGTCAGGGATACCCTCTCCCCGCAACAAAATGGTCCAGGAAGACCACCCTACATTGAAGCCCACCAGTCGACAAGCTCTACCCACAAATTTCCAAGAAGCTCTTCGGTGCCCCCATTCCTTTTCAACACGGAAGAGAAAAAATATTGCATCCACCAACATGAATAATAGCAAAATGTGATAGCAGAAGTAGAAAACTCAAGGTTGGAAGATACAACTGAGGAAATCTCCCAGAAAAACAAAGGGAATATAAAGAATTAAAAAATAGGAGAGAAAAGGTAGAAATTAGTGGATTAACAGAGGAAATAAAAAATCTGAGTAATGGCCTGGGCATGGTAGTTCATGCCTATAATCCCAGCACTTTGGGAGGCTGAGGTGGGCAGACTGCTTGACCCTGGGAGTTCGAGACCAGCCTGGTCAGCATGGCAAAACCCCATCCCTACAAAAAATACAAAAATTAGCTGGGAGGGGTGGTCCATGCCTGTAGTCCCAGCTAATCAAGAGTCTGAGGTAGGAGTATCACCTGAGCCTGGAAGGTCAAAGTTGCAGTGAGCCATGATCACGCCACTGCACTATAGCCTGGGTGACAGAGTGAGATGCTATCTCAAATAATAATAATAATAGAAGTTTAAGAAAAAAAGTACAGAGAAAAAAGGAAGAAATTATGAAAGAAATAATTTTTAAAAATTCAGCAACAAAGGACATGAGTTTCCAGATTGAAATGGCTTATGAGTGTCAAGCAAATTGGTTTTTTAAAAAAATTAAAAAATAAAAAACCCACCTCAGGGCACATATCATCATAAAATTTTAGTACACTGGGAATGCAGAGAAGATCCCAAATGCTTCCAGGAGCAGGAAAACAAAAGCAAGTCAGAAACAAAAGAAAGACTCAAGTCAACATCAGATTCTCATAGCAACACCGGAAGCTAGAAGATAATGGAGGAAAGCTATCAAAATGCTAAGGTACAATGAAGAGCAACCTACAATTCTATACCTAGTGACACTATTAATCCAAATGAAAGATATGCAACAGTTACAGAAACTTGTTTTCCAAACTGTCTTTCTCAGGAAGCAATTCAAGAAGGTGCTCCACCAAAACAGGGGCATAAACTAAGACCAACATGGGCCAATGGAAACAGAAAAATGACACAGAGACGAGGTGAAGGGAATCCCCCAGCAGATGATGAAGGGAGATCCCAGACAACAGCAGTGGAATGGGCCTAGAGGTCACACTGGAGCTGGTCAGATGCTGGTGAGAGGTGTGTCCAAGAAGAAAAAAAACTGAGAATACTTGAACAAACTGAAAGGAAATTTATATCCTTACTGGAGATTTAGGAGATAAGTCAGTGAAAGGAATGCAGAAAACAAAGCAAATGAAAAAGGGGACAATAATTAACACCAAGGAAAACAAAAAATTCTATAGAAAGAAAATGTAATCACAGTATACGATCTAACACAGTTGTCAATATTTACATGGTTAGGATGAAGCAAACACTAAATATTGATCTAACCAACTCCTGTGGTTTGTCCCCAGCAAAACTCATGTTGAGGCTTGGGCTCAACATGAGTTTTGATAGTATTGGGAGGTGGTACCTTTAAGAGTTGATTAGGTTATTAAAATCAATTACTGAGACTGTATTAGTTCTCATGGGAATGGATACATTCTTGAGAGAGTGGGTTGTTATGAAGTGAGTCAGCCTCCTTCATCCCTCCTTTCTTTTTGCACACACTCAATTCTCCTTTCACTTCTCTGCCATGCCATTATGCAGCATGAGGCCCTCACCAGAAGCCAACCAGTGTGGCCACCCAAACTTGAACTTCCCAGCTTCCAGAACCATGAGCTAAATAAACCTCTTTCCTTTATAAATTACCCACTCATAAGTATTTTGTTATAACAACAGAAAACAGACAAAGACACCAATTATGATAAAATTAAATAAAGAAAGTGGGGCAAGGAAAAGTGTGTGTCTAAGTACATGAGTACGTGTGTGTGTGTGTGTGTGTGTGTGTGTCTGTGTGTTTGGTGACAGAGTATACAGGTTGAGTATCTGCAATCCATAATTTGAAATGCTCCAAAATTTGAAACTTTTTCAGCACCAACATGCTCAAAAGAAATGCTCATTGGAACATTTTGAATTTCAGATTAGGGATGTAAAACTGCAAGTATAATACAAATATTCAAAAAAGAATCCCAAATATTGAAACACTTCTGGTCACAAGCATTTCAGATAAGAGACACTCAGTCTGTATTATCATCATTTAAGTAAGAAGTTAGCGGTTACAGTACTATCTAAAAATGAAACACAGAAAACAGAAAAAAGAAAGCATGCTATTAAGACAAATGGAAGAAACAGCTAAAGGAATAAAAATTAGTTGCCTCTGGGGAATAGGGAGTGGGAAAATAATAAGGAAACTTTTTTAAGCCTTTGTAGAACATCTGACACTTTATGAGCATTTATAACTTTGATTTTCAAACTTTCTTCGTACTACTTCATGATTTTACCTATCCCTTGACCTTTAAAGATTGGACTGACAATAATCTATTTATAAAGAAATTTCAAATCACAACTTTTAGTAGATTCCATCATATTATTTGATGATGAAAACTGACGTATTTATTTCTATTTGTGCACTGAAACATGAACGGAATCTTCCTTGAGCAGTATCTTTATAAAAAAAATATATTTTATACCTTACAAAATTTACCCAACTTTCATTCAGAGCCTATTAAAGAAGAAACTAGCATTAACGGGAGAGAAAATCACACTGGGACGGGTATAACAATATGTACAGTTCGGATCGAATGCTTATAAACCACCTCACTAACTGAATATAAATTTCAGAAGTTTAAAAAGAGCAAACAATAGTATCTGTAAATCACATGGAGATGAGTCGAGATTTTCTCCATTCATTTAACCATCACTAATTGAGGGGCAGACTATATATTATGGGCTGCGTTAGACATTGAAGCTATAACAAAATAAGGCCCAGGTATCGCTCCTGAAGAGTAGCATTCTATTTGGGAAAAAAGCCTTGAAAGCAAATCATTAACAGCGATTTCCCATTTTGCTATATGTTTGTGTTGGTTTTTCTTGAATCTTTTACATTGAAAACACATTCACCTATTCCTTCAGTTATAAAAAAATTAAAAATCAAACAAACTCTTAAAGGATTCCGTGGGCTTTAACAGATGTGTCTGAAGGATGGAAAGAAAAGTATTAAGTCAGCAGCAGAGAAAAAGCAATTAATTCGGGGGGGTGGGAGGAGCAGTCCCACAAAAGCTTCAAAGAATAAATGACATTTAGGTTGGTTCTTGAAAGACAGCAGAACAAAATTTTGCCAAGTATAGTATGCTAAGCTTCAAGGCCAGTGTCAAAGAAGACAAATAATTGGGTCCTAAAGGTTATAAGATTCAGTAAGTTACATTGTTATGGATATAAAATTTAACCCACTGCCACCTCACCATCCTGCCGAGGCAAGATAAGGCACATCCATCTAATAGAATTGATTAGTTGCTTCCCTACCTGTGCCCAGCCTGCCGCCTTTGGCTTATCTGGCTTATGTTTGTTCCTGAATTTGATATCTCAAGGTGAGAATCTTCATAAAGACAAATCCATGTTAAGAGTGTATTTTGGGATAGATTTGTATTTAGTTGAGGATTAAATAACATGGTACAAATCATGCTTAAAGACTGAAATGTTTCAAGTTAAAGAACTGTTAACAAAAGTACCACTGAACTATCTTCTAAGGGAACTGTCTCAGTAGCAAGAAAATGAGGAGAAAACTTCAGAAAATGCTGACTCTGAGGGCTCTCTGCTAATTTTGCTGTCATTTTGACACTGTCTGTTAAATCATGCCATTTAGCAATGACTTAGCCCCCCAACCCAATAAATCAAATTATGAACAAGGAGAAGCTCAAAGTAAGTAATTCCAGCATAACCATGATCATTACCCTGTAATGGAACTATCCAAGTGATAAAGCCCTAAAAGAATCTTGGGGTGGTATATTTTGTGGTCTGGTTTAGATTCGTACAATAGGTCTCAAACTGGAGCATGCCTCAGCATAACCTGGAGGGCTTATTAAAATACAGATTGCTGGGCCCAACCTCCAGAGCTTTTGATTCAGTAGGTCTGGGGTAGGAGTTTGAGAGTTTGCATTTCTAACAAGGTCCCAGTTGACACTGGTATTGCCGGCCCAGAGACCATATTTTGCAAGCTGTCAGAATAGTAATTTCCATATATAAAATGAAACTTAGTATACTAAGTTTAATTGTAACTGTTAGTAATTTAAATATGAATAAAATAGCATTATCAGTGAAATTACTCTGAACTCACTTGGAATCCATTTTGGTCACCTTCTTGGTAAAAAATTCATCTACACCTTCATCCACTCTCCCCATGAGACCATTCTGTTCACCATCTTGTGAGACTATGTTGGCAGCACAGACCTGCAAAACAAACAGATGTAATGTTAATTCACATGCACCTTGATTTAGCAAACATTTATTACTAGATTTAAGACACTGTGATTAAGGGCTATGGGAGGGACAAGGCTCACTAAAATAGGGACCACGTAATCTACAGGAATAGAAGCCATATGTACAATCATAACACAGACAAGAAGAAACAAAAGTGAGGGATGCACGATAAACACCATGCCTTGTGGAGATTCATGCTGACTGGTACATCAGAAGCTTGGACCTAACAGATAGGACGAGTCGAGTGTTTCTAAAGGCAGAGAAAGGCACTGCAGGCGTGTGGTAAGGGGAAAGGGAGTGCATGGAGAAATGAAACACGCACTGACTTCTGAGAGTGGTGATGACTCCAGGGCCCTGAGGTGTGTGGGTGAGGCTGGCTGCTAAGGATGGAACATAGTAGATGCTATTACTGGCTTCCCCTAACCCTCTCCCCTGACTACTTTCTTTCTTGCTGGAAGAGCCCTAGAGTCAGATTATGGATACTGATTTGCTTAAGCTACAATCCCTTCCTCTTGTCTGTGATTAACAGGCATGGGAGTGGGATATAATCCTGGTGTGTGAGATATAAGGGGACATTTGCTAGGGAGCTCATGGGGGCAGGTTTTGTCAGGAGGAGAGAATGTGTTTTTCTGCAGTTATGTGAGGCATATGTGATGTCTGAGCTGCAGAAGGCCACTGGCATTCACCAAATGGGGAGGCCCAAGGATAAAAGGCTGCACGCTGGTTGACAATAACAAAGCAGAAAGGGGAAAGCACCTGGGTATCTGTGCTCTGCTGCTGAATAAGCCACGCCTGGATCCTGAGGCTTCTGGATTTTTTGTTAGGTGAGAAAATAAATATTTCTCATTGTTTAAGTCACTTTTGAGTCAGTATTGAGTATTTCATAATATCCAGTTGAATACTTTCCAACTAATAATACAATAACCCATAAGGAACAGCCTTGAGCCTTATGCTAAGGAAGAAGGAATTTACTGCTTAGATGATAGGGAGCCACCAATGCAGCAGCATGGCCCAGCCTGAATTCTGGGGAGGTAATTCTGGGGCAGTATGAAGGACCAATTGGAGACGCCAGAGAATATAAGTAGGTAAACCTGTTCAGGAGCTGAAATCAAAGACTCTTGAATAATTTAATGTAATCTGGAGGTGATGAGGAACTAATGAAGTGGAGAAGTGAGAATGGAAAGACAAGAGCTGCCCAAGATATGGTCAAAGTTTCTAGGCCAGGTAAATGGGGACATGGTTCTAGGGAACACGTTACAAATATCATATTTGGGGGAAAAGCTGTATCTTATCTTCTTGAGTGTTTGAGGTATTGTGGGAAATCCAGAAGCAGGTGTCCAGCAGGCAGCCAAAAACTCCGATCTTATGAGAGAGGCTGGTGAGAAGCTATCAGAAAGCTATACTAAGTTAGCATGTCTCTTTGAAAGGACAACTCATAGTAAGCTTAGTCAGATGCTTGATTTGTGTCTGCAATGTATATTAATATTTCACAGATAGGTTGTGGATGACTGAGAGAGAGCATGCATCTTGCCCATGCTGTTGGATACAAGGACAAATTCTCATGTGGTTGGGATACCTGGTCTAGATGTCTTGCCATAGAGCGGTGGGAAAGCTGTTTCCTGTAATCTTGATTTGCAAGTCTCAAGGTGCCTAGGGGGAACATGGCTTATGTCTGTATGGAAATTGTTTAAAGAAAAAACCCCTTGAACAATCATCCGCTTCATTCATTGGGAAGCTCTCATTACGAAAATGAACTATGTGTTTGAGTTCATGTTTGTGACATGCTGAAAAGTGAAGAGACAACAGATAATAGGCAAAGAACCCTATGAAATAACAATTACACCTCTCATCTGAATGGTGCTTTATATTGGAGCAAGGTTTTCCTACATGTTGCACAAGAGCAGACAATCAGCAAAGTTCTATAATTCCGTTATGCAGAGAAAAAAGCTCACTGAAAAACTTTGATTACAAAAGATAAAGTAGTACAGAACTTGCTTGTATTATATTATTTTTCCCTTTTGGAAAAGTATTGAGGATAGAATCTCTATAGCAGTAATAGCCCCTTAAGTTAATATAGTTCTTGACAGTTTACATGTGTTTTACACGTTATTATGTCACCCTTATGTCTACCCTTTAAACTGAAAGAGATAGTACTATCCTACTTTTTGGTTAGTCACAGATCAAACAGTGGCTCAGAAGGTTAGCGGCACCCACACTGGTCACCTGATTGATGGATGAAGAAAGATGCGACCCCAGGACATACGGTCCTAACACAGGGCTTCCTCCCAGCTTCCCCCAATGATTCCTCTTTTCATTTTGAAACAAACAAACAAACAAAAAAAAAACAAAGTTTTACTTGTATAATTTCTTCCCTCAGGAAAAATTTCTCTTTTCCTGCTTGGAAACAGAAGTCACAGCCAGCACAAAAGGTTCTCTGGGGATGTGGGGTACATCAATGGGTTTCAGAGATGGAGGCACAGAGCTGAACAAAACAGTTTGCTTTCCTGCAGGACAGCCCAGCTTTTAGGGCTGGACTGGCCCCTACAGATCCTCCAGTCCAACCCTGTCATTTTAGAGATAAAGAGACAGAGAGCAGAAAGATTAAGAGAAGTCCAGTATCACTGGGAGATCTTCCATGAGACATGGTTTAAAATGCATCTGTTAAAATAGGAAGCAGGAGGTGGCATCAGCCTACGTGAAGAGCAGTAGAAAAACTGAAGACTGAATTGAAATGTAGTTTGCAAAAGGGTTCAAGGTCAAATGTACATGCTGTTTCAGCTCCTTTTCTAACAAAAGCAAAGGAAAGGACAAACAGTTATCAGAAGTTCTCAAAATCCCATTTGCTTTTGGTCTTTTCTGTCAAGGAGAATACATTTCAGACTGAAAAGGGTAGAACAGCTGTTGGAAAAGGAGGGAGCAAAAACCTCAGCCGTGAGCCTGGGGCCAGAATCCACTGCATTTGCACTCAGAGAAAGGCTTTTACAAATAAAATCAGGAATCGCTGTTGCTGATATTTGATAAAGAAGGTAGATTTTGCACCTCCAGTGTGTAAGTGCTAAAAGGATAACTCGTGAATGCTGAGAAAATAAGCTGGTGATCGTGAGGACTAAAGACAATTCAGACCACCCTGTTTTCCCTCTGCCAGGATTATTACAGTGAATACACCAGGGAAAGACAGTAGGCGGTGCACCTGGATTTTGATGCGGCAGCTGCCAAATCTCTCACAATGTCTTCATTGGCTAGATGGAGAGGAATGGGCAGGAAGTAAGGACAATTAGGTGCATTAGTAATTCTTTGAACAGATATACCAAGGAGTGCTAATTAGTGAACTGAATAATCATGGAATGTTATGTGCATATATTAGAATGTAAAAAACATGGAAAATTAATTAGCTAAGCAATCAAGATATAAGGAACCCAAAGGAAGTAAAATGAAGAAAATATAATAAAAGAAAAAAATGAACTTGAGAGGATTGATAAAACAGTTGACTCTTAGAAAAAGAGATGACAACATTAAGAGAACAGGCATTAAAAATATGTTAAAATGGAAAAGGGGACATAGCTATATAAGAGATTAAAGCTATCAGTATAAGAAATTAAAAACTTAAACGAATTCTATAAACAATTAAATGAACAATTAGACTAAATGGAAGATATCTTAAAAATATATAAATTATCAAAATGATCTTAAGAATTAGGTAACCTGAACAGATCTATGACAAAAGAAATAAAATCCTTAGTAATATATCTACATACAAGTATCACATGCACACAAGCATATAGACAACACTTAGGGCCCAGATGGCATCCCAGGAGAGGAAGAGACAATCTCTATTATATGTAAACTGTTCCAGAGAATAGGAGAAAAGAAAGAGCTTCCCAATCAATTTTATGGAGATAGTATAACTTTGAAAGCCAAACTAGATGGATGGTTTAGACAAGAAAAATAAACATGTTAAGTCTCTCTTATTTATGCATATAGATGCAAAAGTTCTCATAAAATATTAGCAAAGCCTAGCAGTGTATTAAAACAAAGCAAAAACTCATGACTAAAAATGTTATAACACTAGAAAAAGTATGTTGAAATTCACCCAAGTTTCACATTAAAAAAGAAAAATTATCAGTCTCAACAAATACCGAAAAAAAAGAATCAAACTACCATTCATTCCAAAACAAAATTAGCAAAATAGAAGAAAAGTCTCTTAACTGAATAAATTACAGCAGAAACTGCTTTGTGTCTATTTAGTGTCTATTCGCTCTTGTTGACTCAATAACAAAACCCTGACTTATTGGAGTATTGATGTGACCAACTGGCTATTTATCTTCCTAGATTTTCTTGTAGCTGGGGATGGAAATATGATTCATTTCTGGCCATTAAGATGCAACTGGAAGTATACTAGGACTTCCGGGTAGTTTAGATTCCCTGCTGCATGCACCCCCTTTTTCTCTGTCTGAAATATGTGTATAAAAACAGATTATAGACCTTGCCTGAGAATAAGATCAATACCAGTCACCTGGATGATATAGCCATTTTAAAGGTGAATGCAACCTGTGGTTGAATAAATAGAAGTTTCCTATTTAAAAGGAGAGAAGCAATGGGCCGGGTGTGGTGACTCGCACCTGTAATTCTAGTACTTTGGGAGGCTGAGGCATGTGGATCGTGTGAGCTCAGGAGTTTGAGACCAGCCTGGGCAACATGGCAAAGCCCTGTCTCTACAAAAAACACAAAAATTAGCAGAGTGTGGTGGTGCACACCTGTAATCCCAGTTACTTGGGAGACTGAGGTGGGAGGATCACTTGGGCCTGGGAGGGGGAGGTGGTAGTGAACTGAGATCGCACCACTGCTCTCCAGCCTGGGTGACAGGTGAGACCCTGTCTCAAAAATAAATAAATAAAAGGAGAGAAGCGATATGGCAGATCTTACTAAAGTACTCTATTTTGTCTTGGGTGCCACACTGCAATTTATTCAGAACAGAGTAACAAGACTTGTAAATGGATTCCAGACAATTTCATATGAAGTACATCGAAAGAGCTGAAGAATTAAGATTTGGCCCACAAATATTGTTAAGTCTACTAAGTAGAAGAGACTTGGATACCACGTGCCACTCCAGAAGACTGAAACAAGATGGCTAAGTTCAAGCTATACAGTAAGAGTTTTAGCAACACAAAAAATAATTTGCTAATAATTAGAGCTTTAAGAAAATGGCAGCTTCAGAGAAAGAAGTCATTGTGGATGGAATGGCCAATCAATGGCTGTGTAGGGATTTTTAAGCACCAGATGAGGGGCTGAACAAGATGACTTGAAGATCCTTTTCAGCCTTATGACACCATGATTCAATGCATACAGGAGAAAACCTATTACCCAGGAGTTAGTCCATTTTAATTTGAGTTGGTTTGTTTCATCATTGGGCCGACTAGTGTGGGGCTATGCCCTATGCCGAGAATATATGGCAAACTGACTGATACTGACCTATCACACAAAGTGAAGCCACTGCATGGTATAATATTTCAGAGAATGATCATGGACAAATCAGGTATCTGTCCTGGGCTTCATATTCCCTTGAATATTGAGTAATCTTTAAAATTCCTTCCACTAGGAGATTATTCCAGTTAGTGGTAGAGTCAGCACTATATCCCAGTCCAGTGTTCTTTCCACTCCTCTATGCAAATTTTTCAATGATTTTTCCTTAAGGGAATACTTGTCACCTATAGCTATGTTAGGAAAAAGTAGAAAGAAGCAATAGCTAACTGGCAGTGGATGAGTGAGTATAAGCATGCCTCCATCCCTGTTGGGTGTCGTGGTTAGAATGCTCACCTGCAGTTAGGTGGCCACGTGGCCAAGTTCTGGAAAGTGGTATTCAGATGAATGTGAAGCTCATCCTTTCGGACCTGGCCCTTAAAACCTCAGAGGTATGAACCTTCATGCTTTATGTCATCCTCCAGCTGAATGCATATGACTTGAGGGACCAAAAAGGAGGGTAGAGCCACAAAGTAAAAGTAGCCTGGATCCCTGACAACTGTAGTGTCCCCTGGCCAGAAATACCCATAATGGACTATGATATGAACAAGAAATAAACTCCAAAATATCAGAGATTTAACATAGTAAAGGTTTATCTCATATAGTAGCTAGTGTTACCCCACTTAATACAGCTGAACTTCAGTATCCGAGGGGGACTGGTTCCAGGACGCTTGAGGATACAAAAATCCATAGATGCTCAAGTCGCTGCTATAAAATGGCATAGTATTTGTATATAACCTACAAACATCCTCCTGTGTGCTTTAAATAATCTCTAGATTACTTATAATACCTAATACAATGTAAATGCTACGTAAATAATTGTTATACTGTATTTTAAAATTTATATAATTTTTTTATTGTTGTGGTTTTTTTATTGCCTTTTAAATAAATATTTTCAATCCAGAGTTGGTTGAATCTCAAATGCAGAATGTGTGGATATGGAGGGCTCACTGTACACTACACGTTTTCCCCCTTTTCTCTGTTGTAGCTGGCACATTCTGGTACCTGAGAAAATGGCATTTCCACTCTTAGATTACCCATGTGATGCTCTTTTCCCAAAAGCAAAGACTTTCTGACAGTCAATTCAACTGAGGAAATAATTTTTGAATAAAATTGTATGTAAAGTTAGTTAATTTGTTTCTTAGTAAACATGGGTAAGAATCCCTTTGAATTAATGAGGGTAAATGAGTGTGGTATTAAATCGGTTTCCAGGAATTTTTTTCTCTTCCTCCTCCATTTAAGTGTAGAAAAGGGAGAATGGGTACAAAAGCAAAAACAAATATAAGATTTATATTGTAAAGATAATATTAAAATGGAAATACTAGCTTTGAACAACAATGTTTTTAAGTAAAGGATGGCATATTTTTATCCTATTTATTTCTTATGACAACTCAACGACGTAGGCAATGCTGGTATTTAGAAACAAGTTGGCTCAGGTTTTTTAAAAAAAACCCACAAGCCTCTGTCCAGACACACACTGCCAGGGAGTGGAAGAGCCCACTGGCTGAGCCTAGCATCCTGCTCTTACTACTACAGTAGAAGGTTAAATTCTATGGGCTAAGCAGCTATAATGTAATTTTTAAGAATTCTTTTATCTACTTAAATTAAGTAAAAAGGAAAAAAGAAAGAAACATTCTAGCTCTTGTTATTAAAAAAAAATCTTTGTTTTTGTTTTTGGAGTGGTAGAGGTGGAATAAAAACATATAGCTAAAATATCTATATCCATTGTTCTCAAAATGACTGTGGTTTGATCTAAGGTTAAATTTTTGTGCCTAGTTTCCTTTTTTAAAAATAGGTTCCCTCTCCCTCCCCCTCCCCCTCCCTCTCCCTTTCCCCAGTCTCCCTCTCCCTCTCCCTCTCCCTCTGTCTCCACGGTCTCCCTCTCCCTCTCTCTCCACGGTCTCTCTCCCTCTTCCTCTCTCTCCACGGTCTCTATCTGATGCCGAGCCGAGGCTGGACTGTACTGCTGCCATCTCGGCTCACTGCAACCTCCCTGCCTGATTCTCCTGCCTCAGCCTGCCGAGTGCCTGGGATTGCAGGCGCGCGCCGCCACGCCTGACTGGTTTTTGTATTTTTTGGTGGAGACGGGGTTTCGCCGTGTTGGCCGGGCTGGTCTCCAGCTCCTGACCGCGAGTGATCTGCCCGCCTCGGCCTCCCGAGGTGCCGGGATTGCAGACGGAGTCTCGCTCACTCAATGCTCAATGTTGCCCAGGCTGGAGTGCAGTGGCGTGATCTCGGCTCGCTACAACCTCCACCTCCCAGCCGCCTGCCTTGGTCTCCCAAAGTGCCGAGATTGCAGCCTCTGCCTGGCCGCCACCCCGTCTGGGAAGTGAGGAGCGTCTCTGCCTGGCCGCCCATCGTCTGGGATGTGAGGAGCCCCTCTGCCCACCCGCCCAGTCTGGGAAGTGAGGAGCGCCTCTTCCCGGCCGCCATCCTGTCTGGGAAGTGAGGAGCGTCTCTGCCTGGCCGCCCATTGTCTGAGATGTGGGGAGTGCCTCTGCCCTGCCACCCCGTCTGGGATGTGAGGAGCGCCTCTGCCCGGCCGCGACCCCGTCTGGGAACTGAGGAGTGTCTCTGCCCAACCGCCACCCCGTCTGGGAGGTGAGGAGCGTCTCTGCCCGGCCACCCCGTCTGAGAAGTGAGGAGCCCCTCCGCCCGGCAGCCACCCCGTCCGGGAAGTGAGGAGCGTCTCTGCCCGGCAGCCGCCCCGTCTGGGAGGTGGGGGGCAACCCCCCGCCCGGCCAGCCGTCCCGTTAGGGAGATGGGGGGCGCCTCTGCCTGGCCGCCACCCCGTCTGGGAGGTTTACCCAACAGCTCATTGAGGGCGGGCCATGATGATGATGGCGGTTTTGTCAAATAGAAAAGGGGGAAATGTGGGGAAAGGAAAGAGAAATCAGATTGTTGCTGTGTCTGTGTAGAAAGAAGTAGACATAGGAGACTCCATTTTCTTCTGTACTAAGAAAAATTCTTCTGCCTTGGGATGCTGTTAATCTATAACCTTACCCCCAACCCCGTGCTCTCTGAAACATGTGCTGTGTCCACTCAGGGTTAAATGGATTAAGGGCGGTGCAAGATGTGCTTTGTTAAACAGATGCTTGAAGGCAGCATGCTCCTTAAGAGTCATCACCACTCCCTAATCTCAAGTACCCAGGGACACAAACACTGCGGAAGGCCGCAGGGTCCTCTGCCTAGGAAAACCAGAGACCCTTGTTCACATATTTATCTGCTGACCTTCCCTCCACTATTGTCCTATGACCCTGCCAAATCCCCCTCTACGAGAAACACCTAAGAATGATCAATAAATACTAAAAAATAAAAAATAAATAAAAAAATAGGTTATCTACTCTTCATATTACATAAATATCTATTTGTACATTTTTGGCACAAAAATCGGTCATTACAACATGTTTGGCCTGGAAGAAACTGGCATGCTGGCATTTAACTCAGCCTTGGCGCTGACAATTCTGACACCTGGAAAAGTTCATTTGAGGCATTAGGGTTCAGAGACAAACTCTAGAAAAGCTAAGACAGACTTTGGATGAACTGATTTTACTGAATCCTAGGAAGAAAAACAACGATAATTGTTAATAATTGCTCTTACTAAACACTAATAATAAAAGTAAGCCACAGCCTCCTCATTCTTACCTGAAAAATTTAAATAATGGTGCCTGTGTGGCAGCTTCACAGGGCTGTTAGACATGAAAGCACTTTGGAAACTGTAAGCAGCGTGATATCATAAGGTAATATATTTTCACTATGAACTCAAGTAAAGGTGTGCTAATCTATACTTCTCTGTCCATCAGTGCTCTGGGAAAAAGCCAGATCTATTTAGACCTCTGGCCATAATGCATTATTTTGGGACTTACCTTTGTGTTACACAGTCCCTAAGGGAAAACAACCTAGAGTATGCCAACCCTGTGAGTCCTGGCTTCATTGTGGACAAAGGTGAAATCTCTCTAGAACAGATTGATGAGGTTGGGACATGCTACCCCAAAATATGGTGCCTTGGCATTTGAGGAAATAGCAAAAGCAGGAAGGTCATTCTCATCTTCCCCTTGCCTTTCTCCCTTGAGGCAGGTCATAAAAGTTTCATTCGAGAAACTGCCCTCCCTATAGGCAGATAAAAGAAATGTCTCTGAAGACATGGGGAGAGGGAGAAGAGTCTGAACAAACAGGCCTTGCTAAGTGCCCCAGTTTATTACCATTAGATCATACCCCCTTTGTCTAATCCTACTTCTCTGTAACTATCCACTTCATCAAACTTAGCATAAAAATACAAAGGTTTCTCCTGTTTCTTTGAGTCTGCATTTCTGAAGGTTCCCATGTCACATAAAACTTACATTAAATAAATTCTCTTATGCTTTTCTCTGGTTGACCTGTCTTTTGTTACTGGTGCTTCAGCCATGAAACCTAGTGATACATGAGAAATTCTCTGTTCTGCCTTGCAATATCTAGTATGCACCTCACATAGGACTCTGCCACAGCTTCCTTCCTTTCTTTTCTATTTTTCAAACATTTAAGGAAAAAAGGCTGGCATGGTAGCTCATGCCTGCAATCCCAGCACTTTGGCAGGCTCAAGCAGGAGGGTAGCTTGAGGCTAGGAGTTCCGAGATTAGCCTGGGCAACATACCAAGAGCCCATCTCTACAAAAAAAAATATTTAAATAATTAGCCAAGCATGGTGGTATGAACCAGTAGTCCCAGCTACTCAGGAGGCTGAGGTGGGAAGATTGTTATTGCTTGAGCCCAAGAGTTCAAGGCTGCAGTGAGGCATGACTGTGCCGCTGCACTCCAGTCTGGGTCACAGAGTGAGAACCTGTCTCAAAAAAAAAAAAAAAAAAAGAAAAAGAAAAGAAAAGATAAAAGTACATAAGATTATCTCTTTCCATGAGTCACCAGTTTTATCAAGGATAAACTTAAGCCATTTCGCAGACAAGTTATATTGTTAGTGTTATTCCATATGGAAAGAGCCATAGAGAAACCATTTATTCAGTAACATCCTAGAACCTGAAGTGTGGGTTGTTGGGCGGGAGGCGGGTGGGGGGGGTTGTCTTTTTATCTATCTACAAAAGTATTTCCCTTATTTTAAAAAGAGAAAGGTAAGTATATCCCTATAAGAATATGTAATAATGGACTAAAAAATCTAAAAATCAGTAAATTAGAAAACAACAAACTAGAATGTTTTTGTATTTTGAAACAGTATCAAGCTATTTGGATTCAAATGAGAGAAATTAACCAAACACAACAAAAGCCTGATCTAAAGTGAGGAAATGATCAACCAGGCAGGTAAGTTATTGTGACCTTCATCCATCTATGTCTCCAGCTATCCACCTACTTATCCAATGAGTATTGTTGAACCCCTACTATATTCAAAACCCAATGTAAGCACTGAGCATATTACCATGAATAATAAATCACAGGCCCTGCCTACACAGAACTTAAAGACAAGGAGTAAGCTGAGAAAACTCTGTGTGATGAGAGCTGTGACAGTAAGCATCAGGCACTGGAGGAGGTGGGGCCTCCATGGAGAGTTGCTCAGGCTGTGCACTGTGCACAACCAGCCTGTGAGAACAACTTCCCTGGTGTCATGTGACCCTAGCTCTGTGGGAACACAGTGGGAGGGGTAAGGAGGGCTTCCTGGAAGAAGCCTTGCCTTCTTTAGAAATAACTATGATCTAATGGTAATAACCTGGGAGCACTTAGTAAGGCCTCTTTGTTCAGATTCTTTCCTCTGTCCCCAAGTCTTCAGAGATAAGGACATTTCTTTCCTCTGGCTATACAGAGGGCACTTGTTGAATGCCGCTTTTATGATCTGCCTCAAGGGAGAAAGGCAAGGGGAAGATGAGAATGCCCTTCCTGCTTTTGCTATTTCCTCAAATGCCAAGGCGCCATATTTTGGGGCAGCATGTCCCAACCTTATCAGTCTGTTCTGGAGAGACTTCACCTTTGTCCACAATGAAGCCAGGACTCACAGGGTTGGCATACTCTAGGCTGTTTTCCCTTAGGGACTATGTAACACAAAGGTAAGTCCTAAAATAATGTATTATGGCCAGAGGTCTAAATAGATCTGGCTTTTTCCCAGAGTACTGTGTGGACAGAGAAGTATAGAGAAGTGGATAGTTACAGAGACGTAGTAGAGATGTAAAAAATTTGAAAGTAGTTCTCAGCCCAGGAGATGGGGGGAAGCAATAAGAAAAGGGCTGCAGCATTAGAGGGCTGGAGCTCAGGATGGGAGGTAGCCTAGCAAGAAGGAAGAGGGAGAGCTGGTGATCAGGGTCGTATTCAGCTTTCTAACCTGTCAACTGATGATGTCCCAAGAAAAACCAGGGATATGAGAAGGGCAGGCTTATAAGGAAAGGTGGGATCTAACTTTCAAATTTTTGAGCCCAAGGTACTAATTCAAATTTAGGAGGCAAGTGGATATCCAGAAATCTACAGTCAACAACAGAGACTAAAACCATGAGTTAGATGATATCACCCAGACGGACAATAAAAAACTTAAATGGGTCTGGCAGGAAAACTGAAAGGACATTGCTGAAGAGGTGAGTGGAAAAGAAAAGAGTGTGATGACTCAGAGATCAACGGGAAATCTCCTGTCGGGAATGACAGAGCTTTCTGTGTCAAGGAACTGCTGAAACATCAAGTAAGATGACGGACAGCTGAAGAGTCCACAGGATTTGGTCTGGAGTGACCTTGGGAGGGTGGTTTAAAGGGTAGGTAGATATAGAAGGAAGATTTTGGTAAACTGTGGAGTGACAGGAAGGTGAAGAAGAGAGACAGTAGAGACAATTGGCACAGGAAAACTTTTTCAAGAAGTTTAGCTATAAAGGAGAGAAAAGGCATTAACCAGAGAGACACATGGGTAAACTACATTAAGGCTCATCAGCACACACAATTGAGTCTTCTACTGGAGTAGAAAGAGGAGGATGTCAAGAGTCACACACTGGGGCTCCCACTTAGGGCTCTTCTCCAACACTTCAGTTACCTCAGTTTGTGGAGTGGGGGATGCATGTGTGCACTCCAGAATCAAACAATTTTTAATTACCAATTAATTCTTTGGGTACTTGTATCTTTTTTGCCCAGACACTGTAAAATACTAGAGACATTTATCTAGAATAAGGATTTCCTATCCTAGATAAACCTTATCTATCTAAGGATTTCCAAGGGCAGCTCTGTTCTGAAGAATCGGAAATTTTACAGCATTGTTTTCTCCACAATTATGTTGTTTTATTTAAGTGACACAATCTGTTCATTCTCCAAAATTGTTGAGCACCAAGTTGAGATACTTTGTATATCTCATGCAAAGAGGTTCTAGTCTCCTTAACCATAGCTTTCATGTTTGTGCAAAGCACTTTAGCAAGACCCTCCAACTTTCCCCAGAGAAGAAAAGGGTGTGGGAGAGATGGGGCCTCTCCTGCAGTCCACCTACCGCTGCTTGGGTGGGTTGCTGCTTCTTATTCCTTTTTGGCCTTAACTTGGTAAAGTGTTCCAGCTTCTTCCCCTCTTCAGAGGGCAACTCAGAGATAAATCCCGAGCTCCGCTTCTCCTGTCTGAGGGATGGGAAGGGCGGGTCTTCGATGTGAATTGGTACCTCTTCCAGCGCTTTATCTAGATCAAACTCCATTTCTAAAATTAAAAACAAAAAAACAAAAAAACAGCCCAAGGCCAAAGCTTAATGCATAGAGATGGATAAAAAATTCCTAAAAGTAATTTTAAGTCTAGCATAGAATAGCAAACACACATTCACAGATCACTGAACTCTTTCTCAATATTTACCCATGTAGTGCATCCATAAGGAACATCCCTAAAATGGTCTAAGGTCTTGCTGAGGGTGCTTCACAGTTCCAAGGAAATGATTGGCAGCAGCAAAACACTTACCAAAAGCCCTAGAAACAGGCCGCAGCATTCGGCTATGGATACTCTTCCTTTTGGATTTAGGGGTCATCTAGAAATGAAATAATAATTTAAAAAAACACTTAGGTAGCCACAGAAAACTTGCCTTTCAAACTTCTGAAACATTCTGGATCGACTGTTTAACTCAGTAGTTGTTTCTCTGCTTTAGAAGATGATTGAAAACCTAACTGAAGAGACCAAACTATTTCTAAATGTTTACAATTTCTCAAATGATACAGCTAACCTCTTTGTTTCATCCCTAACCAGTTGAATTCCACTTATATAGCTGAAAAGAGCAATGAATGAATTTAATTCCAAGCTGTGTAAGAGGATGTTAAAATGGATACATAAATAAAAATCAAAGACTGTTAAAATCAGTCACGAAAAACTGAAAACACTATTAAGTGATCATTGTCACAGTAACATCAATGTAAGCAACCCTGACCTCTTTCTGTGTCACATCAATGACTTAAGTAGTTGCACTCTCGTTTCACATTTTGCCCCCAAGATTTTGATCTTTACTTCATGGGCAAAGACCAGGAAAAGGTGCTAGGATTCAAAAATCTGTATCTGCTGGCACTTCTCAGTGAAATGTCTTTGATCCTGTTAATCTTCTAAAAAATGAAACCGAAACTCAAACCAAGGGCCAAAACTGAAGAGCACTTTCCTAGCATTGGTGTCAACTGTTTATGGTGCAAAGCCAACCCTCAGAAAGGCACTATCTTCTCCCTCAATAGGATCACACAAATGTCAAAGACGGAGGGAAGCTTTGTCATCACCTACACAAATAAACTCCAAGGATGAAACTGAGTTACAGAGATGACAAAGGCTAACATTCATGGTGTCAGAAGGAGCAGAGCCATGGACAGAACCCAGTGAGGAGGGTCAGGCCAGCATCCTTCCTGCCACATCATTCATGACCCATATAGAGATGGATGGATGTTAGGGATGTTTTCACTGGTTTGATATCAGGAAACTGGTACGTGTATAAACTAAGAGGTAACATAACTGAAAGAACTTAGTTTGCATACTTTCATTTAATAGGTTTTCATCTAATGCTTCCTCAAAAAAACAATCTACATGATTGAAAAACATTCTTTAGCTCCAAGGAGAAACTGGCTGATACTGATCTTTAAAGCAAACAAATCTATAGTTTTGACAATTATGCCAGTTTTAATAATATCATTTTGCTATTATTTATTGTTGAGAGAAAAGGGAGATAAAAAAATGATTAGCAATTGTATTGAAATCCAGACTGGTTTTCCTAAAATACAAAATGAAACTTGCCGATTTGGCTTTTTTCAAGGTTTTGTTAAAGGCAGACAAACTGAGGAAAAGCTATTTATAAAGTAACAGGTTTTGCAGGTTCAATAAAAACTCAGCTAACTCAATGCAAATGGAAAGGAATCCAGTTTAAGGCAGTTCTCCCCAAAGTTAGCCATGCAGTTGGCTGAAGAAGTTAGTGGCCTGCCTGGTCTATTCACAAGTGAAATCTCTGAAAGTAATTCTCAGGAGATACAAGCTATCAAAATATATGCTGTGTTTGGTCGCAACAAGTTCTTCAGTATTCTATCCATCTTGTGCACAATCATGGTAGGTAAAATAATCAAGAAGTAGCTTCAGATATAATTTTTAGCCAATTTCATTTAGATTGTCACAAATAAAGAGGAAAGATGTTTAAAAATGCATGGACTGAAGATGTCTTTTTTTTTTTTTCCTGACTCTTGATTATATTTTACAGGAAGTGTATTCATAGGCAAAAATAGTCTGGTTTAAGTTTCCATATCATGAAAGTCTTTATGATACCAAATAAATGTAAAATATATAAAAATTATATTTCAAATATATTATAATTTTAAACATATAAAAATATGTACTATATATAAAATAAATGACAATATATAATATGTACAGAAAGAATCACATTTGCAAACTCATGTCCATCTGTGAATAGGTCATTCAGCTTAGTTTAATTTCATAGACATAATTAAGAAACACACGAAATCATCAGGATAATTTGATGGTTGATATCACTCAAAGGGGAGCTAGTTTTCTCCTCTTGGTCTTGTTTTCCAATGCTTCAAAGCCCAGTATAGAAAGCTTGAATATCAGAAAAACTCACTCTAATGTATTTTACTTGCTTTCCTTTATTTTGTGTGCTTTTTACAAGGGTAAGTAACTTCTAATTACATTTCCCATAAATCTATACCTATCATATCTTGTAGTTCTGAAGTTTTGGCACAGAGCCAATGGTCTTTTGCTAAAATAGAATTTGTAATCAGGCTAGTTTCTACAATTGGTATTAAGAAGGCAACCCAGCTTCTGTATCTTTCCTTCATGGGATTTAAGTGCAACAACAGAGAAAAAAAAACTCAATCTCATTTCTCCCATATTTTTATTACTTTTCTTTGGAAGTAATTCTTCCTTAGTTTTACAGAAAATGTGGACTTCCTTAATCTTATTGGCTTATTCCTACAATGCCATTACATATAAACCTAAAGCAAGAGGAAATATAACAATGTACTATAATTATCCACCTAAGTGTATATTTAGGAGCAAATATTTAATGTTTGTCTAGAAATTTGGTTTATTTGCGCTCCTTCCTCCTCCCCTCCCCAACTGTTGGGTTGATGAAATACATCCCAGAAAAAGAAAACAATCTGACTTTACCATCTTCTTTAACACTGTTAGCTCTCTTCTCTTTTTGTACCAAAATGAAAGGGTCAATTTTTTCAAACTGTTTCTTAGTCCTTATTGACCTTTCCCTGACATTTGTTAATGCCTAAGTACTTTCTGAGTCAGAGAAATCACAAAGTGTCCATCAGATGAAGGGGGGTCAGCGTTTGAAAAAGAAGAGGTACATACTGCAAATGGACCTCTCATCAATCAATGGTTAACACTGTCAACTTGAGGCCTAGACAAAATTAACTTATCTTAAAAAATGCATCTTGCAAGCAATAACGTATAATTTTCAAAACCCATATCCCAAAAAAGTATGAGGAAAAAGGTGTTAAACCCTTATTTTAAATGTAATTTTAGCAGGAAAATCTTAAACACAGACTTCTTTCTTGTCCTAACATCACAAATCATCAATAAGTCCCCATTGTGGCAGACACTGTGAACAAAAAGGCCACAACTCTATTTTCTGAGAATCCAAAAGCATCAATGCCTACATTACTCTGAAATTGTACTCATTTGATCAAATTTTTTAATGAATTTTAAACTATTCTGCACATAGCTCAATTGAGATATGTCTACTTTTACTACAAGTTAAAGACTAATCTTGGAACCTTCCAAACAACGTAACATTTTTTTCCTGTCAAACCCACTTTTAACATGTAATTCCTAGACATACTTTTTTTTTAAAAAAATGAGAGTCAAGTTGCTTAAGTCACCATAAAAATAGAAAGAGGTGCTTTGTTTTTGCCACATTTGCTCAAAGAATAATAAATAACACTCTCACTCCAAGTTCAAGAATCCATAATTACTTCCCCCCACCACCAAGGCTGTAGAAAGAAAAAAAAAATAACAATACCAGCTGAGAAGAAGATTAGGAAAGTTCTCCTAATATAAGAAGCAAATCATAATGTCGATTTTCTACAACCCTGGGCCCGAAACAAGTAATATGACAAGAATCAGGAAAAAAATCTTAAAAGTAATCATGTCTTTATTATTGTTATTATTACATGAGTGGAATAAGCACTTGTCTCCTCTTGAATGTTTGTATCCTCTTCATCAACACTCTGCTTGCTTTCAGGCACATGGCTGGAGATATTTTAAATTCATCGCCTGTTTTGCTAGCTGAACCATCTTGCAAAATCCAATCTTGTCTCTAAATTGTTGCCTATTTCATTCAGGATCTGCAGATGGATGACAACACTACAGTCTCCTGGGAGACCAGCCAGGCAGCACAGAAGCAAATGGAGCACAAGAATATAAAGTAGTACAGCCAGAAACCGCAGAGCCACCAAAAAATACTTACACTTGTACAGCAGAGAGTCTCCATGCAGCAAAAAGAAAGAAAAAAAATATGAATGGAAGAGAGATAAAGCAACAGCATTACTAGGAAAGGGGAGGGAGAGGGATACCATTCACAAACAAAGAAACAGAAAAGCTAAAACACATAAAAAGCCTTCATAGCAAAGGAATAAGGCAGGAATGAGGCCAACATATTAATGGCTTAAGACATCCAATCTAGCTTTTTATAAGCAGAAGCACAATTACAGCTTGAAAAATTTCAGAAACTCCTAACCTACAGATATTATGTCTCTTGCTAGGTGTGTACAAAGTGATATTTACCAACCCCACAAGGCATTAACCTCATTTGGGGGATGGTGGCTTTATCAGCTCCAAAGCATATAATGGACAGAGCAGCGGATGGTTGTTAAAGAACCCCATGCAAGTCCTGGCTCCTGGACCACAGGACCAGTCTCAACAACTAAGTGGGGACAGTGTATCTGCAGGCATGTACAGGCGTCTCTTCTGGGGCCATTTACATCACTCTGTGCTCCCACTGCATTTTAGGAGCAGCAGCTTTGAATTCTTTTGCCTCTTCAGTCATTAAAACTTTTCAGGAAAAGATCTGATGACAGGATTCAGCACAAGTTACCTACCCACAGTGTAATTCAATATTGATGATACCTTATACCTTAGTGGGAATTTAGGTCACCTTACATTTTACATTACATCTCTAAATAATTTTTTTCTTTATTTTCTTTCCTTCTCCATTCACCTTAGATTTAAAAAAAAATCTCTAAATAATTCTTAAAATTCCATTGGTCATCATTAAATTTTGTTAGGGCATCCTCTTCTTAGTCTGAATGAATGATAATTATTCTGAAATAATAATGATGAATTTAAAAATTCATTTATAAAAGAATTTTTAAAAACAAAAAAGAAGTCCAGTTGTAGAATGCAAGTCTTTGTGAAAGCGAAGTGTCAGGGGTTGAGGGATCCTTTCCAAACCTCCTGAGGAAGGCCACCTACTCCTTCCACCTGGGGCTGGGGCTTTCTTTTTTCCAAGTTCTTTATTTTTCATGTCAATTATTTTCAATATAAAATGGGATGGAAATACAGGGCTCCTCAATTTGTGAATGTAAATGATTTGTGTCTCTTTAAAGTAAAGGCAGCACATAAGTAAAAAGCATTCCCTATAACCATCACCATCATTGGCACCAGTATTATGTGCTTATCAGAAAGGCTTCCACTGGCAAAGTCCTGAAAATTTCTCATTCTTCACATTTCTGATTTCATACTTGATCAGGCAATTTACTTCAAATATAACTCATTCTATGACCCATTAAATTAGCAGGAAAACATCCTTGCTGGATCAAAGGAGAAAAAGTAAAAATATATTTTCAAATATATTTTCCCGAATTGCCCAAAACAAAGACTCCTGCCCTGTCCTAACACATAGCCCTCAGAAGCTTTCTTAAAGGTATGACTATGAATACATACATAAAAGAGTTACAGCTGATGGTTAAGTCCCATAGATGAGTTTTTACTTTCCTTCTCTTTGTGAAAGATTAATTCATCAAGAAAAGTAGTCTGTCCCAATTATCCACCTAAAGATCATTATAAGTGATGGTGAGGAACCTTTCAATTGGTTCAACTCCTAAAATGACAGGCAAGCAAAAAATGTTCCCACGAAGAAGGAAAGCGTGGCAACAGACATTTCAACTTTTTGATAGAAGGAAGATTAATAGTTCATTCTGCTACTCTTGTCCACTCTTTGGAACTCATTTGGGCTACAATGACTTCAACATCCCCCCATTAGGACAAGGGCAAGGGAAGGAGTATGTTTCATGCTCATGGCTTTGGCATCCAAGAACTGGGCATGAATCCTGAACCTGCTACTTACTGGGTTATGGGACTTTAACCAATGTTTTTGCAAAGTCAGCTTCCAGTTTTCTAGTTTGTAAAATAAATTGTGAGGATTAAATAAGATAATAAATGCCAAGTGCTTAGCACAGTGTCTGGCAAACAGTGCCAATCAGTGACCTCTCAGTGCTTCAATAATTGGCTGTGATTATGAGGTTAATATCATTTTTAAAATTCTTCTATTCCCAAAGAGAGAGTATTAAGGAGGGGGGCCATTAATAAGAAATAGATTTATAACAGCAAAAAAAGTGAGAACAATCAAAAAGCCAATCAGTAGAGGAATAACTAAAATTAAAGGAACATCAATTAAAAGGAAAAATAAAAACTACCTGTAGCAACATGAACATGTCTCAAAATATAATACTGAGTGAAAAAGGCAAGTTTCAAAAAAGATACACGTGGTACGATGCCATTTATGTAAACTCTAAAACATGCAAAATAATATTATACACTGTTCATGAATACACGTATGTTTGAACACAAAAAACAAACAGGAAGTGTCCAACTGAACTCATGAGAGTGCCTCAGGAGAAACGGGGAGAAGCTTGAGATTGTTAGTAGTGGTCAAATGATGCTATTACATTATCTGTGATGCCCTGTATTAAGATTCAACAAATGCTACCAAGCACATACTGTGCATCAGGCATTCTTGGAGAAAGGCGTGGGTCTAGCAGTGAATAAGAGAGAGAAGCTCTTGCACTCCTAGTGTGTGTGTTCCAGTGTATATTGGCAAAACAAAGATTCTAACATGTTAACAGGTGGCTCTTCAGGGTGTTAGGAACACAGGTATTTGGCATTTGTGAGTAATTTTTGTAATTTCTTAGGAATGTCCCAAAAAGTTTATTTAGGAATACTTAAAGAAATCACTCTGGTCATGGTATTGACCGATTATCTGGACTTACTATTCTGCAGACACTCTAATAGGAGCCTGTCTGAATGACCATATACTTCCACCACCTTTGCTACCTCCTGATGGATAACAATGACAAAGACACCAACCAGATCATAATAGCTTGGGGATGGAAAGTGATCAACTACAACACATGGAAAGAAACTTTAAAGTTTCTTGAAGTAACTCGGAGTTGTTCTGTTTGTGTAAGTGTTTGATAAGTGTTAGTGCTGCTCTGTGGAAGTGTTAAAAAGTGTCTGGCTTCCTGATGTTCAGGAACTATTGTTTTCCAGAGCCCAAGAACTCAAATTAAATAAAAATCCCAGTGCCACATCCTCTTCATGTTCTTTATCATGAACCTCACATGTAAGGGATTTTTTAAAAAAATTAATATTAACCTTAATAGAATTCACTCTATCAGAAATACACAAATGTTTTGCCGGTCATTTCAGCACCTCCTTTTAATACAGAACTGAGATGGACTAGATGGTCAGAACTGGACAGACTGGGTGAAGGGGAAAAAAGCCAGTTAGTTAAAAAAATAAGGAAATGAAGGGTTTTACCACTAAGCAAAAAAGAAATAAGCAAAAAAGGATTTTTTTTTTTTTTTTTTTTTGCTTAGAGGTAAACCCTCCGTTTTCTTATTGCTGGCAAAAAACTGGCAGAGGCGTCTTTTGGCCACTGTCTCATCAGTCCTCCCTCAGTCTCCAGGGGAAGAAAAGCAGAAAACCTACAAGAATTTCAACTACAGAGTCACCTTGTCAAGTATATTTACTTTTAAAAATGAGTTTAGAATAGAAACAGGTGTGTAGGCAGAGAGAATTCTTTTTATCTAATGGCCAAGAAATTTACTATAGCATCCTTTAACATGAAAAGTAATTTTTTTCATTTTAATGAAATGAAAATGGTTTTCATGTAATAGACAGCAGAACACTTTTTGAAACATCTTAAGCAATGTGTCAAAAACACATGATAGATAAATGGGATAATTTGGGTGACATAGGGGAATGCCTAGAGTGGCTCAAAGGATTTCCTTTAGGTGCCCCTCCCCATCCTCCTCCCCTTGGTCATCCCTGGGGAAGACAAAATGAACATCTCTTGGGTGAAAAACATAAGCCAGGATTCTGTCTTGTTCACTTCTAGATCCCCAGAGCCCATAGAGGGCTTGGCATATAATGGGCCTTCAAGAAGTGTGTGTTTGAATGAATGAACTGAATCAGTGCTTTAATCCAATGCGCTCCCCACATTCAGGTTCTATAGACTTGTTCAAAAAGAAAATATTACTAGTACCAACCATTGTTACCAAAAAGGGCATTTAGGCACAAAGATAAAATAGTAAAGACTTATTTATTATAAACAATAGTCCTTTAGAGACATTTATTTTTCATGAAAAATCTGGTGTCTGTATTTTTTCTATTTCTTGTTACACAGACAAAAACTTCCTCATGGACCCTAGTGATTCATGTACTGATGTCCACCTTTTTTTTTTTTTTTTTTTTTTTTTGAGACAAGGTCTGGCTCTATCACCTAGTCTGAAGTGCAGTGGCTCAATCTTGGCTCATTGTCCAACCTCTGCCTCCTGGGCTTAAGCCATCTTCCCACTTCAGCCTCCTGAGTAGCTGGGACTACAGATACGTACCACCATGCCTGGTTAACCTTTGTATTTTTTGTAGAGACGGGGTTTTGCCTTGTTGCCCAGGCTGGTCTCCAATTCCTGAGCTCAAGCAATCCTCCTGCCTTGGCCCCCTAAAGTGCTGGGATTACAGGCATGAGGCATGAGCCACTGCACCCAGCTATGATGTCCACCTCCTTCAACAATACACTTTTCAAATACATACACCCACCCTTTTTCTCCAACTATTTATTTTGAACATATTCAAATTTAGCAAAATTAAAAGGACAAGTATAGTCTAATAAATACAAATATACTCTTCACTTAGATTCAGCAATTGTTAACATTTTGTCACACAAAATTACTTTATTTCCTTCATTCTTATCTCTAACACAAACACAGAAAAAAAAAATTCTGAACCATTTAAAGGTTGTTGACATCTTGACATTTCTCCCTTAAATACTTCTGCATGAATATCCTAAGAATCATATTTTCCTATATAACCATACATTATTATCAACATCTAAGATAATTAACAGCAATTGCATAATATCTAACATACACACTATAGTCCATATTCAAATTCCCCCAACTGTCCCTCAAGTGCCTTAAAACATCCCCTCCCCTTTCGGGATCTTAATAGAGAATGCACTCATTATATAGGGTAATGTCTCTTCAGGCTCTTTCACCTAGCACATCCTCCCTCCCCACTCCCATCCCCACCTTTCTTTTTCATAATAGTGACTTT
Source organism: Homo sapiens (assembly GCF_000001405.40). Classification (NCBI taxonomy): domain Eukaryota; kingdom Metazoa; phylum Chordata; class Mammalia; order Primates; family Hominidae; genus Homo; species Homo sapiens. Next base: position 25,571,846 of record NC_000006.12, on the reverse strand, counting down.
CTTGATAAATCCAGGCCGATTGTTTCACAGACTGCCTCACATGCTATATTTGTCTGATGGTTTCCTCATGATTAGATTCAGTGAAACATTTTTAGCATGAATACCACATACGGGATGCTGTGAACTACTGACTGAATCACAGTGATTGGCACATATGTCAGGTTGTTCCACTACTGGTAAGACTGACCTTGATCCCTTGATTAGCATGGGGACTTTCCAGCTGTGCTCCATTGTAAAGTACTAATTGTAAAGTACTAATTGTAAAGTATTAATTCCCTTGGTAATTAATAGTAACTCTATGAGGTGATACTTTTAGTCCACGTAGATTTTTAAGCAACTATTGGTAATCCTTGCCTGAATTAATGGATATGATCAGAACTGCAAAATTATAACTTTCTACTTCTTTCATTGTTCTTATATTTATTAGGTGCCATTCCTCTGAAAAGAGAACATTTCCTCTCTTACAATCCTCTGTACTGGCATTTCGATGTTTTCTGAGTATTACTATGAATGCATGGTTCTCTAATACTTCAGTGTATCTTAAATTACTAGTCATTATGCTTTTTGGTGCTCAGAATGTCTCAGTGAAGCCCTTTCAACTGGATTTTCTGAGCTCTGAAATGATCCCATTGAATTTAGAGCTAATCATTGCTTTTTGATATAAAATATCCTAGACCTACCTTCCCTGTTTAATGAACTAGATTATAAAAACTAAATACTTACTACTAGATTTTCAGCTCAACGAGAAAACTCAGTAATTTTTAATTGACTTTTACCCTCAATATCTAACCAAACAGTATTATCACATTTGTAGTTTACAAAAAGTAATTTTTGTGCATTTCCATTTTTAAAAGTCTGAGATGGTGTAAATCTCACTAAGAAAAAGAGATACCTAATTCTTTCTAAGACAATTGTTGGACAGCATAAAGTATTCCTTTGCAAGCCTAGGAAGAAAAGGTATAGGGAAGTTATAACTCTGAGAAAGCTGCAATAAATCAATGGACAAAAGGAGGAATGATATGTAGAGATTTAGTGATGTGCCACATTTCCTACTAAACACAACATTAAATCCAGCTATTCACGCTACACTCATTAACTTTTATATCCAGAGTCTCATTTCACATAAAAGTTAAACTGGCATCATGATGTTAAAACAAAAACACTTAGGGAACGGCACTGATGAGAGACTATTGAAAAGATCATGGTAGAGAACTATTTTGAAATTAAAATGTTTCCCTTATTTTCCAGATCTGCACAGTTTTTTGATACAAAATATTTATCTTCCTTTGTCACATTTTCTCCAGGAAACAGGAAATGCCTCACTTTTTATTCCTCATAACTCATCTTGCAACTGCTGCAAAAGTAAAAATTCACGTTTGAATGTTCTCCTTAAAAAGCAAATAAAATTTAATACATTTTTCTTAAGAGTAGTCCAAAAATAGAATTCTCTGGCACTGATTTCAAGCAAATATCTTGCCACCATAATGTGTGTGACTCCTGTTGGGCACAGAAGCATGATGTTTATTACTACAAGATCAGGTATATATCCCTGTAGCATTATAAATTTTTAAAAAGTGGGAAAATGCCAGGTGCAGTGGCTCACGCCTGTAATCCCAGCACTTTGGGAGGCCGAGGCGGGCAGATCACGAGCTCAGGAGATCGAGACCATCCTGGCTAACACGGTGAAACCCCGTCTCTACTAAAAATACAAAAAATTAGCTGGGCTTGGTGGCGGGCGCCTGTAGTCCCAGGTACTCTGGAGGCTGAGGCAGGAGAATGGCGTGAACTCGGGAGGCGGAGCTTGCAGTGAGCGCCACTGCACTCCAGCCTGGGCCACAGAGCGAGACTCCGTCTCAAAAAAAAAAAGTGGGAAAATTATTTACTTTATTGCAGTAGTAAGCAAGATGTTAATCTGATGGTCATAAAAACTTGAATAGCATTTTAATATTTTCTTTATTGTGAAAACATAAACAAAGGGGAAAACCCTACTGAGTATTAAACTTGAGGTATTTTAAGTCGCAATCTTGGAAAATCCATGTTAAAATGAAAGGCAAAAACTAGGAGTTTAGGAGAAGACTTAAATACTTTCCTCTAGAATGGACATCATAGTTCAGTGACATCAAGATGAATAATCAAAATTAGCCTAAATTCTTCAGGTAACACATTTGCTCCCTTCATGGAATATCAGCTTTATAATGATGACAAAAATTAGTAGTTAACAACAACACTGCCACCAACAAAAACCAGGTTAAATATAACAATTATTTTACTGCTTTAAGAAACTTGAGTCAAATAAACTACAGAGGTACCAAGTAAAAAGAGTGGAGGGTGATTTTGGGGCCTGGTGACTTAGGATCCTAGTTATAGAGCTGTGGTAATCAATCAGTAATCAGAAGACATGGTTCCTATACTTTTTAACCACAGAGCAAGTGGTTCCCCAAGCTTTACTGAAATTAGGCCCTAAAACCCCAACTCTTCAACCTCAAACAGAGCTTCAGGGAAAGACGGCTTATCACCAAAACTCTGAAACCTGCTCCAGCTTGGAAACCAAGATTTTCATCATGCTCAGTTTAACTCCTTTTAATCAACATCCCTACTGAATGAATTCTAAAGAGAGATTCTCAAAAGAGTGAATTCTCAAGATATCACTCTCTAAATTACAGATCAATTATTTTGATAGTTATTTTTCCATAACTTCAGATCATCATTCATACACTCTATTCTACCTATGAGAACATCTGTCAAAAAAATATGCAATATTATTTGCTGCTTTTAATCTTTTGTGGCTTTGATCTCATTTTAAAATGAATTATCGATTTACAGCCAAGGTATAATGAAAAGTTGGGTACATTTTCTATCAAACATATGACTTATATGCCACTAGGGCATTATTTTCTAACAAAACAAAACTGGCTTTCAGAGCATAATGAGGGCAATCTCTTAGCTATTGTTTGATTTAATGTTAACTGGAACAAACCCCATATGAATCTTCCAGTGACATTCTCCAACATTTAAAGTTTCAATATCAAATAACCACATACAGGTGGCCAGTTCATTCAGTTACCTAGAGGGAAGAGGTCACACAGTGCACAACTAGAAGCATTACTAAGGTTTTTATGGCCATGATAAAGAATGCTCTGAAATCTTTTTCAGAAAAAAAAGTCATTTTGGCCATGCTGAATTGAGTTTGGCATTTGGGGATTTCCATTAAGTACTTGGCTCAAGGGCTGAGGTGGACTTGCAGCTGCTTTCAGATAAAAACCCTGTCTTGATTTGCAGGTACCCACCCTACAGCTCGGCTCTGGCTAGAAGGTCTTCTGTCTGGACAACAGAAATGATCACATACCCCAATTTGGATAATCAAATGTTAGATCCAAAACTTGCAGCACTAGTTTCCAGGTTAAGGCTCCACCCTTAGCCAGCAAGCAGAATAGAGCACCATGTGGTCCTAGGCTGGGCGCTGATCCTTAAGTTTGCTGTATTACAACTCCTTCAGGTTTTCTTTCCTCTTAACTCTGTTCACCCCACTTTACCTTTTTAATTTCTATTAATTATTAAATCTGCTGCCTAAAATAGTTTCTCAAATAAGTCAGAAACACATACAAATCCAAGAAATACATTTATATAAGGCTATATAATCTAGACAAGAATTTATAAAAGAAATCCTTTGCAGTTATATTTGGAGCATGGAAGTAATTTTTTTGGTCCAGTTTCCAAGTGTTATTTTTCAGAATGAAAGTCAATGTGATTTTCTTCAGCACATACGTCAAAGGCCAAAGCTAAAAACCATTTATTTTATATTTTGATTTTTTTAAAGGATAGGCTTGTGATAGAGGTTTGGCCTCGGCCCTGAGAGATGGAAGAAATCTTAAATATAAATTCCTGTAGTGACAGAGGTTTCCTCTGAGGCACATTTAGGGAACCTGAGAATTTGACAGGCCCATTTCACTCTCTGAATGTCTACATGTGAGCTGAAGAATGAAGCTTAACTCATCCCAACTTTAATTGATGTTTCTAAACTATAACAGTACAATTAGAAATTTAGACAGAATCACTTAATTTATCTACTGTGACCTAATCTTAAATGGCCAAAAGCATAATGTGGAGTGGAGTCATGCACTAGTTTTCTTTCTCCCTCCACCCACATTTAGGCCACTTCTTTTTGTCATTCCCAAATTTCAGCCCAAGTAAATCTACCCTACTTGTTCCCTCCTCAGAAAGTCTTTAATCTCAGAGAATATTTGGTTAAACCTGAGATTCTATCAGGCAAGAAGGAAAACAATCCAATTCAAAGTTAGGGCAAGAAGTACAGCCTGATTAACCACAAGGGCTGAATTTGGAAGGATCACATGTGTTATATGTATGGGCAGCTTCCAGGGGCAGAGTCCTCTACCCCAGATCTTTCTGCTGTTTCCATCAGTTCAGGCATCTACAATCCATGCCATTGCTTGCCCCATAATTGGAGGAGGTATGGATTTGCTACCATAGGTTAGTATCTCCCCCAGTTCCACTGAGAATAATAAACCTCTATAAAGAAATAATTGGCCCGTGGGAATAAAGATACTATCCACCGAACACTCAGTGTAAGCCCTCAGTGCAAAGGCTCTTTCCCACCACAAACCTCTCCTGGGTCTTTGTTTCCTGGGATTCAGGCCAGCCTGAAGACCATGAATTCTGCAGACAGAGAACGTGTTTGAGAGTCAGATCATGTGGAGTTGGGCTTTCAGCTGCAGCTACTCCTTATTGCAATGTGATGGGGGAAAGTGTGTTAACATCCCTGACTTCTAAGAGTCTCATCTGAAAAATGGGTTAAAATAGCTACCACACCTGGCTGCTATGACAAAGCACTGGTTACAGTGGGTGGGTGGTTTTAATCTCTTTCTCCTCAGCAACTTGCTGACAGCTTGGTAATCTATAATGTTCTCATTAATTGAACCTCATCAGTTTAAAGATAACTTTTTCATGCAAGAATTATTTTCTATAGCTCCCAGATTAATCTGCTACTACTGATATTTATTGATGGCATTAGCTATATAGAAATCAATAACATGTAATTCCAGTTCTTTCAAGAAGCATACAAAGAAAACCCATGCAAGTAATTATAATTCAAAGCCAGGAGGAGGGAAATGAATTTTACTTAGCAATTTTGTGCCAGGCACTGCTCTAGATACTGGGGATATGTGGTCAACAGCACAAAGTCCTGGCCTGCCAGAAGCTTATACCTTCACAAGTAAGTAAGATCACTTCAAGTTCTAATAAGTGCTAAGATAATATAATATGCGAGGTGACTGGAAGGCTTCTTTGGCTCAGAGGATCAAGGACAACTTCTGAGAAAGAAACACTGGAATTGTGACCTAAACAGCACGAAGACAGCCATGGGACAAGTTGGTGGAGAATATTCCAAGGTGAAGGAACAAGAGCTGAGATGGGAGCCTGGACAAGTTCTAGGGAAAAGCAAGAAAAGCACCAGTGGCTGGAGGGAAGAGAACAAAGGAGAGACTAAAGTAAGATTAGGAGACAGAGACAGAAGGCAGACCATGTAGGACTTTATGGACCATGAACCTTATTCTGGGTACAATGTGAAGCTATCAGAGGATTTGACACCTTAGATACCAATCTGATTTCCATTTAGAAAACTCTTCTGGATACTGAATAGGGGATCGATTGACTGCAGAAGCAACAGTGAAGGTAGAAGTGTGAAGTACAAGCCTGTTTCAAGAGTCCAGACAAGAATCAAACATGTCTTGGATGAGGGAGGGAAGGCAGATTTGGACAGTGAAAGAACAAGAGAGATTGAGGCTGACAGGTAGAGTTCAGAACAAATGGGTAGAAATAGAAAGTCACAAAGCTGATGGTGAAGCCTTAGGGAGGGAAAGGGGGAACTCAATGATTCTATTTGGGACATACTATATATGAGATACTTTTTGAACAGCTAATTGGAGATGTCAAGTAGGAAGCTGAAAATATGTACCTGTAGCTGAAGGTAAATTTTTATTTTTATTTTTTTGAGACGGAGTCTCACTCTGTCGCCAGGCTGGAGTGCAGGCTGTTTCGGCTCACTGCAACCTCCAACTCCTGGGTTCAAGCAATTCTCCTGCCTCAGCCTCCTGAGCAGCTGGGATTACAGGCACGTGCCATCACGCCCAGCTAATTTTTGTATTTTTAGTAGAGACAGGATTTCACCATGTTGACCAGGATGGTCTCGATCTCCTCACCTCATGATCTGCCCGCCTCGGCCTCCCAAAGTGCTAGGATTACAGGCGTGAGCCACTGTACCTAGCCGCTGAAGGTAAATTGAGATAAATATCATGAATGTGAAAAAAGAACAATGCTGATAGAACTAAAGAGGCAATGATCACTTCAGGGAAGGCAGTCTGGTGAGCGTACCTGTACTGTGGCTTTACTTGGGCATGGATGACTCCTTATTCAGACTTGACTACTGAGCCCCAGAGCTACTCCTGGACATCACAACCAGGGCCTTGTGAGTACCTCAATCTTGATGAACAAAACAGAAGTCACCACTGTTTCTGCAAAAACCTAGCCCATCTTACAGCTTCCTCACCTTTGGTGGCTGCTTGCTACCTTAAAAATAAACAAATAAATGACAAACAAACCCTTAAGTGAGATCTACAAGGTTCTGGGTGATAAGGCTCATGCCTTCCCTTCCAGCCTCCCCAAATTGGGTTCCTCAATTTATACTAGTTCCTCAAATTGCACTGTTCTGTCTTCACTCCAGAGCTCTATATGTGCCACTCTCCCTACTAAATTTACTTACTCATTTTCCTTCCAGCAAACTTCTCTTTCTCATGCCATCTCTCATTGTAACAGCAGCTACTGAGGGCCTAGTATGTGCCAGGCATGATGCATAGAACCTTCCTCCAGGAAGCCTTCCTTAACAACACCCCTCCCCCAGGCTGGGCTGGACACCACTTCTCTGTGCTTCCATAGCAACCTGCCTACCTTTACCAGAGCACTTTCCCACCATATCTAATTTTTCACTTTACTAATGTATAACCACCTCAGTCTGAAAATGAGCTGAGGCCCATATGTAACAGCAATATTTTTTTTTTAATGAGTAAAGACAATGAAGAAAAAAATGAAGCCAGAATTACAGCTTAATACAACAAACTACACTTCTTCAGGTACTGCACACTTTTTATAGGTCAAATGCACATTCAGTTCTGAGCCTCTCAGTTAACAATACCAAAGTGAGACACATGGCACAATCCATCGTGTCCATAAGACAGAAGGCAAACTACTCAGAACGTCCACTACTCTTGCCTGCAATCTCACCTGGATGTATCTGTAACAATTGCACTTTAAGATAAAACAGAGTGACAATAATAGTGGTATAGACAGTATAAAGAGTACATATGGTAACAAATTTCATAGGGATATTTATTAAAGTGGTCCTCAATGAAGATCAACAACATAAGGCAAAAGCACTCTTCAGTAAAAATGATTCCATGGGAGCTCAAAACAATGAAACAAACAATGAGCCTATTTAGAAGAGGCTCTCCAGGGTACCAAATCCTCTTCTACTCCTGCATCTCTGCTCAGGCCCTTTCCTGACCTGGACAGTGCAGTGGAGAAATAATAAGATCATGCATGAGCTGCTGTGTGGCTAATATTTTGAGAAAGTTGAAACACACCAGGTAGAGAGAGTTATTATAGATGAAAGTTTCTCAAACTTTTTTGACTGTGACCTATTCCTAAGACATATATGTTATTATGTCACACCCCAATTTACACATGCATGTATGTATAACTGAAACAAACATTTGGTGTAATATGATACTTATGGATACATTTTGTATAATATGTTACTTATGATACTTAATATGATACAAAATATATTCATACTTTATGTCAGATCATTTTTTTTAATCCTGGTTGCAACCATTATACTGATTTCATGACTCACTAGTGGGTTGTTACCAAAGGTTTGAAAGATGTAACCTGTATGAATTTAAGCCTTTCTTGATGACCTCATTTCAGTGGTAGATTCATAGCTTCCAGCATCCAAGCAAATTCAAGTGATTTACACAGACGGTGGTTCTGTGATCCACCAAAACTACCTTGCCACTTCTTCCCCTCAATGTAGCAAGCCTGGTGGGTGATACAATGGTTCTTTCACCTTCCATTCCTAGCAAGAAGCCAAGAATACCTGGTATATGATGGATGGACAATAAGCATTTGTTGAAAAAATGAATGGCCATCTAGCCTATGCATGGCTTAAGGGATCTTCTGATAGCTCATCGCTACCTAAGACTTCAACATCAAGTACAACTGCCTCCTCCTCTGGGCTCTGTTGAGAGCCAGCAGCCACCTTCTTCCAGATGTTTCTTTTACCCCATCACCTGGGTAAACAAGTCCTCTTTAAGGACTTCCCATTGTCTTCCTCTTTAGGCAGGTTCTCTCACATACATATATACAGACAAGAATTACATCCTTAGTATTTAAAAACATTGTTTTCTCCAATTTGAATATTGTTTAACTCAGAAATTAAAGAGGAAACCTTTCATCCCAAAGGGATTTGATCTTTTATTCTAACTGGAAAGCAGTGATAATTTGGAGCTTTTTTGACATAAACGAAACGTCGTTGATGCAAATGTCATCATGGCATGTTGAAAAGCATGAGGTTTCTAAGGGAGGAAAAGTAAGACTGAGTTTAGAGAAATTATTTCACTTACTATTGGCTCTACTGTACTATACCCAGGAGCCATTAAATCTGTGACTGCTTGTAAATAACTTAATTCATTTAGACTCAGTTAAAATTAAAATTCACTTGCAATTTTTCCTCCTTAAGTATATTCCTATGTCATATGCACACACACAGAAAATGGAATGGTTTCTGTTTTATAAATCTGCAGGTTACTAGAGACATTTAATATAGTTCATGTTTAGTTTATGATTACAAAATTACCTTTTATAATGATAATTACATGTCAAAATTAAGCTCATAAGAATCACCATTTCCAATCAACAAGTCAGGTGCCCAATTTGGGTGCTGGTTTTGGAATGCCCTGACTAGTCACAATTGGTTCATGTTTGAAGTCATTTTGTGGAGGGATTTATTTAGTATGCCCCATCTTCTCCCTTAGGAGTTTAGCTCCTACTGGGAGCTTTAGGGCTCTGGGAGGTGAAGCCTGCTCTGTTACCTGCAGGGCAAAGGTGTAGGATTCATCTCTTTCTAGAAATAACTGCAATAAGAGGGAAATCTTTTGTCTCTTGGGTAGCCTGTGAGGGCAGTCAACACTGTACCTTAGGCCTTGTTTTAATCCTTTAAAAAAGATGTCTGGCCGGGTGCGGTGGCTCATGCCTGTAATCCCAGCACTTTGGGAGGCCAAGGCAGGTGGATCATGAGGTCAGGAGTTCAAGACCAGACTGGCCAAGATGGTGAAACCCCATCTCTACTAAAAAATACAAAAATTAGCCAGGCGCGGTGGCAGGCGCCTGTAATCCCAGCTACTCAGGAGGCTGAGGCAGGACAATTGCTTGAACCAGGGAGGCAGAGTCTGCAGTGAGCCGAGATCATGCCACTGCACTCTAGCCTGGGCGACAGAGCAAGACTCCGTCTCAAAGAAAAAAAAAAAAAAAGATATCTGGGTCAGATCTCTGGAAGCTCCCTGGAATAGGGCCTCTGATAGTGGTATTCATGTGATTTAAAAATTAAAAGAGTAACTCTGGGTCTTGAGGCAACAATGAACTCTTCAGGGATGGGACATGCATTCCCGGCATTTTGACAAAGGACTGTAACAAATATTATTACATCAGAACAAGGATCTCTGAGGAAAGAAATAATAGTAATAATAAAATAAAAAATAAAAAAATACTATTACAAATTTTGAGGAACACACATTAACCATTTTCGTTGGACTCAGAGTGTAATTTTGAAACTTAGAATTTGGAAATAAAGGTGTTTTAATCAATTGCTTTCTACTAGTTAAAAAGTTAACTCTGTTTTCAAAAGTAATATCAGTAAGAAAAAGACATTACAGAATAAAATTATGAGAAAATTAACAATTATGATTTGAACAACCCTCTTCACATAGTTAATATTAGTGTAAACCATTTTAGATGAGACATATTGACTCAATAGTCTGTGCTTGGCGACCCTGTGAATAGATTAGTTCCATTAATAACTGTTGGTACTTGAGAATAAGGCCATTTGTTTAAATTTCTTCTCAAAAATAGTATTTTGACCAAGTCAAATAGACTTTTGCTGAATTTTAGTCTGTATTTAAAAACTTAAAAAATATATACTGAAATTTGAAGTTGAATTTGTTAAGGGAAAATAATTGCTATTTTATCATTGGAGACAGGATTCACAAAGATGCGTTCTGTAATAATTCAAGCTTTTTAAGATTCTTTTCCTAGGAACAGCAATAAGCGGACAAACTGCTCCTCTGCATGAATATCTTTTGATTTAAAACTGGTATGACGCTCATTAAAATAATTGAAAGAATTACATACAATTAGTGAGCTAGTTATGCCTAAGGAGCAGACACTGGCTCTTCACTCACTTGGCATACTACTTAAATCCCAAACTTCTGCTATTTTTTAAAGATGGTATACTATATATGGTGACAAATTAAATATTTAGAGATAACTAATCAGTAGAACTAAAACTGCATCCTTCAATACCCCAAGGACCAGTAAGACACCAAAGTTCAAAGATATGGTTCAGAATACTGATTTCCTAAGAGCACCCAACTGCAGAAGAACAGATGGTCTGTGAACAATAAAGATTCTAAAGAAATACACGTTTCAGCATGACATATAAGGCATGTGGGTTGAAATGATAAGAAGCATATAGGAAAACTAATTAATCATTGTCACCAACAAAATAACATATAGAGAGGCACAGGAGGTTTCAGGTAAGCCAAAAGTGGGCAACTTCATTTCTAACAATTGGATAACAACTGAACACAGCAGATATTTGACACACGTTTCCAACAATGTTTAAAAACTACAGGCTACCATTATGGTTATATTACACTACGCCTTCTATTTGTGTTTCTGTTCACATGTTCATTTCATCTGGGGCTAGTAAGCACCTATTTTACAGAAATCAATGTGGTATAACTAAATTGAATGCAAATTTTAATCCTTTTGTAAGAAATACCATAGATGAAATCCATATACTCATTATAGCAGACTAGTTAAATGCAGACTCTGGCACCAAACTGCCTGCCTTTGGTTAACCTTGGGTTACTTACTTTACTTTTCTCTCCCTCAGTTTCCTCATTTGTTAAACAGAAGGTATTAATAAGACCTTATTATTCAGGTTGCTATGAAGATTGAACTGGTTAACAGTCACAAAGAGCTCAGAATAGTGCCTGAACGTCACAGGTACTACATAAGTGTTAAGCACATGAATAAGAAGGCTTTTTAAACCATTTAATTTTCCGCCCTGCAGTTAAGGAGATGTCAGACTCTCGGGGGCTAAGAGAGTAGACACAGGCTGTAAAACAGTGCAGGTGATTTTAATAGTTTGTGTTATCTTCCTCCCCACTGTGTCCTACCACCTGAACTAGATTACCTCTTAGTTTCTTCTCGTTAAAAGAAAAAGATCATTTATCTTATGGGAAACAAACAAAATTCCCTTTTCTGACACTCTGTTTAAAAAGAACTGCCTTTTTCTTTAACTTTATAAAATTAAGTTTGATTAGAAGCTTAGTTATCCTCCAGCAGATAACAGGTCCCAAGAAATCACTCAAATCATTCTTACTTCAGCCTTCGCTTAGTCAAAACAAAAGTTTAATTGTTGTTGACTAAGTGATGAATTTCTTTCAAAGAAATCAATCGTATGGATTATCGTTTCCAACTCCAGGAAGGTAAACATTAAAATTCAAATTAATATAAATTTCTACACATAACATGCCCTTAAACCTCCCCTAGTGCAATTATAACTGTTGGTTTTTTAAAGAGACTTAAGCACTGAAATGGAATTGACATTTGGACCAGAGAGAAATGGAAGAAAACATGAAGACTAGAAATCCAGGGGCAGGGGACAAAAGGGTTCCCAGAATCTCTGCCCAGTTTCCTAAAGAAATGCTCAAAAATGGGTTTAGTAGCTATGAACATCCTGCACAAAAAATGCCAGGATCTGTGAACAAACTTAAATCTGTGAATAGCAGGTTGGTGATGTGTCAAAGTTCCTTTGGAATTCATAGGGAAAGTTTCACCGTTCTTTGGGCTATAAACAAACATTTTTGGTAATAGTAAAATTACAACATCTCCCAAAGCAATCAAATTCAACAGTGCTGTAAGCTCCATCTGTGGCACAAATTCTACCCACCAGGGGTTTTTAATTCCATGAGGGAAAGGTTGCGTGCATGTACTTATGTACTTGCCCTTCTGATAGTTTTCTACACAACAGTTAATCTTGAGTCCTAACTTTCCGGATCACTTAAGATAGAAATGCTGCCAAGGAAAATGCATACACTCATTTAGAAAACCATCACGAATTAAATGCACCTCCCTTTGAAATATGGACTGCAAACTTTTTTCCCCCAATGGCATCGTATGAGGGTCACAGCTTGAAATATCTGGTAATAGATGTCAATAACAAACAATAATGGTTTGCTACTTTGATTATGAAAGGAGGCATTAAAAGAGCAATCTATTGCTCTACTCCTTCCAAATTAGCTATGAGTTTGTACCAGCTCAGAAAATCGATTTCCTTTAGGAGAGGGATCCTTGCACTTCGGGCAGCTGCTGCCATGTGAAAGGTTCTATCTTTGGGTGGCTTGGAATTGATGGTTAGGCTGAAAGTATACACGAAATTATTATCAATAGTATAAAATCCCGACTTGCACTTTTTACACACACAAAAATATGCTTTTTCATTACACTAACAGCAAATTTAACTCTGGTTTTCTACTACTTAACAACTTATTAGCCTAGTTAGAACAATGAATGAAGACAATATTTATTAGAACAAAAGCTGCTTTCATGACTTAAAAACTCATGCCTACCTATATATTCTTTTTTTGATGAAGAGCTCTTGTGTTTCTCTGTCACTCCCTCAACACCCAGGGCCCTGCTCCTCACCCTAGGACTCAACACAGGCTCATCTCAGGAATGGCCCTCCCTGCTTACCTCCTTGGCCCTTTAAACCAGATAAAGTCTACCCTCCTAACGTGGCTTGTCCTGAGAGTTGAATTCAAAGAGATCTACATCTACTCCTGCCTCTTTAGGCATCATGGCAACATGAATGTTTTTACAATGGATGCTGACTCACAGGGGCTGTGCCTGCTGCAGGCCTGTCCCTTAAGTTCTGAGGGTGGTCTTCCAACTGCATTTTTTAAAATTATTCCTTTCCTCCACCCTCAACTCACTCACTTAAAACAAACAAACAACCTTTTTCTTCCTTTCACAAAACTAAACCAAATTAAACAAACAAAAAAACTTACTTCCAAACAAAGTTTACACAGTTTAAAACCAACGTTACAGTAGGTGAGCCAGTCTTTCATAACCAACTTTTCCTCATTCCAAACCACATCATCTATAAACCTAATAAAATACATTTTACTAGCTTGTTTTTTCCTTCACCCTTTTCCAATTTACACATGACCAAATAAATCTGGTAGGAAACGTGGTATGTGGAGTTGATTTCAAATTTTTAATTCAAATCTATTTCTTATTATTTGTTTTCTTTTAGGGCTAGTCTAAGAGCTTTCCAGAACAATTATCCTATAACATAGTGTCCAACTTCTAATGCCTCAAAAGGCAAACAAACTCAAAATACTTATGAAATATAAATGTTATAATAAGATGGACAACCAAGTTTTTAAAAACTTGACAATTTCCTCCACCCAGATTAAATATATGTGCAGGTTTATATAATTATATAGAAAACTGTTTTTCAGCCTTATTTAGTGATATTAGAATGTTGCTTACAATCTTGGATTATACATTAGGCTTTCTTTGCTGTTCTCCTTGTATAGGACAGGACTTTACATAGAGAACCCTCAAATATTTTATTCACAGACTTTAAAACATGATAACAGTGGTTTATAAATAAGTAAACTTCTTAACACACTACATTCCCTCCTAGGTTAGAAAAGTAATATCGGCCATATCAGATCCTTGGTGTTCAAAGTTAAAACAAGTACTATTTCTTAACAATGGCTTCATCTAAAAATTACTAAAATCACAAGCTAATGTAGAAACATTTGGACATATAAGTAACCAAAACCTAGTCTTACCACCACCACCTCAGATTATAAGGAATTATTAAAAAGTAAACATTTTGTAAGACATAAACATATTGAATACAGAGGATGATATAGACACAAACAATTGTTTCATGGTAAAGTGAGAAGTAGCTATGCTGATTAATATAAATTTTAAAATAATGAAATAGGATTCAGATAAAATTTTCCTTAGAGTGAAAAGGTATTAACAACCTAAATACTCTAGTTATAGGGCCAGATGGATATGCTACATGAAATTTAGAAAATGGATAAGAAATTAAGACCTACAGTTAGGTAAACATTATAGTGTGCATTCCATCTTCTAAAGCACATCAAATCAGGTTAACGAAACAGAATCTCATCTAAACAGGAAGCCCAAATTTAAGGGTTTGTCAAAAAGTTGTGTAACAAAAGAAAACAGGTAAGACCAAGAAAGAGTCACCCTATATATATTTTTTATTTGAAAAAGTCTTTCTCCACATTTTTAATGGCTTATTTATAATTTTATTTGAAGATATTTTCCTGTCACAAAAACCTTTAAGAGTTACCTAATCTATTTCTCCTAATTAGGAATTTTCCCACTATGGCTACAGGGCCTTAGAAGGGGGCTGAAGCTTCAGCTTTATTCACTTCATTAGCGGCCTCTTTAGGACTTTTCTGAAAGAATTGTCTGAGGGTGGGGACAGTGTTTTGTTTGGTCTGATTTCAAAAGGTGAGATTTAAAAAAAAAAAAAAAAACAATGGCACAGTCCAGTGAAAAGGGTAACGGTACCACCAGAGGATGTGTCTTACCATACAGGTATCCAGATCTTCCAAACGCTCTATCTCTGTTAGCTCCTCCACTGTGATGATGGAACGTTTAACTGGCTTCTCCTCAGCCAGCTCGATCTCTAAGGATTCTTGTTGAGGAAGGGTCTTGCCACGTCTGCTGAAATGGTCAGCCTAGAAGGTCAAGACGTGTACGAGGAGAAATTAAAGTACAGAGAAAGTGCTGGTTAGCAGGATTCCTGAAGACGTCTTCCACAAGATGGCGCAGTGGAGCACAAAGCTGACGAGTGACAAGGACAATTCTTAATACATTCACAGTACAGTAACTTACCTCCTTTTATTATCTTTCTTTGGAGGACAGAGTGTTTTAAGCAATAAGTTATAAATCTCTTAGTAAATGAAGAGACAACATAGTAGTGTTCTTTTTATTAATTTTATTTGATAATTCCTCTGAAGAAATTTCCTTCTATACTAAAAAGTATCTGAGAGTAATAAAACAATTCCAACTTTCATTATTTTTAAAGGACTGAAAAGAAGGAAATTACTAGCAAAATTTTAATTCCTGCTCGCTTTCATTGTTTTCATATAATGAATACCATATTTGATATGATTTCTTAATTTCCAGTGTTATACTTTAGGTAAACATAAAAAATTAAATAAGAGGTAGAATAAGCTTGGCTGAAATTAACAAACTTCAGTGCTGAGCTGATCTGACACCAGGAACTTTGATTTAATTCTTCTGAAACAATGAAAACCAGTTGGCAAGTCCACGGAAACTTTGAGAACGTTTACAAACTTAAGTTGGTGAAAATGGTATCTGAAAGTCATTGAAACCAAGGTTTCATTTTGAAGACAGTATTTCCTTCATATGAGACTTAATCTCTTTCCTTATAATCTAAATCAGCAGTATTAATGTTAAAATGAAGTTCAAACCAAAAGTGCATTCAGCAAATTTTTTCGCAATTAAAAAAATCAATACTTTCTGAGTAAATTCTTTAAGAAAAAACAAATGCAAAAAAGTGAAAAATTCAAACTTTCAGTGTAGTTCTCACATGAAGATTTCTGTTAGTATAATATGTACTATTTGTGTCATAAGTAAGCATTTTAAGGCCATTCCTGGAGCCATGGGTTATCAATAAACTGTTTCTAAAATAAGTTTATTTTAAAAGGATGCTCTAGGCCAGGTGCAGTGGCTTATACCTGTAATCCCAGCACTTTGGGAGGCTGAGGCAGGTGGATCACTTGAGGTCAGGAGACTGAGAAAGGATTTCACATGGTGAAACCTCATCTCTACTTAAAATACAAAAATTAGCCAGGTGTGGTGGCACACACCTGTAATCCCAGCTACTCGGGAGGCTGAGTCAGGAGAATCACTTGAACCTAGGGGCAGAGGTTGCAGTGAGCCAAGATCGCACCACTGCACTCTGGCCTGAGTGACAGAGCAAGACTCCATCCTGAATGAATGAATGAATGAATGAATGAATGAATGAATACTCTATTGCTTTTGTTTGTACTTATTTAAAAAAAGGCTGAATCAGGAGCTCTAAACAATCATGTAGCTCTTTACTGTGCCAGGAAATAGAAAACAGTGTTTCTTACATTCAATGTGGTGATAAACTGGTTTTTTATATTTCCAATTTAGCACAAACCAATACACTGTTAAAATACAATAAAAAAGAAAAATCAGAAAGATAACATGTGTTTGGATACTCTATCTTTTTTGGTGCTACAATGAAAAACTATATTTTTTCATATGCACTGATATTGGAAGCTCAAGAAGTTTCTGGATGCTTCCTCTGGGGAACCATCCATTAGTGGGCCACCTCTGGTCCACAGGCAGCATTTGAATTGTGCTATTAGAGATATCTGTCTTGTCTTTCAGATTTTGGAAGACAGTCTTACACGTTTTTCTCAAATGAATTTTTCAAAAACATGCATTTTGTCTGTTTCACGCAGAAGAAGCTATTGCTGCTCCTCTCATTTTAGGATTCTCTAGGGTCACCCAACAATTCAATGCCATAAAACTGGTATCTCCATCCCGCACAGTTAAGAAAACATTGAAGAATTATTTTTCTTGAAGGAAACATTGCTATAACTTTCCTGGGAGACTTCCACTGCATCATATTGAGGCATTAGATATAACCAGTTATAAAAGCTTCATCTGTACCTCAGAGAACTTCCTGAAGTTTGCGCAACATTGAGTTTCTGATACATTTTTTCATATGCACTGATATTGGAAGTAAAATCCCCTACCTTGAGGCAGAACCAGTCTCTAGATGAAGAAATTTTTTTTTTACCTTGGTTATATCCAAGGCACCTGTGGGGCAGTCAGCAGCTATCCATTACTAAATTATGCCCATTTTGTTCTTGCACTTTCTTTATTCAAATATTTTTATTTTCTCCCATGTTTTTAGAATAGTCCATTATCAAATAATCATATCAACAACAAAATGAGCAAAGATAAATTAAAATGTTAATTTCAGACTTCAGTCTCAACATTTCTTCCCCAAGCTTTTGACCTTTATAATAAATGAACAATAAGATTTCTGGATACAATCAGTTCTGCTTTCCCTTATCATTCCCTCTGGAGAAGTTCTAACATGCTCCAGAATGGCTAGAAGCAACATAGAAGAGAAAGGAGGAAAACCAAGATCACAAACCATAAAGCTGTAATAGTGTGAAATACAGAAAAGAAATCACATCCCCACACCGGAAGTCATCCTGCATCACAGCAGAGCTGAAACAGGAGGTCCTGCTCAAGATGTGCACAGCACTCACCAGTTTATGATGGCAATGTGAGAGTGCATCCAGGATTTCATCCACAATTCTATCAGACAGGAACGAGGCCACTGTCAATTTTACTTCACTGTGTGAAAATCAAAAGGACAGAGTACCATTTTAATTTGTGCAAGAGGGGAAAATGATCCACCCTTGCTGCTATAGTGATAAGGTCAACTGTGATTCCATTTCTGTCTTTGAAAGTGGAATATAAGAATGTGTGAACAGGACTAAGGATTTCCAAAAATAAACCTTAAACACTGCCATAAACACACAAGTAATAGACTTTCTTTACCAATTTCAACCTGCCTCTGCAATTTCAAAACTCAAGATTTAATGGTAGAAATGAAAAACGTCTGGATAAAGACAAAGTTAATGGGAACCATATGTACCATGTGGTGAGGAACAATTCATCCATTGACATAAAGGAAAACAAACCTGGGCTGGAGTAAATTAAGAAAGTCTAGCCTGGTTGTTAAGTCTTAGTTACTGCTTTAGTATGCGTATCACTCACCCTTTTAAAAAACTTTTCACCAATCAAATGATACCATAACTGCGTCTGCTTTGACTGACCATCTTACTTTGACTATTTACAAAATCACCTGCCCCTATCTTTTATGAAGAGAGGTTACTAAAATTTGCAGTTCTGGTGCCTGTTGCCTGACCTCAGAGAGTTGTCCACACAGCAAAAAGTGGCTTGTTGTTTTTACTAATAAACAGACCCAGCCACTAAGATTCTGTCAGATGGCTGGTATTTTTGTTTGCATTTTTGCAAATTTGGTATTCCCAAGAATTCCACTTTCATGTGTGTTCTCGGTCTGAATATCTTAATGGATATATGTACAAATGTACATTAAGCACAATACATTTAAAGGTAAATACGTGAGAGAAATACATACCTATATTCCAATATTGTCGCATAAGCTAACGTTGAAAATATATTCATGTAACATGGAAAAAATCTTGCTAACCTAAAGGCAATAATTTGCATGGAGATTTCTCTGCCTGGGGAGATTTCTGAATAGAAGTACTAGTTTTTTACTTAGAGTAAAAATTATCTTAAGCTAAAGATAAAAAAATACATTTAATTTCTGCCCATGAAACAAGGTATCACTATCTATTTGCTTTATCTGATACTTTACTATTCCCCAGAGGTGTCTACTGATAAGATTCACCCAGGTCTCATATTAAAAATACAGGTTATTGGGTCCCACCCCAAACTTTCAGAGGGACCTGAAAATCTAATTTTAAGTACTTCCTCTGATTCTTTTTAGGCATGTTTAGAAATTATACTTCCTCATAAAACTATAGGTTCAATAGTTTCTCTTTCTCTCCTTCTCTCTGAAAGTGGGGAGGAGTGGTTCATCTATTTCAAATTGTAGCACCAAAAAAAGATAGAGTCTTAAAAACGCAATTATTTTTTAATATCTCAGGATCATTCTATCATTTTGCTACCGGATACTATGCTTCCTTCCTGGTTAAGCTTCCAGTTTGCAAAGGTTTTAGAGGAAAACAGTCAACTTAACCTGCCCATGCAAATGTGCATATTATATGAATGTATACATACATGCATGTGTAGGTGTAAATATTTTCATTCTATCAATGTTCAGTATAATGCATTATAAAAAGCCAAGTATGGAGTTAATGGACATAAAATTGATTCATTGATGTGTATTCTATACTGCTGTTCAACTTTCAGAATTTGCCCATTTTCAAAGGAAATGATCATATTTGACAGAATTTGATACTCAAAGCTATCAAAATATGATCTATTTGTGGCTGAAACCACTATTATGAAAGAATAGTGGCCAATACATTATTTTCTCCTTAATGTTTAGGCATCTCCAACAAAAAAATTCTCAAACCACAGGTTATAAGAATAAGTAAGCACACCTAGTGAAGGGCTAGAGTTTATAAAGTCACTAATCTATGGGGTCCTATAAACCCTCTAGAAGTCTTCTCTAAAATTTCTCAAGTCCTTCCAATTGCCTTACAATTCAGCTGAGTAGGATTTAGGGGCTTCAGTAAAACAAAACAAACAAACAAACAAACAAAAAAGACCTGAGATTATTCAGTTACTGCAGAATTTCTAAATCCTCAAAGTTCTATAATCTGGATTTAGAGTCATCAGCCTTTGATATCTAGTTAACGATAATATAATTTGGGGCTCATTTTGTTTTTCGCTCGTTTTTCTCATGGATTGTCATTTAGCTGTATCATTGTGTGTTAGCACCGCCCCCAGCTCTATAGACAGGAGCTATTATTTCTGCTACATCTAAATATCTTTATCAATATTCAAAAATGGTTAAAATGGAAAATTAAAAAATGCTTCTGAACTTAGTTTTTAGTTATCTGATTCCCCAACTAAGAAACATTATGAGAATTAGCTGAGCTATAATGTAATACTGTTGATGGACCAAGAGTCTCTACATAAAAATTCAGAAAAGTTTGCCAGTAATCACGGCTTCTAAATATTTACATCTTGTCATATTTTTCAAACTTTTTCAAACAGAAATCTAGGTAAACACTGCAAAGACACCATTAATACACATATAGTATTACAGACCCACCAAAATAACCCAGAAGGAAAATATGGGAAGGTCAAAGTGGGCCTCTCCCTATTTAGAGGCTGTGCATTTGTTCACAGTGTATGACGGTAAAAAGCAAACTGATCTCAATCTTCAAGCTAGTGATCTGTAAAGGTGAAAGATAAACTTCAGAAACAGAAAACAGGGATTACAAACATGTACCCTCTCTTAAATATAAAACCTTTAAACAGAGCAGATAATTCTATGTCCTTAAGTAATGCAGGCATTTACGTGATCATCTCATTTTGGAAATGTATAAAACTTATGCATTTATGCACAGTTATATTTATATACAGTTTCTGCCTATTAAACATGCCTAAACACATTATATATGGATACAGCCAACAATAACCCTCTTTACAGCTGCCTCGACTGCATTTACAGAAACTGCAGCTCCTAGGTTTATTAACATTATAAACCTACCTAATTTTGTTAAGGATATCAATTCCAGACTGCTCCAACAGGACATTTTTAACAAAGGTACGTGGAATAGAAATCTTTTCGGTGCTGGCATGAATCAAGTCTTGTCGAATGTGGGCTTTTTTCATCACATTGGGACAAAGATTCTCAGCAGCATCAACCATGGACTCAAGCAACGCCTGCAATGCAGCACAAGTGAAGGGAAGAGATGATGACACTGCACCCGAGGTGCCCGCCATAAAACTGAAAGGTGGTTATATATGACACGGAGCCCTCAGAGAACAGGAGCACGACGGAGTCCCAGAGCGCAACCAAGAATTCTGAGCTGCCCCAGGGTGACTTGTGACTGTTGGATGATCATTGATCTCTGGTAATCACTTTAAATCAGACACTTGGCAGAACCAAGCAAGCTTCATGCTGGCATCTGAAGTGTTATGGCGTGTCAGCTGTACTTAACACAAAGCCATTAACGAGAAGATTAAAAAATGCAAACATCAAGCCTTTATACACCCCCTTACCACAAGAACTTGTTTTCCCTGGTACTAGAACACAAAGTCACAGGTAACCCTAGAAAATATATCATATTTGAATGCTTCTGAGATTCTGCAAATCACAGAAACTCCAAATTAGGGTGAACCATTCAATTGCTCTATCAAAACAGCAGTAGCAGAAAAATCACAGAAACTACTGCCAATTTTACTCTTTTAAAAGAAAAGCTTTAGGTAAGATATTAATTATTATGACAGCAATAAACTATAGGAAAATAACAGACAAAAACATTAATAGCACCTTATAGACAGCATTAATAGTAACACTCAAAAGACATTCATATAGCACTTTAGAGTTTGAAAAATGTTTCTGCACATTTTATCCTTCCAACATCTGTGAAGATGGGTAGGGCAGCTATTCATGTGATCACCATTTTACGGTTGAAGAATGTGAGCTAAGGGAAGTTAAATGATTTGTCTGAGATGGGTGATACGGTTGGAAAGTGTGGAAAGGGCATCAGCATCAGTGTCAGACCTAAATTTGAAATCTAGCTGAGTGACACTGGACAAAGTTACTGATCTCTCCATTTGACTTTCCTTGACCATAAAATGACAATAAAAACGTTCTCACCTCATAGGATTATTGAGAATAAATAATATTACATGTCTAATGTGTTCCACAGAGTGTCTAGCACACAGTAAGAGCTCAGTATATCACAGATATTAAAAGCTCAATACATCACAGACATTATTATTAATCTGATTTCGAAGACTGTTCTTAATGATAAGAAACGCAGTTTTTGAAAGCAAGGCTTGGATCCTATTACTGGTCCACTGTGAATTAGGACCAATGAAGCACTGTTATCAAAAGACTGGTACAGTGGTCTATCTGCTCACATATTAAAATGCAAAGCACAATCCACCAATAAAATTTCTCATTGCACTGCAGTGTGAGCAGCAGAGTAGCAGGCTGTTTACAAGGATAATGTGGAAAACCAGGGGAAGAGAGGAGGGAGGCAGCCGTTTGAGAAGTTTCCAAAAGCCTTTCCTATTTTGACAGTGCTCTGTCCCCATTATAACTCTGGTTGAATAATCACTGAATTAGTATATTTTTCAAGAAAGCTCCTATACCAATCATCTGCAAGAGATGCAAGTAAGTCAGTCTAAGGCAAATTAGTCTCCTCTTTGACACTGAGATAAACACATTTTGTTCTAGATGGAGTAATAGTCCGGCACTCCTGATACAAACAACCTCAGGAATCCAATACTCTGTTTTAATTCTGTCATGTTCTTCAACATATCAGTTACTTTCTGAAAGGTCTCCCTGCATGACAGTGCTAATTCAGTTTGAATGAACTTCACACCTAAAGGGAGGAAGCCTGGCTTCCAATGTAAACTCTGACATGAAATTTCTGTGGAATGTTAAGTGAGTAGTATTAAGTGAATAATCTTTGCGGATCTCTGCATTTTCATCTATAAAATTATATAAAGTCTCTTTCTGCTCCATGATCACATAACTTTGACCCTATAAAAACGAATTTTAGCCTGTCTTAGGCATTTAACTAATCCAGCAAATATTCTGCAGTTAGTTCCTTACCACCACCTCTATCCCAACAGTACAATACAGCACTTTAAAAGTAACTTCATCCAGGGTTTCCTTTCATCCACATGACAACTCTGTAGGTGAAGATAGACTTTAGATGAGGGAACTGGGGCTCACAGGACATAAGTGACTTGCTCAAGGTTGCTCAGCTGGTCACTGGAGTTGGTGAGATGGGCACTCAGGTCTTCTGTTTCCTACTCTTGTTTCCTATTATACCCATCCTCATTTAATGGCCCTGATCAGTATCCAAAAGAATGTGCCTTCCGTCTCTGCTTCATTACTTATAAGTTTGTTCCCTTGTTCTCTTAAATAAACAGTATCTAGGGCTGCCAGGGTAAACTTTGCAGTGGCAGGGCTGGGAGAAAGATAAGAGAGGACTGCAGCCTCTCCTTCATGCCCCCATGGACCTCTGCACACCAGAGCCTGTTCAACATCCATCCTTCCCGTGGCTTCAAACTGTTATTCCAGTGAGTCTCAACCAAATATTTATCTACAATCACCTATACAATACATATGATAAAACATATACACAATAAAGCCTAGGAAACTTTTCCGCCTGAATATATGCCATGGAAAGGTCAACTGCAAAGTATTGTCCTCCCCTCCCCACTCAAACAATAACAACTACAACAGCAAAATCAGCCTTTCTTGCTAAGTTCTTTACTGTGAAGAATGGTATTAAACTAGGTGAGAAATTTGCAAGTCTCACTAGACTCTACCTACCTCAACCCCTTCCACCACAACTATCTCCAAAACATGCTAAATTTATTCCTAGATATTTCCTCAAAAGTGGAAATATGTCAAAATTATTATTCTTTAGCACAGAATAAAAATCCCTGAAGTATCTGGTAGATGCTGAGCTTGCCAGCTTCATTTCTTGCCATATCTCTCTATTTCCTTTATAACTATTCATAATCCAATCATGGTTGCAGTTCCCCGTATGATCCAGGCTCTGTTTCCATGCTTTGCACACAATGTTTTCTTGGCCTAGATTCCTCCATTTTCCCCTCTGGGCCAGAATAAAACATCTGTACTCCTCTACACTCAGCTCAATATTTTTCTTTGAGAAGACTTTCTTTCTTCCCCTACTCTCTTCACACTCCAAGCTGTATTTGATGACATGCACTCTTTCCTGCTGCCATACAGTCGGAACCTCAGTGATAAAAAATAAAATAAAATGCTCAAGAAGTTAGTGACTTTTACCCATTTTTGGGCCAAGACACGCCTTTGAGAATCTGATGA
Organism: Homo sapiens; assembly: GCF_000001405.40. Lineage (NCBI taxonomy): Eukaryota > Metazoa > Chordata > Mammalia > Primates > Hominidae > Homo > Homo sapiens. Next base: position 25,547,755 of record NC_000006.12, on the reverse strand, counting down.
ACACTCATCCAGAAAAATTTATATGCAATTTTAATAGAATTCTGGAACTTCACAGAGAGCTAGAGCCATCAGACTCCAGATACAAAGTTATAACCTGGTGGCAATTGTGAAGTCCCATCTTACATCCCCAGGGCCTGGCACACTTCTGAAAACAATCACTAAGGAACATATTAAAAAGTATTACAGGCCCAAGGACTCACTAAGTACGGGTATAGTCCATTTTTTCTGTACTAAACTTCAGTGCTACTTCTGTCATTTCTAACATTTGAATATATGTATGGGTCTATTTATTGGATCTGTTTTTTTGGTTCATCTACCTCTGCATATTTTCCTAATTATCCTAAGTCTTAACATGCAGTAGAACAAGACTACCAACCTTCTTGTTCTTCTTTATATGTGTCTGGGCTATTTTTGAGCACTGCTTTTCCATATGTTTAGAATCAGCTTTGTCAAGTTCTATTAAAAACCTATTGGAATGTCTATTAGAATTATCAAATAACAGATAAATTTGAGGAAAAACTGACATCTGTAACAATAACTTTTCCTACCCACAAATATGACACATATTTTTATTTTAGAATTTCCTTAAAGTCTCTCAATAAACTTTCTCCATTGAGGTGTTAGAGATTTTTGTGTGATTTATTTCCTAGGTACTTTAGATTTTTCGGTTACTATTTTATTATTATTATTAATATTCTGAGATGGAGTCTCGCTCTGTTACCCAGGCTGGAGTGCAGTGGTGCCGTGATCTCGGCTCTCTGCAACTTCCATCTCCCGGGTTCAAGCTGTTCTTCTGCCTCAGCCTCCTGAGTAGCTGGGATTACAAGCACCTGCCACCACATCTGGCTACTTTTTTTGTATTTTTTTTAGTAGAGATGGGGTTTTGCCATGTTAGCCAGGCTGGTCTCGAACTCCTGACCTCAGGTGATCCACCTGCCTCAGCTTCCCAAAGTGCTGGGATTACAAACGTGAGCCACCATACCAGGCTCTCTGTTACTATTTTAAATGGTGAGTATTTTTAATGATATTTTCTAACTAGTTGTTGCTGACATATAGAAACACAATTTTTTTTTTTTTTTTTTTTTTGTTGTTGTTGTTGTTGAGACGGGATCTCATTCCGCCACCCAGGCTGGAGTGCAGTGGTGCAATCATAGCTCACTCCCACCTTGCTGGGACTACAGGTATGGGCCACCATGTCCAGCTAATTTTTAAAATTTTTGTAGAGATGAGGTCTCACTGTGTTGTCCAGGCTGGTCTCAAACTCCTTGGCTCAAAAGATCTTCCAGCCTCAGCCTCCCAAGGTGCTGGGATTACAGGTGTGAGCCACCGTGCCTGGCCTAACTTTTTACATATTGCTCTACCTCTAGAAACCTTATCACACAAATTCAATAACTTACCTGCAGATTCTTTTGGGTTTTCTAGGTAGGACATCATAAAATCTGCAAATTCTGATAATTTTTCTTCGTTTTTAATTCTTACATTTCTCATTTCTTTTGTTTATCGTATTGCACTGGCTAAGACCTTCAGTATAAAGCTGAATAGAAGTGATGATTATAAACATCTTTGCCTTATTCCTGACTTTAAAGGAAATATTTTCCCCTATTTAAAAAAAAAGTAGACCTACAAAAAATTGGAAAAAATAGGACAATAAGCATCTATAAACCTAACTCTTAAAATTCACCAGTTGCTAATAATTTGCAATATTTGTTTCACCCCTCTCTGAAACACCTGAAAGCATGTTGTTGGCATCATGACCCTTACTGCTAACTTAAGTTATCCATTAACAGCTCATTAGTTTTCAGGCTCTCCTCACTTCCAATATTGGTATTTAAAATCATGTATTTCACCCTAAGTACTGGTTTAGTTGTCTCCTACAGGTTCTTATGTTACTATTTACATTACTGTTTAATTCCTTATATCCTCTGATTTAAATTATGTCCTCCTCTTTGACCCATGAGTTAGAATTTTTAAATTTATAAACATGTGGGCTCTTTTTTAGTTATCTTTTGTTATTAATTTCTAACTTATTTGAATTGAGACCAGAAAATACGGTCTCTGAAATTGTGCAGATGACCTTTATGGCTTCATGGGCATTTTTCATAAATATTCCATGGACACCTGAAAAAAATTTCACATTCTCCTTTTGTTGTGCACTGATTGAATAGCTGCATTAGATTACAATTAAGATTTCTGTTGTTCAAATCTTCTTCATCATTGTTTTACTTGATCTATCAATTATGGACAGTTATTTTAAAAGATCTCTACCACAATGGCAAATTTGTCCATTTTTCTTTGTAATTTTGTCCACTTATTCATTCATTTATATATGAAGCCATATGATTAGATGCTCACACACTTCAAATTCTTACATATTTCTGGAAAACTGGACCATTTGTCATTATTCACGGACCTGTTTCTCTCTGGTGATACCTCTTCTATTGCCATTTGGGTGGGATTCAATTCTGGCTTGGAACTCAACCTTGTACGATATTTAGGATCACTGTTACCTGCCCATGTCAGTCACTATGACACCAAAAATAACCCAACATTTCCTAATGCTCTTCTAGAAATGCACTGTAACTTCTAGTTTAGTGCCTCTGTTTCAGTGATTATACTAGGAATTTTAACATGCATATTTTACTTCATGTGTAAAGCAACACAGTCCAATAGAACTTTGAGATGATAGGAATATCTGAGCTGTCCAATAAGGGAGGCATTAGCCACATGTGGCTACTGATCCCTTGAAATGTACATAATGCAAGGGAGAAACTGAATTTTGAATTTTGTTTAATTGTAATTTTAATGGCTACATGTGGTTAATGTGTAACACATTGGACAATACAGGTCTAATGCTGAATTCTTAACACTTCTCTAGAATAAAACTAGGACCTTGGATTGCTTTAACTAACTTTCTACTAACTTATACACTCACTTTCAGTACTTGCTTTTTAAAATTTTATAGCGTGTTAGACATTAATGTCATTGTTTCATGTAATGCTACTATTTACTCATATTTGGACCTTCCCAGCTCATTAGTCTTTCTTGTAGCTCAGACTACATTTTTTGGATAATTTTTCTTTGTCCTAAAGTATATCCTTTAGTGTTTGGGGTGTGTGTGTGTGTGTGTGTGTGTGTGTGTGTGTGTGTGTAGTCTAGTAACAGTAAATGATCTCAGTTTTTGCAGTGATGAAAATGCTTTCATCTTCATTTGTAAAAACTAGGTCCATTGGGTATATAATTCTAGATTGATATGTTATGTACTCTCTAAAGTTTAAAGTATTATTTCATTGTCTTTTGGATTCCATTAACTATTGAGAAGTGAGCTGTCAGTGTTAATATCGGTCTTTTTTTAAAAAAAGAGCCTCTCCCTGCCTGCCCCCAACCACCAACTCTGGCCTCCTTTCAAGATCTTTATCTTCAGCACTCTTCACTTTTTATTACAACGATTCTAGATGTAAATTTGCTTTTATCTATCCTGCTTTAGATTTCACTGGGCTTCCTGCATCAGAAGATTCTGGCCTTTAATTCATCTCTGAAATTCTCAGCTGTCATCTCTTCAAATGTTGCCTTCCCCTAGTCTCTGTTTTCTTTTTGGGGGAAAATCTAAATTAGGTTTATGCTAAATTTCTCATTCTATCCATATTTCCTAACTTTTCTTATATAGTCTTCATTTTGTTAGTCTCTGTTTTACTACCTTCAGACAACTTGCAATGAACAGGCCCTGTTTTTGAAATATGATAATCCGATTTTGTTTTGATGTATCTCTAATGACAGTTATGAGGGTCTATATTTCTTACCTGTAAAAATAACTAATGGTACTTAGGAAACCTGTTTAAAATCTGTAAAATAAATTGGATTCATATCCTTAACATGGCAGCTATGCTCTTACAATCTTGCAGTGAGCCAGTGACTTTTAATTCATTACAAGCAAATACAACTTCCACACTAAAATGCCCTGAAATCTTCCTTTCTTTTGCTTTGGAAAATATAAAGTCTAGAAAGAAGAAAACTCAGAAAACTCTTCTGGCCAAACTGAGTTAATAGTTGACAAAATGCCACCTAAACCCCTCAGGCCTCATATCATAAGTAAAGCTGAAATTTACCAGTCAAGTATTTTACCATTTAAGCCCTGAATGAAATTAAGAATTTCCTAGGCCAACACAAATACCCTAGACTTTAAGTCCAGAAGGGAGAAATGAATGTTTCCTTATGTTAAAACATTCAAATCCCCCTTGTTCATCTACTACTACTCCAGGAATGAATGTTAGGATCAAAAGAGGGAAAACAGGGGAGTGTTGTCATTCTGAAATATCTAAAACAGGCCAGTTTAGAGAAAACATCATCCCCTTCAAAGAAGGAATTTCTCCAGACTTACTGCTTTTCTCTCCTCCAGGAAGTATACTAAGAAGGCTGGCTTATCTGGCCATTTATTTTGCTTTCTGAAATAATACTTTGGAAAGATGGCTTAAAGAGCTATTTGAACTTATTCAATGTTCAAAATGTCTATGACTGGCCATGGTACAGTATGATCAAATATTAGAGCTGGAATAAATCCCCCTGATTATCATGAGGCCAAGATAATCTTGCAGAAGGAAATGTGGTCCAAAAAAGTTAAGCAACTTGCTTAGCAGGAAGCCCAGGACACAAATCTAGGCCTGCTAGGTTCCTTTTCTTATTCTACCACTCACTATAATAAAAACTATTTTTACAAAATAACATTTAAACAAGATAATCCATCGACTTTAGCTCTTGCAAGTTTAACATGTTAATTTTAGAGAATGTGGGAAACAGAAAAAGGAAAATTTTTAACTAGGAAAATTTGATAGTAGTAGTGAATTCAGTAACAGCCACAATAGTTTAATTTAAAACTGAACACTGGTTATATTAAAAATACATTTTCCCTACATAATTTTAAGAAAATCAATGCATTGGAAATTTATATAGACAAATGGTATTTTTTTTAATAGTAAAAGGTTGTCCACTTGTCATGTAAACTGGAAGGAAATATAAGGAAGTCCATTATAAGTATCAAAAATGAAATGTGCACCCAGTTAAAAGAACATTTTAAAATACATTTAATTAAGACGTTTTAGTTGAGGATTTTCTCTGATTCATTCCAGACATCCCCAAAGGAAAAGAAACTTGAAACTCAGAAGGATTGAGAATAATAAAAACAAGTGAGTAGGGAACAGGAAAAGGTGGGGAAAAGGCCATTTGGAGGCCTGGGACCTTAGAAATAGTGAGAATGAGAGAAAAGCATGCTATGATATTTGCAAATAAGGAGGCGATGATGAATGGAGAACACTGGTGATGTTTAAAGAGGGGTCAGAGAAATCAAGGTCAAAAGAATGTAGGAAATGCCTATTTACAGAAAATATTTTGAATCCTAAATATATTTATATTATTTTAGGCTTTAAAAAATTCAAATTGTTATACTTCGGATATTTTCCTTCTGCCCTTTCCTAAGAAAGAGACTGGCAAGAATCCATTTCAACAATTCCATGCAATGAGAAGGAAACGAACACCAAAGGTATAAGTGGTGGTTTGTCGTTTAGACCAGCTGAAATGACAATTAACAGTTTGAAGCTGTTTGATAGGAAAGGTCCTATTACAAATGTTTCATGCCCATTTAAATTCTAGCCAATTTTCAGTATGGAATAAGTTCTTACAAATACTTTAATGAAACAAATTAGGCAACGGATATGAATACACAATTTACAGAAGAAGAAATACAAAGGGGGAATGAAATTATTTGATGCATCACTGAGTTATTGAAGAAATCCAAAAGACACAATGAGGCCGGGAGCAGTGGCTCATGCCTGTAATCCCAGCACTTTGGGAGGCAAAGGCAAGCAAATCACTTGAGCTGACGTCAGGAGTTTGAGACCAGCCTGGCCAATATGGTGAAACCCCATCTCGATTAAAAATACAAAAATTAGCCGGGTGTGGTGGCCGGCACCTGTAGTCCCAGCTACTTGGGAGGCTGACACAGGAGAATAGCTTGAACCCAGGAGGCAGAGGTTACAGTGAGCTGAGATCACGCCACTGCACTCCAGCCTGGGTGACAGAGCTACACACCATCTCAAAAAACAAACAAAAAGACACAATGAAAATTTTTTTCCCATTACATTGAAAAATATTAAAAGGTTGAACAACTTAGCATTGTTGAAGATGTGGCAAAATCAGCAATTGCTCGCACTAGTGAATAGCAGTGTGTGAATCCATATGAAAGTATAATACTATTTGACTAATACTATTTGACATAACAATGTCAAATTATAGACATTTACCCTAACTAATCAGAAATTATAAAATAAATTATGCTGGTACATCTATGCAATGGAATACCACATAGCCATTAAAAATGATTATTCATCAACCTATAATTGTATTCATGACATTGTACCAAATAGAACAAGGTTACCAATCAGTATGTATAGTATTATCACTTATATAAAAAACTGTGTATATAGGCACAGAATGTCTAGAAATTCACTAAGATATTAACAGAGACACTACCTCTGGGATCTCACGGGATTTTCACTTTCTTTTTTTCCCTATATGTTAGTATTGTTTAAACATTTCACAAAGAGTAAGTCATTTTCTACAGTTAAAAATAAATAACAAAGCCAATTTTGTTTTAAATATGTTATCCTTCATGCAGGATAAAACAAGTGCTATTAGGTAACAAATGGTCTAGCAGAACTCTACCATCCACAGTCCTTTTTCTGCCCATTTGTCTCTGCTCAGGATGGATTCAAAACAACCGTGATTAAATAAAATAAAAATGATACACAGAGTCCCTCTGTATTATATGCACAGGAAGACAGGGGATTAAACTCCTTAAAAAGAAAACCCCACATTTTCTCCTTCATTAACTTAAATTTTCAAAGAGAGTAATTAACATGCTGCAAAGTTATTAATGAGTTGCATTTCAAATCCCTACATGCTGTAGTAATTGTGTTCTCAGAAGAAAACAGGCCAAATAATTATAGAAATTCAGACACAGTTTTTAAAGGCTACCTTGATAGGCAGATTGGAAGTGATGAAAACTTTCTGAATGTGAAATTTATCTAGTGTAGCTGTTTCTTGAAGTTACTTTAAGCAAAAGTTGGTCTTAGATTACTCTATTCCCCAAAAGTTTCAATAACTTTTTGTTTCTTTTCTTACCTTTTTTTCAGTGAATCTATAGGCAGGTCTCTGCAACCTTGGGTGCCTTGTAATTACATTTAAATACCTTTCCTAGTCTTTCAACCAGCCCCTTTGAAGATTATCTATTTACCTAGTGGCAGACTCCCCACATAAGCACCATCTAGGTACTGTAAATGTAGTTACTATCATTTTCCCCATTCTCTAAATCAGATGTTAATAACAGAAGGTATTTTTTCCAGAAGCACACTTCTCTTTCTACCCCCTAAATAGAAATCAATCATTCCTTTATCAGTGGCAACCCATAATTTATTAGGTACATTTAGAGGTTTACCCAAAAATGATTATGTAAGAAGTCTTTCCAAAACTTATAATGAAGCTGGAAAAGACACAGTATTCAATTTTTACTACATCTTTGCAGCATGCACACATACAAGTCTATAAAACATAGATAGCTATGGAATGAAATGCTATCATGCGTAGTTAAATATTAACAATTTCATTTCCCAAATAACAAACCCCACAAACCTTTAGTTGTTCATCTACTACTCTTGTAACTTCTCCAGCCATTGATTCCAGGGTCTCCTGAATTGGACTGGATAGTAAGCCACTGGCTCCCGCCCAAGATGCACCACCAACATGGTATAAATTTGGTAACAACTGTAAGAGAAATAAAAAATAACCTCTTTAGAATTGGGTAAATATTTCAATCAAAGTCATTGCAGAGTGAATGAGAAGGGTGAAGGAATACTGTTAGGGATAATCTCTTCTCAGTCAAAGGCTCTTTGCACAGATTAATAAACTGAGGTCCAGACTATGGGCATTCCTTTTTATTCAATGAGTCACAGCAACCCTAAGAAACACTAGACTGGGTATTAGGAGACTTTCACATTGACCACTTCTGTCATTAAGCAGCTTTGAAACCACAGGAATAATACATTACCTCCTCATGTCTTTTTTTTTTTTTTTTTTTTTTTTTTTGAGATGGAGTTTCGCTCTTGTTGCCCAGGCTGGAGTGCAATGGCGCGATCTCAGCTCACTGCAACCTCCGCCTCCCGGGTTCAAGCGATTCTCCTGTCTCAGTCTCCCGAGAAGCTGGGATTACAGGCACATACCACCATGCCCAGCTCCCCTTCATGTCTTAATGTCTTCATCTGGGGTATGAAAGTTGAGCTGCTTTTACTCACAACACTTCTGTCACCAAAAGTGTAGGTGTTTGCCACACCAGGCAAGTCTCCAGTTCTCTGCATACACTAAATGGGTGTCCTACAAATCTATTCAATTCAATTCTGACACTGTCTACCCAGAGTTTGCCTGAGATCCCAAAAGTGAAGGACTCAGTCCCACCAGACTATCCCCAGTTCAGATGGCACTCACAGGTCCCAGGTTGTTACTGGTACTTCTAACCAATAAGCCTTAAATTCAAGGGGTTCCCATAAATCCTTTTTCAGGTTCCATAATTTGCTAAAATGACTTACAGAACTCAGCCAAGCATTTTACTTATGATTACTGGTTTATTATAAAAGATACAGCTCAGGAGGAGCCAAACAGAAGATGTATAGGGTGAAGTAAGGGGTCAGGGGAGCTTCGGGGGAGTTCTGCAGGTATACAGCCCTCCCAGCACGTTGATGAGTTCATCAACCCAAAAGTTCTCTGAAGCCTACTGTTTAGAGATTTTATGGAGGACCCATTACATAGACACGACTGATTAAATCAGTGGCCACTGGTGTCCATTCAATCTCCAGCCCCTCTCCATTTCCATGGCGTCCAGGGGGTGGGCTGACAGATTCAGTTCACTAATAACGTGGCTGGTTCCTCTGGCAACCTCCCCTATCCTGCAACTTTCTAGGGGCACAGGAAGAGTCACCTCATTAGGATAAACTCTGGTGTGATGAGAGGGGCTTTTTATTAATAACAAAAGATGCTATTATCATCTCTGTCACTCAGGAAATTACAGGGGTTTTAGAAGCTCTGGTTCAGGAACCAGGGACAAAGACCAAATACTATAACAAAAGATGCTTCTATCATCCCTATCACTCAGGAAATTACAAGGTTTTAGAAGCTCCATATCAGGAACTGGGAACAAAGACCAAATATACATCTCTTATTGTATCACAAGAGTATCTGATTGATCTACAGATTCCTCATACTAATGACATTCAGTGATTGTGTGATTCTAGCAGCAGAACCAAAACCAGATCCCAGTTTTTCTGACTCACAGTTAAGTCCTTACTCTACTAAGTCACACATTGGGAACCAAAGTCTAACGTGAGAGAAGCTTCCTTTTAGGGGTAACAGAGGGGAGTTTCATGTTATCAGCTTAGAAGCAGAATCATTTTAAATGAGCTGTTACTCATTTAAACGACAGCTCCCTCTCAGTTGTTGAGGGCCCAATCACACCCTCTGTGAATCACACTGGCCCTCTGCTTTTTATTCTATATCTTGATTATTGGTAATCAGCACAGGTACAGAAAGGAGGTCAAGGCTAATTCAGTTCACTTTGCCACTTGTTAGTAAACTTGGAATTGGGTAGAGAGAGAAAGTTGAAACTGGTTTCTAAAACTAAATTTTATGAAACGTTTTTATTATACCAGACTCTCACACAGCCTGAAGTGAAACTCACCGTTTTAGAGTTCTTAGCATCACGCATGAGCCGCTCTGCTGATTTTAAATCTTCCTGGATAGCGTCTCCCCCACAATTTCGTAAGGAGTTGAGATGATCTTGTACTTTCACACATATTCTGTCAATCATCTGCTCCAAACCAGAAAAAGGCAAGCATCCAAGTCAGCCCAGCCGATATTCAGATAGAAGGAAACACAGAACGAAGGAGTATGAAAAAAACTTCAGCAAACCACAGAATGCACAAGGATGAAAACCTCAAACCCTTCTAACTGGAGTCACTGAGAATGCTGCTTGTAAGCAATTATTAATTTACTTTATTCATGCAAGTAACCTTTGGCAACTTTAATGCCAGAAAAAAATTGAAGGCATTTCAGTTCCCTTTCCTGCCTTAGGAAATGCAGCACGTAGAACAAAAGTGAACACTTCTTGATGATTCAGAACCTCACTCAGTGACATTTTGCTAGATACTAACTCCTTCATTAACTTTTAGTGAGCACCCTCTATGTGTTAGACATAGAGTTAGGTACTGAGGAAACAGAGAAATAAAATGTGCAACACTGAGACTGTTGTAATGACTACAAAATGATGCCCAACAGCCAGTTGGTCTCAATACTATAGAAACCAGAACATCTCTTAAAAATTGGTATTTTAAAAATCGATTCAATTACATCAAGTATTTTTCTTTGTAAATTAAGAGCCACCAAAAAACAAAAACAAATTGAGGTTTTATTATATTAACATAGGTAGTAATGAAGTCAATATCATCTAGTTTCTATTACAATAAGATGCCTCCCCTACCAGTTTAATTGCACCTAAATCATTCTCAATTGTTTTACGGATATAAACACAAAACCCAATGGGAGATGGTGGATCTCTATGGTAGACAAAAAATATTTCAGAAAGGTTAAGATTATGCTCTTCTATATTTGTACTTATACAAAAAAGCATGAAGGAAGCCAAGAAGTCTGAAGAAAAAGATAACCACAGTGTGGTTTTAAAAGTGTCTCCAATATTTTCGTTAGAGCTGCCGGTTGTCTATTTATTTCATGTTCTTAAAAAAAGTATTCATTCTTCAAAGGCCTTACATGTCAAGAGTCCTCTTCCATCTGATAATTCATTTGGCAGAGGAGACAAACAATATTCTTTTTTAGTTAAATTCACACTTCTCTATTTTGAATTATTTGATATCATAACGATAGGAAGCTAAAGTCTGCCCTTCTTCCCCCATAAATTTCAAAATGATAGAGACTTTACACACTATTCCGAAGACTTCAGGTCTGATTACAGAGCCCATGTCTACTTGCTGTAGCACTGCCATCTCTCTTGCCTTTTTCTTTGTAAAGTCAGGTTCATAATATCTACCGCACATTCTTTATTAGTGTGTTATGAAGACAATTCAATAAAATAACAGCACTCAAGCACCTATTGTTGAAAAAGGGCCAGTAATGCCAAAGTTTATGTATAATAAAAACAGCTCCTATTGCTGTAAAATATATTGAGGTTACATACGTTATTATCTTGAGATCCCCCTAGGAAAAAGAAGTTGTATGAATATTGCTTCTCACATCAAATTCTCTGCCTAAAATCCCTAAAAATCTAAGACAAGAAAGTTATGATTCCTGCCTCTGATTGTAGGCAGGAATCATATCTTTCTGCATTTACACAATGCCCTGCATAGAGCTAACTATAAGTTTTTTAAAATCTTAATTGATAGAAATCATAACTCTTCTAACTATTGTATTGATCTGTGCCTCCTGAAGCAAAAAGGGTCATTAATAATTCATATCTTACCAAGAATGAATGCCTAATTTCAAGAGACAAACCACACACTAAGAAAGAAACTGATATACATTTGGGGCTGCAAAAGGCTAATTTGAGAGGCATGTGGATGAGGCACTATAAAGTTGGTATCTTTAATCACCACGAGAGAACAAAGAGACACTTGAAATGTATGCCCTTAAGCATTCACCAAGGGGAGAGGATTTACATGAACTCAACAAAAATGGTCTTTAAGTAGAACATTTAAAATGTCATGCAAAAGAACAATCAAAATTAAGTTCTTCAATTCAAAGAAGACATAAAATCTCATGTCTCCAAGATTCCTCTGAGCATAGCTCAGCAGACCACATTTAGATCCTTTACCATGAAAGAGCTCAAAGCTCAGAAAAGGTAAACTATTTAAGATGACATGCAATGATTACACAGAGTACAGATTGAAAATTTTGAAAAAAGTAAATCAAGGGGTTTATCAGTTCATAATTCGTCTCTCAAGTACATAAATACGAAAAATAAAGGAGATGCAATCTGAAAGGCTATAATCTCTTGGGTTACCCCGTTAGAAGACCTCATAGAAGATGGTTGTGTTAGGGCTGTTTAGTTTAACCTCTCTACTTCACCCTAACCCTATAGTGTTCAGTTTCTCTAAAGCAATACAGAAAAGTTGTTGACGGCCATAGTTTATGAAGCTCAATTCCTTCCAAGAAAATGTACCCTGTCATTCCTAGATAAGGTTTTGAGTCTTAATCTGTCTTCTTACACCCTTCCTGCAGGTCCCATATCTTCCCCTTGAGAACACTCTGCACAATCATATGCTCTCTTCTAGTGACAGTCCTGCACATATTTAAATACACTTATTTTTCTTCCTTAGCCTTCTTTTCTTCAGGTTTAACATTCCCAGCTCCTTTTCCCATGCCTACGCTGACACAGTTCTCCAGTCCTTGACCTCCTTTCCTGTAGGTCACTTCTGCATTCTGTCTTCCACCTAGAACCTCATGAAGTCTCCTTAGTGAAATGGATTGTAACTAAGAGTGGACTGGAAAGCACAGAGCTGAGATGAACAGAGCTATCGTCTTCCTTACTGTAGAAAGTATACCTTCATTAATACGGTACAAGTCAAATTGACTTCTTTGGCAACTACATCACACCACTAACTCATATCACACTTGCTGGTGACTACCTAGGCTTTTTCAGATATACTGGGCTATTGAACCCACGGGTAAGAATTACAACTATTAGCAATAAATGCCATCTGTGGTTGCTCACAAGTTGATACAACTGTTCTTATTTCCAGCAAACAGCTTATTCATAGAAAATTTTATCATTTTCCACATTGGTTTCTTTATTCCATTCAAGAGAAATAAACTGGACACCTGGCATAGAGGAGCTACAGTCTTGAAAAAGGTTACCCCTTGCCACCAGCAACTTAAAAACCTGGAAGTGGGAAGAAATATTCACAATTAGCAGTAACACAGGACATAAAGTGCTACATAATGTAATATCCACAAGGACATGAACATTTTATTTTCTTCACTGCTGAATCCCTGTTTCTTACGATAGTGCCTGCCATATCATAGACTTCTACAACTGTTTATTCAATGATAAATGAATGATATAAGCTTTTAAAAAAATTTTATCCAAAGGAGGAATCACACCTAGCTGAGGTTAAAAATAACTTTTATTTTTTTTTTTAGCTGAGTCCTGAAAGATTTGTACGGATTGAGAAAAACAGAAGGGATCGTTAAACAAAAGAACAAACCCAAGCAGTGGTACATCCAGACACTATGACTCCTATCTCCTGGTTAGGAACAGAGGCACCTTACAGTGGGAGATCAGATTGGAATGATGGGTTAAGGCAGGACAGTATAGCACTCCAGTGCAGGCTAAGAGGTTGAACATGGTGTCCAAGGCACAGAGCGTCATTTCCCCAGCTCCTCCCCACAATTGTGAGCTCTAGAAATCCCTTACCCCATAAACATTCACGGTGGCTCAGCTTCCCTGATACAAAGAACATGGGCTGTGGAAAGCAGGAGGAGACACATAAAATGAAAAAACTAGTTCTTGTAGTTCTTGTTAAAAAAAAAAAAAGACGTAGAAGGTAGTTAGTAAAAAGACCTTAGCAAGAGAGCTCGTAGTATAAATAAAAACAAAAGAAGTATCTTTTGCAGCCACTGGACAGGGTTTAGTGGGTAATGGATGGGGAAAGCAAATGAAGAGTTCAAGATGACTCCAAAGGTTCAACCCTCAGTGAATGATGATGTCCCTGAGTGAAATGGCAAAATCAAGAGTTCAAAAGGATGAGTTTGGTCTTAATGACTGATATCTCAGAAGGCCAAAGTGGTGGAGATGCTGAAAAAAATAATTGGGAAGATAGGACTCTCTGGAAAGAAACAGGGACTGAATGGTTAGATCCAGGAGTCATCTACAAATGAGAGAGTTAAAATAGAAGCAAATAGCCAAAGGAAAAGAACACTAAATACAAAGCTTTGAAAAAAAATCCTGCATTGGGGATATGAAAAGAGAAAGAGTTGTGTAGAAAGCAGAAGGTAAGACACAAGAGTGGCAGAAGGACATTCAGAATGGTGCATTGTCCAGTGAACTAAGAACTGAGTTTTAAGAAAGATGAGATGGTCCATAATAATGATGGTAATTGTGATAATAAAAATAACAGCCAAAAAAAACCCATTAATGTTTACTGGTAAGAAGCCAAATACTTTTCAAGCATTATCTCAGTTACTCTTTACATCACCTTCATAGATGGGTACTATCATCATCCCCAATAAACAGATGAAAAAACTGAGGCTTAAAGAGGTGAGTAAGTGACTAACATAAGTTCACACAGGGAATAGTAGAGCCTGGATTTACATCTGGGGTCATCTGACTTGAGAGCCCAAGTTCTTAACCATAATATTCTGCCTCCTTTTATCAAGAGATGAAGAAGGAGAAAAGGCCCCTGCACATTGTGACAAAGAAACCAATGAAAGAGCCATTTCAGTAGATAAAGAGGGACAGAGGCCATGTTTCAAAAGGTTGCAAAGTGAGTGTTTAACAAAGAAGTTAGGACTGCAAATGTAAAATGTGCACATGAAAGAGGAAAGAGAATATAACGAGCAAATAGCTCTAAGAAGTAAAGCCCCCTCCTCACCCTTTCTTTCTCTCTCTCTTTCCCTCCTTCTCTCTTTTTCTTTCTTTCTTGGTGAGAAGGCTAAAGAGAAGAGCTTGGCGAGTGGCAGGCAATTCTGGGCCTGTTTTTATAACTACAGTTTTATTGTAATAACACTCATTCATTTACATGTTGTCTATGGTGGCTTTCACTCTATCGCAGCAGAGTTGAGTAGCTGCAACAGAGATCCTATGGGCTCCAAAGCCTAAAGTATTTACTATACGGCTTTTTACAGAAAAGGTTTGCTGAGTCCTAATTAAGAGGCTTTATCATCTGGAAAAGAAGGCATCAAAAACGAAAATAGAATGTTGAGTCTTATAAAAATATTTCCTAATCAAAGTCACCAGACAAAAACAAATACAACCAGTTACAAGACTTCAATATTTCATTAAAACATTCTTTAATGCCTTTGGTGTCACCTGAGAATGATGACTGAGAATGATGGCTATCAAGTTGGCAAGGGCATTAGTCACAGAGGGTCTATCCTTTCTATATTCAGGTTTCTGCAATCTTCAAGGTAAATCTCTCCTGAAGTGACTAAAATGATTAAAGTCTAAAAACTGCTAATTATAATGTCCTAAGAAATTCCCAAAGTGAAAACGTGGCAATATACCTACTACATAACTCAGATAATTCAGAATAATGCCATCTATGCAGAATTAAACATCCACATACTGCTCTTGTGTGCAATTTTCTCTCAATAGATGAAACGTACTTTTAAGAATAAGCATTAAAGGTTGCTGCTGTAATTTTTTTTTTGGATGGGCAAAATCCACTCTGAATTAGGGGGAAAAAGTTGGAAAGATGTTGTATTAAGTAAAGACAGGCTGAGGCAGGAGAATCGCTTGAACCCGGAGGCAGAGGTTGCAGTGAGCCAGGGTTGCGCCATTGCACTCCAGCCTGGGCAACAAGAGTGAAACTCTGTCTCAAAAAAAAGGAAAAGAAAAAAAAAAAAGAAAAGAAAAGAAGTCTTGGGCCAGGCATGGTAGCTCACACCTATAATCCCAGCACTTTGGAAGGCCAAGGTGGGTGGATCACTTGAGGTGAGGAGTTTGAGACCAGCCTGGGCAACATGGTAAAACCCTGTCTCTACTAAAGATACAAAAATTAGCTGGGTGTGGTGATGGGCAACTATAATTCCAGCTACTCGGGAAGCTGAAGCAGAAGAATTGCTTGAACCAGGGAGGCGGAGGTTGCAGTAAGCCGAGATTGCGCCACTGCACTCCAGCCTGGGCGACAGAGTGAGAAGTCTTTATTATTGTAGCTCATAAAGGAACACAAGACAAAGTTTCAGTGTAACTTTCATTGCATTTCATGTTAAACACTAAAACCTGTTAATAATAGTAAACCATAAAATACTAGGCTAGTAGTATTAGTTCCTTGCAGGAAAAGAAATTAGATTTTTAAGGGACTGGTAAGGTCAAAATAATGGCTTTCTTTCTCAAAAGTCCTGCTACTTCACTAGTATAACTTTTCTTCTCAACACATATTGGTTTACTTTTTCTTGCTTAAATAATGCATATTTACTGTAAAACATTCAAACCATACTGAGAAGAGAATAAAATACACCTTTCATACCACCTAAAATAACCATCATTAATATTGTGATGAACACCCTTTTACATGTCTCTATGCCTATCTATACAGTCACCCATAGTTTACCTAATTGGAATATTATGCATGACATTTTTATTATGGACATCTTTCTTTCAAAGAAGAAGCAACAAAAAATTAAATAACATTTGTAACAAGGTAAGAAAATAATGCAAACCATTCAACATGGTCTAAAATGACAAAAATTTCCCTACTAGTCAATTCTTTTCAATTTGCAGAGAAAAATTCTTTTGAAAGCCTCTGCCTCTTTAATTCCTCTGGTGGCTTCCATTTTAAATTTAAATAGGATACTTATTTTTATGTTTTTGATTTACGAATTACAGAAAATAGCAGTTGATTCCACGAAATAAAAACTAAACATTTAGCATACTTACACTACCATTCAACTTTCTCCCTCTTAAACTTCTAATTTTAGTTTGTTTCGTTACCTTTACATTATTGCGATTTTCAACATTTACAATCTGTTATGTAGCAATAATTAAGCTTGCCATTCTTGTCTAACATTAAAAATTTAAACCCTCTAAAATGTAGCTATAAAGTTGTGATTATGGCTGCCCCAGAGAAAGACACGCCAATCCCTTAACCCTGCAGCTTAAAGTAGATTTTCCCAAAGCAGCGATTTTTAAAAACTTTCTCTCAGCTTGTATAACTTCTACGATTTCATCTCTGCTATCATATCCTATTTATACCTCATATTGCGTACTTTTCTGTTTGAGAATTTATTCAAGTAACTTTTTTTTCATAAGGAATATGACGGGAATAGAATTTCTGAGTTCATGTCTGAAAACGTCTAGGTATAGAATTTTTGATCCAAAATAAATCCGCTTCCAAACGAGGAAGAAGACATTACCTCGTTTACGTCTACTAATTGGGATTGATGCTAAGAATTGATTTTAGTTCCCTTGTAAGATAGCCGATTTACTCTTTCTGGAACTCTTTTTTTTGAGTCAGAGTCTCGCACAATCTTGGCTCACTGCAACCTCTACCTTCCAGGTTCAAGCGATTCTCCTGCCTCAGCCTTCCAAGTAGTTGGGATTACAGGTCTGTGCCACTACACCTGGCTACTTTTTCTTTTGTATGTTTAGTAGAGACAGGGTTTCACCACCTTGGCCAGCCTGGTCTGAAACTCCTGTGATCCACCTGTCTCGACCTCCCAAGCGTTGAGATTGCAGGCGTGAGCCACAGTGTCTGGCCTGGAACTCTTTTCTTTCTGGAACGCTTTAAGATTTTTTTTTTTTCTGTATTCTAGGTGTTCTGAGATTCCACCAAGATATATTTAGGTGTGGGTCCTTTTGCCCACTCATTCTGATCAATTCTAGTGGGTTATATCAACCCCGAGACTCATATGAAATGGTTTTCTATTCTTTCCTGTCCTCTAATATCTCTCATTTTTATAATAATTTTGAAGCTCCATTAGAAGGCTGTTGATTATTCTAAGTCAATTCACCATTTCACCTACTTTGCTTTCATATTTTTAATGTCTTTTTTTATTATAAGCTATAAAGGTTTGCTCTACTTTTTCTTCCAGAGGACCAGCTTAGTTTGTGTCCATCAGTTTATTTAATTCTGTACTACAGTATCACAATTTTAATTGTTAAGCATTGTTTCTTATTCTCTGACTACTCCTGTTCATAGCAGCCTATTCTTTTTTTTTTTTTTTTTTTTTTTTTTTTTTGGAGACGGAGTCTCGCTCTGTCGCCCAGGCCGGACTGCGGACTGCAGTGGCGCAATCTCGGCTCACGGCAAGCTCCGCTTCCCGGGTTCACGCCATTCTAGCAGCCTATTCTTATTTTATGGATGTATCATTCTCTGCAGTCCCAATGAACTTACAATAACAATTTTTTTTAAAGCTCTCTGCTGTACTCTGCATTATCTGAGCTCAATTCCTTTGTTCATCTCGCTCTTTGACACATAGATTGTTTTCCTCAAATATCTTGTGATTTTTGGTTTTGGTTAATTTTTGGAAAAGAAATATTTCACATTTTTTTAAATTATTATAATTCTGTTTCTTTGGTAAAGCTGGGTAGAGAGAAGAGGAATGCAGTATAAGAGAAAAACACCTCAGTTTCTCTTCAGCATGTGTTAATTAATATTCATCAAACTTTTCTTCAAAAGAATCTCGGAATTTTTTTTCTTTTTTTAATGAACCTGACATTGTGAACATAAAATCTGGGAATCTGTATTCTACCCATGGAAGTGTGAAGGAATAAAGAGAAAGGAACAGAATGTCTCCAAAGTAGCAAATTTGATCACTTTCAGATTTTATTATCTATTATAATCAAAAGTTCCTAATATTTGTATAGAAACCTATCTTACTGGCAATTGTTGATTGATAATTAAAAGTGCATATTTAGCCTTAGAATTAGCCTACCTTTTCCTCCTTCAGTATCTTCCCTCAAACTCTACTTAGATTTGTTGTCATTTTCAAAAACTAGTTCTTATTGACCCATTGGAAATTACTCGAATGCTAGAAGTCCTTTGCTCTCAGAGGGTCAGTTAAGAATAGAAGGAGAAGTCACAGGCACTGGCTCGCTTACCTGCTGGGTGGTGCTGGTGACAATACCCTGCTGCAGGCGGTAGGCCTGCTCTTGAAGGTATTTTCTAGTCTCGTGATTTCGTAGCAGGTAGTTTTCTATCTGGAAATAAAGCACAGGCATCCCTCAAGAATACATTTCAACCCAGCGGAGAATAAAGTATAAGTGAAACAGTCAGTTGCCGAACTTAAAAACCGAAGCGTGAATATACACATCCTGCCAGTGCTTTGACCCCACAAAACACATGGGATGGAGAAACTGGCTTTCATTGTGAGTACTGGTGTTTTTAGTTAGAGATTCAACTTGCAGGTAATTGGAGTAATTTTTGTGTAACTCAGTAGTTGAAAAAGATAAGCAAGCTTTTAATTGCCTGAAGGGTTAGAGACCCCACTTCGTGAGTTTTCATCACTTTCAGCACACAATCTCAATCCTTCTCTCACATGAATTTTTAACTACTCCACAGTTCAGAAGTTAAATAAATATCCCCAAGGAATAAGGGTGGTGCTCTCTAAATCTCTTATAGCCTTATTCCAGCTGTAGAATGTATCAGCACTTAGAAAATGCTTTATTTTTACGTAAAAAGAGAGAGAAAGAATCGCAACAAGATTTGAAGGATACAGGCTGGTACAACTCAAAGATATATACTAATTTCATTAACCCATCAAATGTTCATATTTTCTCAAAAACAGGACTGAATTATTAAAATTATAGCAAATAAAAAATAGATTTCTGTATTTTTATACATAGATTATCTACTATGAAAAATTCAAAGGTATAAATGATAACTAGATTAAAATAAGCATTCAAGAAGAATATGCAATAAATACATATTTAACATAAATGCAAGGTTAACTATTAAGAATGATGGATACCTATAAAGATGTTATTAAAGGAATAATCTGAGGTTGGTAAATTTTGTCATCTATTTTTAAAAATTTGTTGGTTTTGTTTGTTTTTAATAACATCACTTAACCATTTGGCTTTTAATTTGCCACAGCAGTTCCCTGGTTAAGAACTAACTAATAACTCTGAAGCGCTAAGTATTTTTACATTTTAATTTTCATTTTCCATATGCTAAAATGACTATTACTTAATATCAATTAGAAACTATTAAAATACAGACTATAATTACGATCCCTTGAAAATATAAAGCAGAACAAAATGTACCTTTCCATTAAACATAAATGAAGAAATTACAAAAACGAAAAGATACCTGAAATGAAACATCATTAAAGTGGCACATTAATGCCTTGACAGTATATTACATTACTTTCTCTTGCTGCTTCCCAAGAAGTCATCTCTTTCCAAGGTGACATGACTATCAATGCAAAATATTTTGCTGAAAAGATTCTTGCTTGAAATATATGACAGGCACACACCACCACCCAGCTTCCGGTCCTTTTGCTTTATTAATTCTTATACATTTGGCCTCACTGCAGCACTGGCTGTGGCTGGGTCCAAGAGAAGTTTGCTTTCTCAGAAGGCTCATCTCACACACAGGCAGTGCATCCAAGGCTGGCTCATGCCTTCCAGACATTTCCCCAGATGCACCAGTGGTGCTTCCAGTTCAAAAGGAAGAAATAGTAACAATTTTCAAGTGACTTTAATACCAGGCCTGTATACACCACCACCAAAATTATTTGCATCTTAGATTAATAGAGCAAACTTTGCTTGCATGTACCATTTCAGACTAAGGACAAAAAAACCCACTTCCTGAAGGACCAAAGGTGTCATTGTCAGGTTTACTGGGCTCCCCTGGACAGCTGAGAGCAAGCTGGGAGATAACCTAGAGCTAGTCAGACATCTCTGGTCTCACTGCTGAAAACAGCACCAGCGAAAGAAGCAAAAACGAAACACAAAAAATCTGTATTTTAGTAAAGGAATCTTGTGTGTGTGTTTTTAAGATTGAGTATTGAATCACAGTATTTTTTTCTTCAGTAGAGTAAAAGTAAATAGTCATATTTTTTCCAGAAGACAAAAATCCACCTGTTAAAATAAAAACTTGAATATGTAAGAACACAGCAATTTTACAAAAAAACCCAATAGGCTGGGTGTGGTGGCTCATGCTTCAATCCCAACACTTTGGGAGGCTGAGGCAGGAGGATCACTTGAGCCCAGGAGTTTGAGACCAGCATGGGCAACATAGCAAGACCTCATCCCTACAAAAAATTAAAAAATTAGCCAGGCATTATGGCTCACTCCTGTAGTTCTAGCTACTCGGGAGGCTGAAGTGGGAGGATCACTTGAGCTCAGGAATTTGAGGCTATAGTGAACCATGACTGCACCACTGTACTCTGGCCTGGATGACAGAGTGAGACCTTGTCTCAGAAGAAAAAAAAAAAGAACAGAAGAGAAGGAGAGGAGAGGAAAAGGAGATGAGAGGCGAAGGAGGAGAGAAGAACAGGAGAATGAGAGGGAAGGAAAGGGGAGGGGAGAGAAAAGAAACCAATAAATATAAGCTTTAAAGTCACCTATTTTTTTATTAACAAAGCACAAATTTTACAGTTAACATATCTGCATATTTTGTCCTGAATGTCCATTTTCTTTTTTTTTTGAGACGGAGTCTTGTGCTGTCGCCCAGGCTGGAGGGCAGTGGCGCAATCTCGGCTCACTGCAAGCTCCACCCCCCGGGTTCACGCCATTCTCCCGCCTCAGCCTCCCGAGTAGCTGGGACTACAGGTGCCCACCACCACGCCTGGCTTATTTATTTATTTATTTATTTATTTATTTATTTATTTATTTATTTGTATTTTTAGTAGAGACAGGGTTTCACCATTCACAGGATGGTCTTGATCTCCTGACCTTGTGATCCGCCCGCCTCGGCCTCCCAAAGTGCTGGGATTACAGGCATTAACCACCACGCCCGGCCCTGAATGTCCATTTTCTATACCTATTTTCAATTTTCTGACCTGTCAATTATGTCTTAATATAGTAGGATTCATATCTACCATGTTTGTAACTGTTTTCTATCTATTACATTTGTCCTTTGTTTCTTTTATCTTTCTTTTTTGCTACTGTCTCTGGTTTTAATTAAGCATTTTGTATGGTTACATTTCTCTTCTTTCCTAGTTCATCAATTATACTCCTTTTAAAAAAGTTTTTAGTGTTTGTCTTAGTGTTTGCAGTATGCATTTATAAATAATCCAAGTCTACTTTCAAATAACGCTATATTGATTCATGAGTAGTGTAGGTAACTTATAACAGAATATTGTCAATTCCTTTTCCATCCTTTATACCACATTCACCCAGTACATTGTGGTTATCATTATTCTGAAAAAATAGTCATCTATTACATCATTCATAATAAGAAAAATATAATGCTACCTTATTTTATTCCCTCTGATACTCTTCCTTTCTTTATGCAGATCCAATTTGTAATCTATATCATTTTCCTTCTCCCTGAAGAACTTTTTAACATTTCTTGCAAGACAGATCTACTAGTGATATATTATTCCCTCAGTTTTTGTTTATCCTAGAAAGTCTTTATTTCTCCATTACTTTTGAAGGATAATTTTCCTAGATATAGAATTCTAGGCTGCTGGGGGTTTTTTGCATCAACACTTTAAATAGTTCACTCCACTCTCTTCTTACTTACATGGTTTCTGACAAAAAGAGTGACGTAATTCTTATCCTCGTTTCTCAATACACAGGTGTTTTTTTAGTCTATGTTCTCTAAAGATTTTCTCTTTGTCGTTGGTTATCCACATTTTGAATTTGCTATGCCTATGGGTGCTTTTTTGGTATTTATCCTGCTTGGTGGTCTCTGAGCTTTCTGGATTTGTGGTTTAGTGTCTGTTGTGAATTTCAGAAAATTATCAGCCATTATTACTTCAGATGTTTCTTCTGTTCCTTTCTCTCTTTTCTTTCCTTCTGGTATTCCCATTAGTAGCAAGTTTCATCTTCTGTAATTATCCCACAGTGCTGGGATAGTCTGTTCTTTTCTTTTCTTTTTTTCTTTGTGCAATTCAGTTTGGGAAGTTTCTATTGAAGAATCTTAGAGTTCAATGATTCTTCCCTCAGCCATGTCCAGTCTACCAATAACCTCATCAAAGGCATTCTTCATTTCTGTTACAGGTTTCTTATCTCTAGTATTTCCTTTTAATTTTTTTTTCTTAAGAGCTTTTATCTCCTGCTTACATTACCCATCTGTTCTTGCATGTTGTCTGCTTTTTCCACTAGAGCCCTTAACAACTTAATCATGGTTATTTTAAGGGCTCTGATAATTCCAAAACTGGTATCATAGATAAGTCTCGTTCTGATGCTTGTTTTCTCTCTTTCACACTGTGTTTGTTGCTTTTTAACATGCTTTGTAATTTTTGGCTGAAAGCTGAAAATGACATACCTGGTAATACAACCTGAGGTAATCAGCCTTTTAGTGTGAGGTTTTATATGTTAACTGGCTAAGAGCTGGGCTCTGTTTAGTATTTGTTGTAGCTGTATATGCCAGAGGCTTTGATTTCCTCTAGTGTCCTTGCTTTTGTATCCCATTATTTTGGGGTTTCCCTAGAAACTCTTTCTTAATTACAATCTGTGTCTTGCAGTTTGCTCAGTTGTAATCCACTGTTATTTTACTTGACATGGTGATAAGGTGTTAGGAAGGGGAAGTATTCTATAATCTTATGATTAGTTTTTGTTTGTTTGTTTTTAAGCAATCCTGGTCCCTGGGCTATGGCCTTTGGAAATATTTCTTATCCTTTTCAACCCTATCCCTTATGTGAGACAGGTTAGAGAGGGCGGGTTGTTTAATCATCTTTCCCCTGTTCAGGTAAGGTCCTACTAAAGTAGTTTCTCTGGCTGGTAGATCTTTGTTATTTAGAAGAGAATGCTCTGAGTATATTTCAAAATGGTTATTTTACCCTTCCCCCTGCCAGAAAAAAAAAGGAAATTTTTCTCCAATCTTTACTGCGATAGCCCATTGGGACTCATGGAAATAAAACCCATGAAAGGGTGGGGGTTCCCTAAAACTGGACCCCTAGGAGTTTTTGGCTCTTAAGCTAGTCTGTGCTAAGTCTCTGGCAATTCATCACTTACTGTTTAAGTGGTCCTGTAAGTTATTATCCTACTAGCTTCAGCTCCTGGCAAGCTGATCTTGGCTATGATTCACTGTGATTCTCTGTACCTCTCTTTCCAGTCCCCAGTTTTCAGGGTGATAGTTTTCCTTGTGGCTTAAGTTCTTTGACAGATCTAAGAAAAGTCATTGGTTTTCTGTTTGTTCAGATTTTTTTGTTGTTGTGAGGATGGGAGTGATAACTTCCAAGCTCTTGAGAGTTCAAATCTGAAACCAGAAACCTGGTTTCTCTAGAATATGTCTTTTATTCAAAACTGATTAGTATCCTATTGGAAATTATAAAGATATCTAATATTTTTATGTAGCTTTTCACAAACTCCTTTTCACATATACTGTTTCACTGGATCCTCATGGTCACCTTAGGCAAATTAATCTTCCTACTCTTTGTTTTCCATATCTGTAATACTAGAACCTACTGCATCATTTATTTTAAGGATTACATGTATTAATTTATGTAAAACATTTAAAATAGTGCCAGACACCCAGTAAGAATTACATATTGTCAGCTAAACATAGTTATTACATAGCTTTATTTTTCCTACCTATACAGTTGAAAAAAATAAATTTCAAAAAAATTGAGTAACTTATTGAAGGTTATGGGACGAGTTTAATTTTAAGTCAGATATTCTAAATTCAAATCTTGATTTCTTTTGCCATACCACAGCTTTTTTCTCTCTCATCTCCAATCATATTGTCTTCTATTCAACATATGCCTAAAAAGCATTCAAGCGACCAGGCATGGTGGCTCACACCTATAATCCCAATACTTTGGGAGGCCAAGGCAGGAGGATTACTTGAGTGCAGGAGTTTGAGACCAGCTTGGGCAACATAGTGAAACCTCGTCTCTATAAAAATTTTTAAAAATTAGCTGGGCACAGTGGCATACGCTTGTAGTCCTGGTTGAGATGGGAGGATCACTTGAGCACAGGTGGTTGAGGCTGCAGTGAGCCATGACTGCACCACTGCACTCCAGCTTGGGCAACAGAGCCAGACCCTGTCAACCAATCAATCAATCAATGAAGTATCCAGTCATACATACTAGGCACTGTGCTGTGAGAATAAGCAAGATGAAAAAATACATAAGCTCTGCCATCAAGTAACTCATAGACCATTAGGAGAATAAAACATGGAGCCAGGTAACTTAAATCAATGTTGCAAGGCCAATGACAGAGAGGAGCACAGGAAATCCTAAGACCACACACCTAGAGAAGGAAAGGGCCTCTGAGAGGTCTTCCTGGATGAGCCGACACTTGATTTCAATCTCAACAGACCTGCATGGTAGTCAGGAAAGAAAAAGGATGTCTGGAATACAGTAGGGATTCTCAAACTTACAAACACCAGGAAAGCTTGTGAAAACACAAATGCTAAGTCCTACCCCAGTTTCTGAGGCTTAATAATTTGCATTTTTAACGAGTTCCTTGAGACAGGTCAAAACAAAAGAGTTGGCCAGAGATGAAGTGGGAAGTGTACAGGAGGCAGATCCTGGACAGAATTTCCTGCTATGTTAAGGAGACCCAGCTTTATTTATCCTGAAAGCCACTAGGAAGGGATAGAGTAAAGATTTTAGTCTGCTCAGATTTACCATGAAATAGGATGGCTATTTTTTATTGCAATATGTAAAACTGACAAGAGGAGGCAAATGTGACAACAATTCTGGTAAGAAATGATGAGACTTGAAGGAAGGTATCCATAATGGGAACAGAGGGAAGGAAAGCTAATGAAGAGATTTATGCTACACAATGGTAGAGTTACTGATTGATTAGCTAAGGAAGAAATGATAGAGGAAAGTCAACTTTGGAACACTAGATGGAAGGTGGTAACACTGTGATCTGAGCAACTCCTTCATCAACTAAGATGGACCCTAAGGTTAAGGAAACAAAGTTACCTATGGGGTAAGGGTTCAGGGCCAGCTGGCAAGGCAAATTTCTAAATCCCTACAGCTCTAAACTCCCTAACAACAGGAGCTATCAGATCCCTTTTACTGTGATTTACAACCCAGACCACTACGACTCTGACTGGACAGAGGGCCAGCCTTACATTCTTTTTTTTTTTTTTTTTTGAGATGGAATCTCGCTCTGTCGGCCAGGCTGGAGTGCAGTGGCATGGATCTCAGCTCACTGCAAGCTCCGTCTCCCGGGTTCACGCCATTCTCCTGCCTCAGCCTTCCGAGTAGCTGGGACTACAGGCGCCCGCCACCTAGTCAGGCTAATTTTTTGTATTTTCAGTAGAGACGGGGTTTCACCGTGTTAGCCAGGATGGTCTCGATCTCCTGACCTCATGATCCGCCTGCCTCAGCCTCCCAAAGTGTTGGGATTACAGGCGTGAGCCATCGCGCCCATCCACATTCTTTATTGATAAGTAACTGCAGACCTTAAACCAGTTTCAGCCAGGGTACAGAGGCTGCTCACAAACTGTCTTTGTGTACTATAGTTCTAACATAAAGAACCAAAATCACCCTCATTTTAATGCTAAAACCTCACCCCAAAGTGAATATGAGATGTATGTTACATGTTTACCCACTGCACATGCACTCTGCTCCCCTCATAAACATGTATAGCTTCCCCCCAAGCCTGCTGAATATGTACAACTCGGCTGTACGATGCAGGCCTTGTGAAGCATAAAACCCAACCTGCCCTTCCCTTCTTTGAAGAGAGGAGCACATTCAGCACACACCAGAGACTGTCTCTTCCCAGTTTGCAAACCAGTAACATTAACGAAGCTTTCCTTTCTAAAATTTAGCCATCTTGGTGGTCTTTTGGATGACATCGCCAAGGAGAAAGAACAAAGGAGGTTGGAAAAGTTCAAAGATTCCTCAAATAATACCACAGTGTGAGTGGAGTAGGCATCTTCAGATGGGAAATATTTGAGCACATCTAAAATGCAGAGAAAGGTGGCCATAAAAAGAGAAGGATGAAGATATGGAAGAGCAAGGGAATGATTCAGAGGTTTCCAGCACAGGGCAGAATAAGGGGGTCAAATGCACCAGGGAATGGCTGGGCTTTGAAGTGGAAGGTACCTCTGAGTTTGCCAGTACAGAGGCAGGAATAGGTGTAGATTTACATACATTTATAGATGAGGATGGTAAAGTGAGAGCTCAGGAATACTCTAAATTTCTTGATGAAAAAAGAAGAGAGGGATCCATCTGTTGAGGATGAAGAGGAGGGAAGCTGTGCAAACTGATACTCAGTTCCACACATTTCTCCCCCAGCCAATCAAGAAGTTAACTATACTTAAGCTCTGGCATGTTGATGCTGTAAGAATGTTTTTTTATTCCACTTAAATTGTATGGCAAGCTTTAGTGTTCCTTAGTTTACTCCTCCCCCAGTCATGCATTACCCCAGTTGTGGTCATAAGAACATAAGACAATGTGAAAAAATAAAATAAAATTTAAAAAAACTTCGTAAAATAACAAAGTATTGTTTATAAGTTCAGGAACATAACCACAATTCAAATGTGAATTTCTTGTAATTAAGCTACTGATTCTTTAATACCTTTTGCAGAGCGTCTTCTGTTTTTTCAGGGTTTGTTTTTAGGGCTTGAGAAGCATCATACATAGGAATTGGCATAAATCTTAATGTGTAGTTCCTAGAAAAAGGAGAAAATAATATACTTATTTAAAAATAACTTCCTATTACCTTAATTCAGCACTCTTCTTTTAAAAATCCAAAAGGATAGCTGCAAGAGTAGCTTAGAAAATTCCAAACCACCAGACCATTTAGGCCCCTAGATTGCAGATTATCCTTTGTAATAACCACATGTGCAAATACCACAGGCAACCACATCAACTCACACTACCTACAAAACTGACACAACTTTGAGGAATGCAGTTTTGTTGTTTTGTTTTTAATTTTGGATTCCATCAAGGACAGAATTTTCACACTGGGATTGAAAAGATGAACTGAGGGAAAGCCTAGGGAAAGTCCAGCATCAACTTGCTACATGGGTTTTAGTAACCAATAGATCTGACTCTACCTGGGTCCCCACAGTGATTATGTGTGACAACCAGCCCCAAACTGGTAAAGGAAAAAAACAGAAATAAAAACAAAACATTTGCTTGCAAAGCAAGCCATTAGCATCCACAAAATAGTCTATTAAGTTTCTGGGCTCCATTAAATGAAGATGTCCAGTATACATGGGATTATCTCTTTTAAAGCTGCTGGGAAAGGGTCTGCTGCCTGGCTAAACACTCTGACCTCTGCAGGTCCTTTCAGCTTGAGTTCAAGAGCTAATGTCCACCAGGCTCGAGAAACCAAATGAAGCAACTGTTGATTGCTGTATATTATCCCATTGCTACTGGCAGGCCTATTAAACACAAACATGCAGGAGTGAGCCATTTTTGTGTGAGGAAAACACACAGAACTCTGAAGCTGGTCCCTGGCCTTTGATCCTGACCCTGCTGCAAACTGCTATGTGCTCAGATGACCATTAACACCTGCTCACCTACCACAAATGCCAGTATTAGAGATGACTTCTGTCCTCCACCCCAAAATGCATCTGTCCATTTCTACAACACGGTGCTCAGGAAGAGCTCAATTTCACCTCGGGCTACTTGGTGGCAACTGGGACATTAAAATTGCACAGTAGCTGCCTTGTTTTAGGACTCTAAACTATCAGCAGCACTCACGTGTGCTTCTCAGCCATATTTAGACGACATCTATTAAAAGAATAAATCAGCAACTAACTCCCAAAATAAGGTACTAATAAAGAATAAATAATAAAGAAAACCATCAAGTTAATAGTAGCAGTCTAGATGGGCTAATGGAAAAAAATATTCACCCAGTCCAACTTATAGAGTAGCTTCATGTAAAATAATCAGACAAAGAGAAAGCTGTAATTTCTATTGCTTTAATTTTTATCTTAGCTTTGTTTTAGCAAAATTGTTTTTGTTTGCCTTCAGAAAATCCAGCCAAATGAAACTAAGAGACGATATGTCTTTTTTACGGCCTTGACAATTTTTCTTTCCCTCATCCAATTTCTATCATGTTACAGACCAGCATAGTTTATTTAAACCAAATGTGATTTTGAAGCATTGGCATCTTGGAGCAGAGCATATATAATCGACTGTGATCAAGGGAGTCCAACAGTCAATCTGGAAATGCTGAGTATTGGTTGTGCATGCTCCTGGCTTCTTCCAAACACCAGCCTGCACTGGCAGTCTACAACAACATCAGGGTGGCAACTGTGCTGTTAGCATCCAGATGCAGCTCAGTGTAAATAAATGTCTCCATTTGGGGTTTTGTGGTGCAATAGGAGTAACCATAGGTGGGTCTGTAATCATGCAGTGGCAATGCAAAACTGATAGTCTAAGCTGCCTTACCCCTATTTAGTGATGCCCTGGGGTCAGCACAGAGAAGGGGCTGAGAGATGAGTCTCTGTGATTTTGTAATGGTAGTAACTTTGAACTCCTGGCTGAAGTAGAGCCACAGGATTTAGAAATGGAAGGGGCTTAGAGATCATTTATCCTAATCCTCTCATTTCATGAAAAAAGATTTAATCAGAGAGGTAAAATGCCTTGATCAAGATCACAGGCTTGTGGGTGACAGAACTGAAGACTGAATGAAGGACTCCTCATTCCCAGTCTAGGGTTGTACCACAACACCATGTCAGGCATGAGAGGCCCTCCTGGGAGGCCTCACATATACAAGGAATCTGGAAAAACACAAAATAATGAGCATTTCCTCCCCTTTCCCAGGGAAACGGCTTCTATGCCATCCGCCCCTTATTTTTCACCCATATTTTATAGCCTCTCATTTTTAATGCTATAAATCTGCTTTGTTCACTTCTGCCTTTATAATACAATATGAGGATCGAAAAGCCCAGAAAGAACCACATTCCTAGTATTACTTTCAACTATGTCTACTATTATTTTCTCATTTAGTTTACTGGGAAAGTAAATTCAACAATAAATAATAATTGCAGGCTTTAGTTACTGAAGTAATGAAGAAAGTCTTTCATAGTAATGAGACAACTTAGCCCTGGGCTTACCATTTATCAATTTCACCTTTATTTTCTGGACCTCAGCTTTCTTCTCACCAGTGAATTCAAAGGTGTCACAATAGGAAAAAGAACAAGACCTAGTGTAGATTGTGAAATCTACACAATTTCCACAAAGGGGAAAGGAAACAAGGCAAGTCTCACACAGCCCCTTTCCCGCGATCTCATTTAATTCTCACGACAGTGTGGTGTTTTTGGCAGAACAGGCATCTGTGCCCTCATTTCATACATAAGGAAACTCCCACCAGGAGAAATTCAATGTCTTCCAAGATCCCATAGCTGGTTAGCTGTAGACTAAATTCAGACCCAGATCTTCTGATCCCCAATAAACAGTTGATTCTATTACCCAACAGGTAACATATATACCATTGGTTTTTGTTTTTTTATTTTCCTAGAAAGAAATCCTAATTCAAACTTACTTTTCCATAGCAACAGCTATATCCTGAAAGCCTTGTGCAGTGATGTTGTTCTTGTCCCATATTACAGTCCTGTTTGAAAATCAAATCACATAAATGATCAGACACTTAAAGAAAATGATTCTCACATTGAATATAAACCTCTTATAGACAGCAGTGTGTAGATATTTCAGTACAGCTGCATTATGTGAGCAAGGAATAATGTTCATCTTCATTTCTAACAAAACAAGGATAAGCATTTCCCCCAATATTATATTCGTAACACATTTACCACGCAAGTAGTATGGAAAAACTGTACTTAAAGCAATAGCACATATGTTCACTTACTATTATGTTATCTAACTTTCACTAGACAGAAAACTCTAAATTCTGATATTTCTCTGATATTCTCCCAATCATATTCTTATATTTATGTCTGAGGTGGAAGCTATTTACAAAAGATGCTAACCAGTTCCATGCCCAATATAAAGAATTTCAGCTACTGAGATTGTTCCCCCCAAACAGTAAAACACTAGTGTTTCTAAAACACTAGAGAGAATCTGTCATAGTTCCTTGTGTTTTCATTATTTCCCTGACATGGCTTAATTAGTAATCCTAGGAACTTCCTCACTCTGCTGGCAAAACATCAGTTACTATAAACAGGAGTTTGTTTGCTTTTTAAACACAAAATCTATTTGGGGAGAAAAATATTACTTTACCTTCAGAATGTGTATACTTCAGGGGTATTTAGGATTTGTCAGTTCACCCTGACACATAAAATAGCTTTTATTTGTCTGGATGATCCCGGCCTCACAACTTTCACTGCCTTCCCTTCCTAATCTCGATGACCTTCTTTACACACATACTGACCTTCAAAGAAATTGCTGCAGATTTTGGGTTTTGGCTTCAGCTTAGACTTTTATGCCGGAGAATAGAAAAACATCATGAAAGAGCCCTTGAGGAGCAATGTGAATTAACTCTTCATTCACCAGACTGCTGACCTAGGTAGCAACACCAATCTCTCTGAATGATGGATGGCAACAAGGTGACAGTGGAGCTAGTCCTTGAGAAAAGCCACACTTAGGAAACATGGAATAAAACTGCTAAAGAGAACAGCTAGCACCCAGTGTGAGCCTGGTTTTGGGTTTTGAACCAGCAGACCTTTTGTACCCCTTGTTTTTAAGTCTTTATATCGGCAGGCATGAGCAAGGGGGTTAAGACCTTGGGCTCACAGAGAAGTATGGGCTCTGCTCACTTAGTGTTGCCTACAAAACCCTCCTAGCTTCTCACTGCCTTTACCCCCACATTGGTCAGCTATCAACACTGATGCGAAATAGGAAATTGTGGCAGTTCTCAGTCAGGTTCTACCTTACAACAGAACTATAAGACAACAGACCGAAGGAATCACTACTTCTAAATTTGGGAACAGCCTCCTCATTATTCTGACAGAAATCTTGACATTGTCACCTCTTCTCCTCAAGATGGCCTCATGGGAAGCCCAGGTCCCCTCGGGCCCAGCAGCTCTGCAATGCTTGCTGTTCGGAATCTGCTCCAAGCCTTCCTCATGAGCAGGGAGGGTGGGATCTGCCTACCTGAGCTTAGTGTTGATCTGCAGTGCTTTGGCCAGCATCTTCGCTCCCATGTCCCCCATTCCGTTGCCGCTAATGTCCACTTTGGTCAGGGAGGTGTTGCTTCCCAGGGCATTGATGATGATGGTGACCTCAGTCTTGAGTTTCGAGTCAGCCAGGGACAAGGACTGCAGAGGCTGCGGAGCAAATGACACACGGCACTCAGCAGTCTCATCAAAGCAGCACCCACTCTCCACGACGCATTTCGTGGAGAATGAGAGGGGATGGACCTACTGCACGTGTCTGATTTTAGAACTACTACCTAAAAGACACTCGTGGATAGAAACTTAAGGTTCTGGCACAAAATGGACCGCTGGAGTCAAAGATGGAGAACTTGTGTTTTAATGCTGAATACCTACCACTTCTCTTTTAAGGGAAGCCAGGGAAAGACATGCAGGCTGACAACTGCCAGCGTGAAGCAGAGGATAGGATGAAATAAATAAAAACATAACAAAAATTTCTCAGCTTAATATGATCACCCTTTATACCCATTTTATTTTTATACAAGGTGAAATGACACCTTAAAATACTAATAGAGGACAAATACAAGATAAAAGCCAGCCAGGATTAATAATAGCTGACAATTATTGAACAATTACTATGTTTAACCACCATTTAAGCTTTTTATGTATATTAATTCACTTAATCTTCCCACTAACCCATTGCTTAGATGCTACTGTTATCCCCATTTCCCAAACCAACAAACAGAAAAGTTAGGTGACTCAACCAAGGTTACATTGTTAGAAAGCACCTGAACTAGGATTCAAACCCAGATGTACTGGTTCCAGATTTCATGCTCCTAACCCTATACCACATCTCCCTATTAGCTTATCTCAGATCTTTTTGATCATCACCCTTTAATTTTATCTTTTTTTTTTTTTTGAGACAGGGTCTCGCTCTGTGCAGAATGCACAGGCTGGAGTGCAGTGGTGCAATCACCACTCACTGCAGCCTTGACCTCTTGGGCTCAAGCCATCCTCCCACCTCAGCCTCCTGAGTAGCTGGAACTACAGGTGCGTACCACCACATTCGGCTCATTTTAAAATATTTTTTGTAGAGACAGGGTCTCACTATGTTGCCAAGGCTGGTCTTGAACTCCCAGGCTCAAGTGATCCTCTCACCTTGGTATCCTAAAGTGCTGGAATTACAGGCATGAGCCACCACACTCAGCCTTAACTTTATCTGTTAAGTTTCAATCAGAAGATACATCTACAATTCTTTTTTTAAGTCACACTTGTGTGGCTTTTTTTTTTTTTTTTTTGAGAC